>NC_000008.11:22890405-23193435 GCF_000001405.40 Homo sapiens
ATAAGCAACCTCAAGTCATAGACTTACAAATTTCAGCGTTGGAAAGACCCCAAGGTGAAATCTGGTGCATTCTCCATTCTCCATTATTTACATGGGGAAGGTATCATTAGCCCTATCTTTCAAACTCCCAGCTTCCCCTCTCTGTGCCCCAGTAGCACTGTGGGGCACACCTTCATAGTGGCACTTGCCACATCACACTGTGTTGTCCACCAGACAGAGTGTGTCTAGAGGTCACTATGTTCAGAGGCCGCCTGGCAGGTGGCAGGTAGCAGGCAGTGTGGCGCACAGAGTTTGGAATTAGACAACATGGGTTTGAGTCCTGACTTTTACCGGCAAGCATGCTTGGTCTTAGGCAAGTTACTTTACCTTCTTGAACCTCACTAGTAACTTGGGAATAAAGTTCTTTCCTCAACATCTTCCCCCTTTTCTTTTTTTTATTTGAGATGGAGTCTCACCCTGTCACCCAGGCTGGAATGCAATGGAGCAATCTCAGCTCACTGCAACTTCTGCCTCCCCAGGTTCAAGTGATTCTCCTGCCTCAGCCTTGCGAGTAGCTGAGATTACAGGTGTGCACCACCACATCCGACTAATTGTTTGTATCTTTAGTAGAGATGGGGTTTCACCATGTTGGCCAGGCTGGTCTTGAACCCCTGACCTCATGATCTGCCCACCTCAGCATCCCAAAGTGCTGGGATTACAGGCGTGAGCCACTGCTCCCGGCCCTTCCCATCTTATTAAATAGGATAACATATGCAGCATAATGACCTTGACACAATACCAGATGTCCAATAAAGGTCAGCTGTGTTATATATTTCTTCCATATGCACTTGCCAGATGAATGAATGAATGAATGCTTATGTGGCAGTCAAGGCAAAGCCAGTATAAGTGGCTCACACATAGGAAGATGCCAGGGCAGAAAGTGGGGTGGGAGCCATGGAACCAGGCTCCTCCTGCCCTCTGTCCTACCTCACCTGCTGTCTCCCACATCCTCATCTCCCTCCAATGAAACCCAAGTAACAAATCCAAGAAGTGTTCATTTTGGCCTCTTGGGCTGGTGTGATTCATCCCACTCAGAAGACAAAGCTGTTTGGGGGAAGGAGGAGTCTGGGTGTGGGGATGACAATACAGTTAGGCATAGTACTGTCTCTAGCACAAAATGGGAAGCTCCTGATGCAAAATTCAGGGTCCTGTGGGCAAATGTTCCATTTATTTATAGGGAAGTCTCAGAGAGATAGCTAAAGCCCTTAGTGAAGCCCACTTAGGTGGGCCCGCCTCAGACAGCAGAGGAGGAATGGAGCTGGGATTATAACAGGGTCTTCTGACCCTTCCTCATCATCCTCCCACCATGGACCACAGCCTCCTTCTCAGCTTAAGAAGCCAGGGAAGGGCCGGGCATGGTGGCTCATGCCTGTAATCCCAGCACTTCGGGAGGCCGAGGCGGACGGATCACGAGGTCAGGAGATCGAGACCATCTTGGCTGACACGGTGAAACCCCGTCTCTATTAAAAATACAAAAAATTAGTCGGGTATGGTGACAGGCGCCTGTAGTCCCAGCTACTCAGGAGGCTCAGGCAGGAGAATGGCGTCAACCCGGGAGGCGGAACTTGCAGTGAGCCGAGATCGCGCCACTGCAGTCCGGCCTGGGCGAAAGAGCAAGACTCCGTCTCAGAAAAAAAAAAAAAGAAACCAGGGAAGGAGAAAGTAGAGGGACTAAGAGTCACACTTCATTGAGTCAACTTGTGAGAAATAAAACTTTAGTAGTCAGCCTATTTAATGCTAAAATATCTGAATAGTTTTCTAAGTAATATCTTTTCTAAATTATTTTTAAATGACACGTATGGATTGTTTTAAAAATCATGGCATAATATACATAATTTAAAATCTACCATCTTAATGGTTTTTAAGTGTATAATTCAGTAGTGTGAAGTCCATTCACACTGCTGTGTAGCATCACCACCATCCATCTGCATAATGCTTTTCATCTTGCAAAACAAAAACTCCATACTTACCTCTGGTAGGCCAGTTTGGTGGCTTCATTCCTGGTGGAATAATTCCTGGAGGCCTAAGCTACAGCCTACTTCTCAGCCCATCTAACAATTTTCTGTATTAACTAGTTTTCTGCTTAAAAAAAGCTAGAGTATGGTTTCCATTTTCTGCAAGTAAACACGGACTGACATCATGTTTTGGAAGTAGAAGAGGTTGTAGGCTACAGAGCCTCATGTTTGGGGTTGGTTATCTGTCTGGTTGGATTTGAAGACAGGTAAAGATCTTCTGGTTCCAGCCAAGATAGAGTATCAGGAACCAGATTTACCCTACCACCTGAAACAATGAAAACACCGAACAAAATACATGAAACAATGGTTTCCAGATTTTGAACTTCAGGCAGTGTGGGGCAGTAATCAGCAAAAGAGGGGAAACAAATGAAGGTCTTACAATCACCCCAACTTACTGCCTGATAGAGTTTCTAGGCAGCAGTACAGAAAGAGAGAACCCAGGAAACCTGACAGTCACCTTGAGTTGAGGAGATAGAGCTCAAGTCCAAGGGGGTTAAGGTGGTCATGATTCACAAGGCAGAGGCAGCTGTGCGGGGAGAGAACTGTGGAAATTGCAGAAGGTCCTCTTTGAGTCTTCAGATGAGTACAGATCAGCATGCGCATGTGAGAAAACTGAGTCCAAAGAAATAATTCCCTGAAAGAAACAGACAGAAAAGTCTACAGGGCTCACACAAGGCTGAGAATAAATTTGTATTCCCACCAGGCAGAGTAAAAATGCCACAGAATTCCTGGGGCAGCAGGGAGAGTATTCAGCAGTGGGGCAAAATTAGCCCTAGAAAAACGCTGCTCTTGTCCTATTTACCAAAGTTTAAAAGCAAGTTTGAGAAGGATCAGACTGCTTTCAGTGAGCCTAACCACATGCCAGATCATAGCTCAAGAATATTTATGAGATTATAATGACATTTCACACCTAATGAAGTAAAAATCCACAAGTCTGGCACCTAAAAAAATTACTAGACATGTAAAGAAGCAGGAAAATAGAAACCATAACAAGGACAAAAAACAATCAATTGAAATAGACTGGGAAATGATACAGACAATGGAATTAGTACACAAATATATTAAAACAGTTATTATAACTATATTCCATGTGTTCAAGAAGGTAGGGGAAGGCTTATATATTCCCAGAGACATAGAAAATATTTTTAAAGACCCAATTCAGATTTGAAGAGATAACAATTTCATTGTCTGTGATGAAGAGTACACTGGATGAGATTTAACAGAAGGTTAACTATACAGAATAAGATATTAGTGAACTTGAAGACACAGCAATAGAAACTATTCAAAATAAAACACAGAGAGAAAAAAGACTGAAAAAAACCCACCAGAATAGCATATCAGTGAGCTGTGGGACATCTTCAAGTAGCCAAATATACATGCAATAGGAGTCCCTAAAATTCCCTTTTAGGGAATATTAGAAAAAATATTAGAAGACATAATGGCTGAAAAATGTCTTAATTTGATGAAAACTGTAAACCCACAGATCCCAGAAGCCCAACCAAAGAAATGCCAAGCACAAGACACATGAGAAAACTACACCAAACACATCACAATCAAATTGCTTAAAACCAGTGAAGATGAGAGCACAGGTTACCATTAGCAAATGTGTCACTGGCAGCCCGCGGCATATAGTAGCAAAATAATCTTGATTATCAAGTGTGATTACCTAGAACAAAGTACCCATTGAAGATAAGAGTTTGGCGGAATTGCACGATAGATTATTATGTCAGAATGATGAATATAAAGATGTTGGAATAAGATGACTTCTTCTGCCAGAAGTGGGAAAAGTAAAGAAAAATGGTTAGAAGCTTGAGGTTTAAATTCTTGGCACAGCCATGCATAGTGGCTCACTCTATAATCCCAGCACTTTGGGAAGCCAAGGCAGATGGATGGCTTCAGCCCAGGAGTTCGAGACCAGCCCAGGCAACATGGTAAGACCCTGTCTCTACAAAAAATAAAAAATAAATAAAAAAAATTCCAAGCATAGTGGCATGTGCCTGTAGTCCCAGCTACTCAGGAGGCTGAGGTGGGAAGATTGCTTGATTCCAGGAGGTCAAGGCTGCAGTGAACCGTAATCATGCCACTGCACTCCAGCTTGGGCAACAGAGTGAGACCCTGTCTCTAAAAATAAAATAAAATAGTAATAAATTCTTGGCTCAAGGCTCAATCAGAAGAGCAAGGAACAGTTAAGACTATCCTGAAAGAATCTCCCACGGTTTGTAGTTTCAGGGCCAACAAAACTGAAATCAGAAGTGAAGTCTGACCCAGCAGGTTGTAGAATTACAACCTAAGTTAAGTTCACAGCCTCATCAGGTCTCTTATGGGAGATGGTGTTGACTGGGAAAGATGGAACCCTGTGAATGGGGATGCTGAATTCATATAACTGAGTCTTAGACCCTGCTGAGCCTCCCTTTCCAGCAGAAGCTGCCCCTTTTCCCCAGGTCCTGTCTTGCAAGAGAATCCTGATTCTCCCTGAGGTCGACACTTACCACCCCTGGCTGCTCCTGACCTATTCTAGAATCAGATTTCAGCATGGCCAAGGGAGACAAGCACAAAGTCTGATTCTGAAACAGTAGACTTTCACACCAAAGTAGGTGCCATTTGTTTTTTAATATTTATTGGCAGAAATCTGAGAAATGTATAGTAAGGTGCTGATCACGGAGGAAAGAAGATCATTTTCAATTGGGCCATATTGATCAATATGGATTCTGGATCCAAAGTACTGGCTGGATCATCTGGGTATGGTTCTGTTCACTCAGTGGGTTATCTGAAATGAAACCTGAACTGAATGGCATCCTATACTAAATAAAGCTAAGGTGACAGAAGTTCCTTGATATAAAGCAAGGAATCTTAATACCTGGAGAGGCATAATAATGTTGGGGTGGGCTTACACATGTGTTCCCCACATACCCTCCTTCACTCTGTCCCAGGAGAACATACTTTCTTCACAAGCATTTAGACATGCTTTGGTGAGGGGGACACCGGCATTCTGTTTTCCTTGGTTGTCTTCAGAATTTATCTTTGGTTTTTAGCAGTTTGATCATGACACATCTAGGTGGATTTTTTTAAAAATTCTGATTAAGGTTCTCTGAGTATCTTGGACTTGTGGTATGTTGCCTTTCTTTAACAAGTTCTTGGTCATTATCTCTTCAAATAGTTCTACTCTGCTCTCTTTTCTTAATGAGATCCCAACTATACATATGTTAGACCATTTTATGTTGTCTCACAATGCTTGGGTGCTCTGTTCTGTCCCCCAGCCTTCTTTTCTCTCTTTATATTTCTTTAGATCATTTCTGTTGCTCTATCTTCAAGTTCACTGATTTTTCCAGTTTATATGTTACGTCTAATTTGCTGAGAAGCTTAAGTTCCTGTTTCAGTAACCTGACTAGTTTTCCAAGTTTGTCGGAAGTTCTGCTTTTTTGGCCACATCCTTGAACCCAGCCTAGGTGGCATTGGCCCTGCTTCCCATGGGCAGGTTTCTTCATGCCAGCCTCTCTGCCTGTGCTCCCAGTTACTGCCTACCTACTGCCCCCTCTGCCCTGGGGCAGATTTGCTGTGTGGCATCAGACAGTTGCCTGAAAGTTGCTGGTATTGTGGTTGGAGAGATGAAACCATGTTCCCAAATCCCACATCCTTGCATCAAGTAAGAAAAGTGCCACTGGAACCTAGAATGATGTGGGAACCCAGAAGAAGAAGATGTCCTAGTCTGGGAGGAGAGACAGGGAATGGAGCTTGGACAATCACTGTCATAGCTGGAGTGTGATCTGATGAAGATCTGAACTAGAGAAATACATAGGCCACGGTAATACTAATTAATCAGGAATGGTTGAGTTTTGCTCCCGCTGACCTATCAATTCTTACTCCAATGGCTCCTTTAACCGATAGTTGCAGTGTTCAGTGGGGTATTATCCAGGCTCCAACGTGTTTGCTCAGAGCCATCCTCAGGCTAAGGGGAGTCTTCCCTGATCTCCCCTCCTCATCCCAGTGATGGGGTTCCTTCCACCTCACCTGCTAGGGGTTTCTTGAGGCTCACTCAGGCGCACTCCTACTCTCACTTTCCTGACATTTTGTGTTTCTGATTCAGCATTTTCTGGCTCTGGGTATCTGGAGAACCACGTTACCTATTTCATTTCTCATTTACCCCAGCAGTCCTTGGCCTCTTTATTACTGTTCAAGCTAAGGCTCAGCAGTGACACAGACTCTCCCATGCCTCGTTCAGCCCTTGGTAGAAACAGCATTACACAGAGGTTGCAAGGTGACAACTTATGATAAGGCAGAATTTTGAAGGTGTCAGGTGCCTCAACTATGTCATGACCTGTTATATGACGCCTTAAAATCCACAGTTAGTGTCTCTTCCCTTTAACTCACTAGTTCTCTATGTATACTGATGTACTTGATAGTTTCTCTCTCTCTTCATCTCTAATATATATAATATATATGGTATATTTGGATATTTTTATATATAACATATTTAGATATTATATATAGCTAAATCTAAAATGGATAATATATCTATACCTATCTATATATATTTGCGTGTTATATATATACACATATATCTGTGTGTATGTGTGTGTGTGTGTGTGTATGTATATATATATAATCCAAATATACTACGGCTTAGCGTAGACATTGAGAGGTGGGAAAGATTTTTTTGAGGCATAGGAGAAACATTCAAAATTGAGTAAAATCTGTTTTTTCTGCTAATTGAGAAAATACAGCCCCTTTTCTTCTCCTCCTCTTCCATCTTCTTTAAATTTAAGACTGTTCAGACTCCTATCATGCAAAGTCCCTGGGGACAGATCACATTGTAAGCTGCTATCAGTCACCACACTGCAACGGGATGTGATGCGTTCAGAAGCACAGATATGGATGGAGGAGGGGAGGTAGAGGAGAATGAAGATACTGCTTGTCGAAGGAGAAGAGAGCTGTGGGAAAGGACACACTATGTGGAGTACTGAGGCACCAAAAACAAACCCTTTCATCGTCTTACTCAGGCTTATCTCTGCCATTTGACTCTTAAGACCTAGCTCTCTGGTTTTAGTATGTGTAAAAATACCACCGAGTATTTTGCTTTTCTTATTCAAACCTTACAACAAACCTATGAGATGGGTATTATTAGTTCCATTTTATAGTTGAGTAAACTGGCTTGGAGAGGTGAGTTTCAAAACCATTTCTATCTCCAGTCCAGATGTTTCCTTTAAACATCAAACTCATTAAAAAAATGCTTAACATCTCTCCCTGGATTCACACTCACCATGTCCAGATCAGAGGCCCTGAGCTCTTGTACTCATCTCCTAAACCTGCTCTTCCCTCAGCCTTTCCCATATGCTATGAAATGAACCATGTCTCCCAAAATTCCTATGTTGAAGCCCTAACCCCCAGTGTGATGGTATTTGGAGGTGGGGCCTTTGGAGGTGATTAGGTCATAAGGGTGGGGCCTTTATGAGGGGATCAGTACCCCTATAAGAAAAGACCCCAGAGACCTCACTCTCAACCTCCACCACGTCGGGACACAGTGAGAAGGTAGCCGTTTTCAAGCCAAGGAGGGAGCCCTCATCAAAAACTGAATCTTCTGGCACCTTGATCTCATAATTCCAGCTTCCAGAACAGTGAGAAAATAAATGTCTGTTGTTAATGCCACCCAGCCAGCCAGGCGCAGTGGCTCACGCCTGTAATCCCAGCACTTTGGGAAGCCGAGGCGGGTGGATCACCTGAGGCCAGGAGTTTGAGACCGGCTTGGCCAATATGGTGAAACCCTGTCTCAACCAAAAATACAAAAATTAGCCAGGTGTGGTGGTGGGTGCCTGTGATCCCAGCTACTTGCAAGGCTGAGGTGGGAGAGTTGCTTGGACCTGGAAGGCAGAGGTTGCAGTGAGCCGAGATCACACCGCTGCACTCCAGCCTGAGCGACAGAGGAAGACTCCACCCCAAAAAAAAAAAAAAAAAAAAAAAAAAAAAAAAAAAAAAAACCCACCCAGTCTATGGTATTTTGTTATGGAACCCCAAGCTAAGACACCATCACAGAAAATGGTCACTCAATCCTCCCAGCCAGCCATCAGTGGCTCAATCTAATACTCAGGTTCTCAATCAAAGTGCTCCAAGCTCTGGTTTGCGGTAAGTTTAGAAAGATAACCATAGACATTCATGCCCGAGGGAATGTTCCCCTCACGCCCTGCACACCCAAGTGAAAGCTAGAGGTGGCCCCTTGGCTGTTAGCTCCTCTTTGTCCCTTTCTTTATCCTCTGGAGTTAGTAAGTCCTTCTCGATGACCTGGCATAGAGGAGATACTCCTTGTAACAGAAAATGTGTGGTTGAAATCCAGGCTGAGGGGCAGGGCAGGTTGCGGGATGATAAAGGGGTGAATTTGGAGGGGCTGGGTCCTGAGGAGGCCCCCTTACTGCCCAGGAGGGAGAAGTTCAGGAAGGCAGAGAGGGACGGGCCCCACCCTGTAAACTAGGCCTGGCAAAGAAACTGAGTCCCAGTATCCCTTTGCTAGTCCCTGCTGTGGATAGTTCCAAGGAGGTGTGGCTTGGCTAACTAAAGTCCATTGTCCCAGACAGGCGGTACAGCACGGTGGTTCATTCACAGCCTCTGAAGCTGGCGATCTAGGACCCTGGACAAGCTACACACCTGCTTCTTCATCTGGAAAATGGGGGAAGTAGCAGTTCCTACCTCAAAGCATTGTTGGGAAGATTAAATGATGATGATACATAAAGAATATAGCCCTGCCAGCCCAGCTCTCTGGAGGTAGAAAATCTGCCCTATGCAGGCTGCACACAGACTCAGGGAGCCAAGGGCTGCCGGGGGCATTTGGCCATCATTGCCTCTTCCCCAACCCAAGGTTCTGCAGGCAAGTGCCAGCTCCTGTCTGTGGAGCCTTGGCCCATGGAAAGGCAGAGAGAATGGCTCTCATGTCCCTATCTGAGGGTCCCAAAGGGCTTCCATGAGGGAGCTGAGCCTCCAAAATCATTAATTCGGAAAAGCCACACATGAAAAGGAACCTGCTTTTGCAGGGGGCAAAAGAAGTGTGTTGGTTAGCATGCTGTTCTGGGAGGTTCTTTAGGTGCACCCTGCTTATTAAGCCTGATCCTGGGCTTCTGGAACCTGCGACTCACCCCGTTACCATGGCGTCTGCTGAGCAGCACCTGGCAGTGGTGCCTCTCATCTCGGCAAAGTGGCTATGACTCCTGGCTACTTTTTCCCTAGCCAGGGTGAGGAGGAGAGAGAGGAGGGTGCCAGGCATCTCATCTGCTCAATGCTAGAAAGGAAATTAAAATATTGCAGAGAAATCGCAGAATTCGTGCATGCACTGCTTTTCATTTTTCAAAGAGCTTTTGTGGGCATTATGTCACTTGAGCCACCTAAGAACCCTGGGACAGAAGGGATGACCAGGAATGTTTTATTTGCCCATGTTATGCATGAGGAGATCAAGAACGTGGAGAGGTTAACCCTTCTCACCCGCAGTCAAGGTGAGTGACAACGGGAGGAGCATAGCACAAAGAAAGCTCCAGAAAAACAAGAAGGAGACCTGGCTTGCGGTTTGGGCTCTATCACCACCTGCCTGCATGACCTCTGGCAAGAGCCTTATCTATGCTTCAACTTTCTTGTCTGCAAACTGAGGAGCAGGAGACCTACAGCACCAAGCCCACAGGACTACCATGAGACAAGGCTAAGTGGCTGGAAACATGTGACAGGCTCTCTAAATGTAAGGCACAGTAAGAATGACTTATCGGGAGGTCACGAATCCCACAGCACAGTTAAGAATGGGGAAGGGTTGGGGAGGGGTGTGAGACGACTTTAGTGAGCACCTACTACGGAAAGAGCTCCAAATACTCTAATTGGTTCCTTGAAGTACATTTTCTCCTTTGATGCCCTTGGTGCCCATTACAAAGATTATTATCTTGACCCGAGCGCAGTGGCTCACGCCTGTAATCCCAGCACTTTGGGAGGCTGAGGTGGGCGGATCACTTGAGGCCAGGGGTTCGAGACCAGCCTGGCCAACATGGTGAAACCCTGTCTCTACTAAAAATACAAAAATTAGGCAGGCGTGGTTGCAGGCGCCTGTAATCCCAGCTACTTGGGAGGCTGAGGCATCAGAATCACTTGAGCCCAGGAGGCAGAGGTTGCAGTGAGCCAAGATCATGCCACGGTACTCCAGCCTGGGTAATGGAGAATGGAGTGAGACTCTGTCTCCAAAAAAAAAAAAAAGATATCTTATTTCCTTTTACAGATGAGAGAACTAGCCTAGGAGGTTGAGAAACTTAAGCTAGTTGGATACAGAACTCAGATCTGTCTATCCTATGCTGATTTCCTGGCCCCACCTGTGAAAAATACACCAGAAGGCATTTTATATGCGTCACAGGGCTCACAGGCTAAAACTAGGCACTTCACTCACATCCTCATTCTAAGCCTATTTACTCTTAGTTTAGACATAATTCTGACATAGTCAGCTCTCAGGTTTCCCACACCGCCACACATCAGAAGGACCATAAGGACACTAATCAGCCTTGACAGCAGCAAGAAGTGACAGATGACAGGAGGATGATAAAATGTTTAAAAATAATTTTAGCAGTTTGGGGTGGTTTTGTGTAGAAGCAATAGCCCTACACATTTGCTTGGTCCCCATAGATATCACTGTGCATGAACTAAGAAAATTTCTGCCTTCTTATGAACGTAAAATAAAACCTATATTCCACGGACAGGCCTGGCTCCAGAGAAAGAATTTTCACATTGGGTGGGGCAGCTGGTGAAACAAGAGAGGCAACACGTATTCACTGAAGACTTGTAGGCAGCAAGAGGGAAGCAAGCGAAGACAGTGACACGAAATAGATGATCTGGTGCAAAATCACCATTGGCTTATTATAGACGTGATGAGTGAAGATGGATCGGGACTCTGTCTTGTGTCAGCAGAGTCCTAGGCCTCGGGGATTCAGTTGTGAGGATGACTCTCTCTGCCCTCTTGGAACTACCTAGGATCGGTCCTGCAGGGAGTGTGTTGTGTTGATCTTCAGCTTCTAACCTCTGGGGAGGGACGCAGCCCCTCCTGGTCCACCTAAAGTCATCTTTAATACTGCCCACCGACTCTCCACACTGTGCAGCTCGACTAAGGCAACCTCCAGAGTCCTAATTCCCTGTCATAGGTGATTGAGAACTAGGAAAACCTCCTCTCCAGGGCAAGGCCAAACCTACTCAAAGGATCCCGGGCTGGGGGATTTGCAGGCTGTGTAGGAGCACGCTGACAGAACCCTGGTGAGAATACAAGTCAGTAACTCTGGCCACTGTTGAAAAGAAATACTTGTACTTAGCGAGGGCACCGTTCTGTGACAGATGTTTACAATGATGACACTGCATCATTTAACAAAGGTTAAATCATGTTCATTAGACTCTGTTTAAGAAGACATGGCCATGTGTCATGTTTTAGAAAGACTGCCATTACAAATGATTCAAATAAGAAGTTTGAGTACATGAATGAGCCAGTCAGCTATCCAGAAGATGAGCTTAGAAAGAACAGCTCATCCCCAAGTGCGGCTTTACTGCATTGCCATTTTTAATTTTAAAAACCTACGTAAATTTTAGCCGGGCGCAGTGGCTCATGCCTGTAATCCCAGCACTTTGGGAGGCTGAGGCGGGTGGATCACCTGAGGTTAGGAGTTTGAGACCAGCCTTACCAACATGGACAAACCCCTAAAAATACAAAAATTACTAAAAATACAAAAATTAGCCGGGCTTGGTGGTGCACGCCTGTAATCCCAGCTACTTAGGAGGCTGAGGCAGGATAATTGCTTGAACCTAGGAGGCGGAGGTTGCGGTGAGCCGAGTTCACCCCATCGCACTCCAGCCTGGATGACAAGAGTGAAACTCCGTCTCAAAAAAACAAAAACAAAACCTACATAAATTTTAAAATCCTACGTCCTAACTCCAACCCCCATGTCATGTCCGTAATGGACCACACCAAGTTCCCTGGATCACCTGGTAGCTTTATGGCATGAGGCAGATAGGGTGCTCTGAATGTGTCCATGAGACCTTGGTGAGGATATGACAAGCCCCATGTTGCTTCATGTAGGATCTGATGCCTGGTTAGCCTCTCCCCAGGCAACCTCTCCCTCCTGCACAGCCTGGGTGGCCTGGACACCTGGACTCTAGCCTCAGCTCTGTCATCAGCCCTGGACCCGATGAATGCTGAGATCTCAGCTCTGGTCTCTGTCCAGCTCCTGTCTCTGCAAACTTCCCCAGGGTCAGAAACAGCTTCTGCCCAGGAGGAGTTAAGTTTCCAACATGTCACAGAGGATCAAACAGCCCTGAGGGTTCTGCTACAAAAAAGATCAAGGGAGTTTGTCAAAAGGCAGGTCCCAGGACCCCTACTGGAGGGAGAATGCATTGGACATACCTGGAACTTTTCCAGGAGAACAGAAGCTCCAAACTCAGGGATCCCAGATCCTGCAGCATAGCCTTGCGTTCCCACACGCTGTAGGGGTTGGGGAGTGGGGTGGAGGTGAGCGTTGAACCTTGGACCTTTCTCATTACACCGTAGGGACCTCATAAATAGGAGGGCCTTGTAATAGCCTGACGGGCCTGAAAAGATGGCAGTGGTATTTCAGGTACAACCTGAAACTTGGATTCCATCTCGCTCTGATAGCCTTCTACTCCCATAGCTTAAGCAAGAAGAATCACCCCGGAAACCGCGAAATGTTGAGAGCAGGACTCATTTACCTGTTATTTGAGAGCCAGCCATGATATTGTGAGTAAAGTTGGGAAACAGACAGCTGGCGTTGAAATCCTGGCTTCATCACTCATGAACTGTGTGACCTTGGACAAGTTGCTTAACCTATGTGTACCTCAGTTTTCTCATCTATAAAACGGGGATAATGATGGTTGTGAAGAGTAAATGAGCTAATATTTCTAAAGCACTTAGAACAGTGTCTGGCACATGTCAGTGTGTGCCAAATAAAACAAAATAATTGGGCAAAGGCAGGGGATTGAAAGACGAGGCATTTCTAAGAAACACAACTGAGGTTCAAATGTGTGGAGTCTCTCTCCTCACCCCCAGAGGCAGCAGTTCCTGAATGGGGCTGCAGGGGAGGGAGTGCGTGAAGGGTTAAACCCCCAAGTGTGCAGAAAAACAAGTTCCATCTGGTCCCTGGGACAAAGCAACAGCCTGCAAAGCCCCCAGCCCGGGCTCCTGCTCAAAGGACACATTGCTTTTTAAAATTCCAACTTGTAGCTGCCTCGATCTATAAATCAACCCGTTCTCTACACCCTAGAGCTCCGAGAAGCATTCGCAAATGGCAGCAAGATATCCATCCTCCCAGAATAGGCATAGGAAAGTGCCCTTGCAACTGGGCCAGGGTTACCTGGTACCCAGCCTCTCCGCTTCCAGGGCATCCTCTTTGACCTCCTTCAAGGCAGATATTGCTCTCCCATGGCAAAGAGCAGGCAGGCAAGACAGAGCCAATGGTCAAGGCTCCAGCTGGGAGTGGGACTTTTGCTTAGATGCCCAACTTCAGTGACCTGCCCCTGGACTCAGTTGAGTTCCTGTCTTTGTTCATCATCACAAAAAGAAAACTAAAGCTGCTTGCCCTGCCTCCTGCCACTGTGACTGAGACCCTATTTTTAGATGCCAGGCTGAGAGTGGGGCAAGGCTGATTAATGAGAAACATCAAATACTCCACGGAGGCTGGGGGAACCTTGCTTAGAGAAGCAGCAGGCTGCTTCCCGGCTCCCTGGCTGATCTGCACACGAGGCAGCTTGTGCCTCAGTACCTGCTGAGGGACCCCAGGGCTCTCCGTACCTGGAAGAGGAGAAGGAGCCAGGATAAGGCTGAGGGAGCTTCTTCGTGGACCTTGGCTGGAGGCAGAGTCCCTCAGTTTTTACCACCCCTAGACCTGTGCCCACGCCTGGATGATGCTGAATCCAGCACCAGCATTAACCCTGCAGGGCAGGAAAGTAATTCACAAAAAGTTGGGCAATTCAAAGTTACAGTTTCCACAGCAACCAGCACTCAGACCATTTGGGTAGCTGAAGCCTTTTCCTCTTAGCGTTCACCCCCCGTCCCCCATAGCATTTTTTCCTTCTTATTAAAGTAATACACATTCATTGGAGAACATATGGAAATTACAGACAAGTGTAAAGGAGAAAATAAAAATCACCCTTAGTCTCAACACTCAAGGAGATCCAATGTTAACATTTTGATATATTCTCCGTTCGCCTAGTTTTTTATTTTTGCATGCATAAAAGATATAAATTTTTGAAAACTGGAACTATTGTTAAATGGCTATTTTATCATTTGGCTTCCTTCGCTTAAAAATATATTGTGAGATCTTCCAACAGCCTTAAATATTCTTCAAGACCATGCTTTTTAATGGCTATATGGTACTTTTTCATATGGATAGAGCACATTTTATTTAACCAATCTATTGTTGAACATTTAAGACGATTTTCTTTTCTTTCCCGCTATTTTAAATAATACTACAATGAACATCCTTTTACATAAATTTTTATGTGTTTCTCTGATTAAGTAATCAGATTAGAATAAATTCCTAGAGCTAAAATTACTGCTCAAACACAATGGACATGCTAATGACTTTGATAGGCATTATTGAATCATCAGATTCATCTAGAAAAGTTGAAGCAATTTGTACTTTTGCCTGCGGTGTATACTCTTTTAAGAAAAGAACACAAACTGTCATTTAGTTGATTTTTAAATAAAGTTATATACTATTTTCTAAAATCACATTTTTTATATTGTAAATGGAATGGAACTTCCCCCATATTTTTAATGAACTTTCTTCTTTCTATAATCACCCATTAACATCCTTTTTTTTTAAAAAAAAAAATAGGCTATTCATCTTTTTCTTGCTGATTTATAAGAGCCCTTTATGCATAAAGATAATAATGCTTTGCATATTTGTGGCACATATGTTCTCTCGGTTTGTCGTGGGGCTTTTATTTTATTTATGGCAATTAAAGTGCAGAGTTTCAAATGTTGTTGTAATTCACATCCCTCTTTCTTTTTATCCCTTTGTCCTTTGACCTTATACCTAGGCAGACCTTTTCTCTCCTGAGATCAGCTATGTATTTACTTGAATGTTGTTGTTCTAGTTATTTTGTGGCTGTGTGAGTTTGGTTTTCTGTCCGCTGTTCTAAGCCACACGGGCTTCAGGTAGAGGCAAGGACTGACCTTTACTTCTCTAGGGGTCCGGAGGCAGGAGCCTGCCTGGACAGGTCAGAGGCGGTGGCCAAGGAGACGCAGGACCTGACCTGCCTGCTGCTCCCACCTCACAGGTCTCAGCCTGGCAGGTTCCTCTCCACGGGGCCCTGGGATGTTGCTGGTGAATGGAAAAGATGAACGAGGAGGAGGAAATAGCTGTTCCACGATAACATACTGAAAAAGGTACACCTCACGTGGCCCTGTTTCCCATCTGAGGTGGGGGCGGTGGAGGATGGGAGCGCCAGATGTATGGAAAGCTGGCAAGTTGCTTCACTCTTAGCACGTTAGAAATCAAGGAATCCAATTCCAAACCTGAAATTACCCATCACTCTATTTGCAAGATGAAGAGTTTGAGGCAGCCGCTGACATTGCATATCCCCAAACACCAGGTTTTCATGAAGGAGAAATGCTATGGAGGTGGAGGAACCTGGGGCTCTCCAGAGATGCAGGTCTTCACTTCAGCCTACCCCCACCCCTCACTCTCCAGGGACCCTAGACACAGAAGTACCAGGTGGGAGGGAGTGATGCTGAACAGAGGGTGTTACCTTAAGACACTGTCCAGGCAGAGGACACTGCAGGCTGCCTCCTCTGTCCAGCCTTGGGAGAGTGTGCCTTCCCACATCCCTATTTCAATCCAGCCTTCAAACTTCTCACTAAGGCTGCTTGGCCAGTTTGCCAAGTCAGTTCTGCAAGGGATTTGTGCATTCACCCCACAGGTTTACTGAGCATCTACTATCTGCATAGCCATGTGTCCAGCCTTGTAATTTATTCCTCTTCAACCAGGGATAAAGTATTTCCTTCAAATCTCCCTCTCCTCTTTCTCTCTCCTTAAATCTTTAAAAAAACAAACAAACAAAAAACCCCTCTGTCTTGAGTCCCACATCCACTGGCCACTGCCTTGCCTCGACTGTCATGTTGCAAGGCTGCACTAGTCACATGGGTGGCTGAGATGACTGTCCATCACCATCACCACCATCATCCTCATCTACCAAATTCTTCTGGAGTTTGGCATTGACAGGTTGACATACATAATCTCTTGTCATCTTCATCTAATAACATGTGTTCAACAAATATTTACTAAGTGCCTACCATGTGACTGAGACTGTTCGAATGCTTGGTATGCACCAGTGAATAAACCAGACAAAGATTCCTGCCCTCATGGAGCTTACATTCTAGCTGTGTGGTAGGGGTGAGAATAGATAAAATGAACAAGCAAAAAACGTAAAAAAAAGAAAAAATGATATGTAAGTTAGAAGGTGGTGAAGGAAAGTGGTGAAGGTTAGAAGGTGAACACGAAGGAAAGAAGTTAGGAGGGATAAGAGGTCTCTGGGCTGTCAGAGCTAGGGGATCTGGAAGGCCTCCTTGGAAGGTAACCTTTAAGCAAAGATTTGAAGGAGAAGAAGACATGAGTTATGAAGCTATGAGTGGGAGGAGGGATGCAGGCAGATACCATCCTAGTGCAAAGGCCCTATAAAGCATGCCCCATGCAGTCAAGAAACAGAAAGGAGGCTGGGCACGACAGCTCATGCCTGTAATCCCAGCACTTTGGCAGGCCAAGGCGAGCAGATCACTCCGAGGCCAGGAGTTCAAGACCAGCCTGGCCAACATGGTGAAACCCTGTCTTTACTAAAAATATAAAAATTAGCAGCATGGCCAACATGGTGAAACCCTGTCTTTACTAAAAATACAAAAATTAGCCAGGTGTGGTGGTGCACACCTGTAGTCCCAGCTGCTTGGGAGGTTGAGACAGGAGAATCACTTGAACCCGGGAGGCAGAAGTTGCAGTGAGTCGAGATCGTGCCACTGCACTCCAGCCTGGGTGAAAGAATGAGGCTCCATCTCAAAAGACAGAAAAAAGAGAGAAAAAGAGAGAGAGAGAGAAAGGAAGGAGTGAGGTAAGCAAGGGAGCCAATGAGAAGTTAGTAGTTGAGGTCAGAGAAGTGAAGAGGTGATGGGCTGGCTCACACCAGGTCTGGGAAGCCACTGTCAGCACTTTGGCTCTCACTCTGGTGAAATGGGGAGGAATTGAAGGATTTTGAGCAGAGGCTGAGCTGGTCTGACCTGCAGATGTAAAGGCTCACTCTGACTGCCTGGCTGAGAGTATGCTGGGCGTTGAGGCAGGCAGAGGTGGTGGCAGGGAGATGGGTTAGGAGGCTGTTGCAATGACCCAGGTTGGGAGGATGGTGACCCTGGCCAGAGTGCTGATGGTGGATGAGAGAGGTGGTCAGCTCTGGATATAGTTTCCTGGTGCATTGGCTGCATGGTGAGAGAGAAAGAAAGTTGCGGTGAGCCAAGATTGTGCTACTGCACTCCTGCATGGGTGACAGAGTGGGACCCTGTCTCAAAAAAAAAAAAAGAGATACTGATGACTCCAACATGTCCAGCCTGCACAGCTAGAAGACTGAAGTTGCTCTTGACCAAGATGGGGCAAGACTGAAGATGGAGCAGGCTGGGGTTGGGAGTGGTGACTGGGTACTTGGGGCTGGCCATGTTTCATTTGAGGGGCTTATCAGACACCACAAATGCATGTGAGCAGGAAATCGTTGTTATGTGGATGAAATTTAAAGTCATGGCATTGGATGAGACCACCCAGCAGAAGAAGCTGGGAACAAGAAAGGAGAAAAGGAGACACCGAAGTGAGAGCCAGAAAGAGTGAAAGTTAGTCCAGAGAGTGTGGGTCATGGAGGCCAAGGGGAAAACAAACAAACAAACAAACAAACAAACAAAAAAAAAAACCTGTCTAGGAAGAGGCAGTGACCCACTCAGTAAAATGCTGCTGATGGGTCAAGAAAGATTAGGACTGAGGATTGACCACTGGCTCTCACCCCTGAAATGGATATTCCACCCATTTTAAGGTGAGGAAAAGGAATCGCAGAGTGAGGAAGTAACTTGCCCAAGGTCACAAGCTGCAAGCAACAGCGCTAGGATTTAAACTCAGGTCTGTGCAAAGCCAGGGGCCTTGGCACTTCTCAAACTCACCCCTTGGGCTCCAAGTGTTCCATAGGCCAAGGAAGGCAGCTCTGAGAGGCAACAATTCATGTTCCTGCTAGGTATTCGTACTCAGGAAGCCTGAGGGGAGGGGAAACTGCAGGTGAATATGGGACTGACAGCGCAATTTTTAAAATCTTCTCAATCCAGGGCAAGGTGTGAGAGGCACGCTCAGTGCTGGGCCTTCTTTTCTTGCAAATGACCATCCCACCCAGGTAACTAGGGGCTTGACCCTGGAAGGCACTTCCAGTTAGCGGCCGAGCTTTAAAGCGTTGCATCCTGGAGATACTTGCATTTTAATGGCAGAAGGGCATTTCCACAACCAAGTGGCAAAGAGAGATAGGGCAGGGGTTGCAGAGAGAGGTGAACCCACCCGACCCAAATCAGGGATCCTCTATTTTTTTCACTCCTGGGTGACCTGCCCTCTGCAATGCCTTCCTGCATTGGTGGCCCCAGCCACTCAGCCAGCTCACAGGTTCCTGGGGTAGGATGACGGTCACCTATCTCCCCCTGGTGTCGGCTCTTCCCATTGCAGCCCCGGGAGATAGAGGGCGATCTCCGCCTACCCGCCAGCGAGGCCTGGGGAGCCACACCTAAGACGTGGGTCCAGGGTCCTTCTCCCTACCCCATCCTCTGCGGCTCTACACCTGGGCCATGGCACAAACCCTCCGCATTGCCAGCACCTGGGAGTTCGAATGTGTAATGGCTTCTTCTGACTCAATGTCAGGTTAGCAGTGCAGACCTAACCCGCAGTAAAGAAATGAGGGTCCCTGATTTGTGCACACCACTGTACCCCCACGTAATTTCCTCGGCTGAATCACTTGATACTGCCAGGCCACCATTAAACCATTTGTAAAGGGAGGTGACAGAACCAGAGGAGTCTCACAACCCACTCCTTCCCTGTATTGGCTTAGGTGGCTGGCTTCTTCCCAGGGCCTGGAGCAGTCCCTGGAAACACCTCAGGATGTTCGGGGTGTACTGCAGGTTGCTCTCCACCCACCAGAAGCAGTACTGTGGAGTGGTTAGGGGCAGGAGCTTTGGAGGCTACACAGACCTGGGTTCAAATCCTGACTCTGTTGCTCATGAGCAGTGGGAATCTTTCTGTGCCTCAGTTTCCTCATCTGTGAAATGAGGGCACTCATGCCTTCTGTGCTGGGTGGCTGCAAGGCTTAAGTCTGATACTGTTCATAAAGTGCTTAGCACAGAGCCTGGCCACGTGGAGAATGGCCAGCAAATATCACCATGTAGTAAACACTGGGGACCAGAGGGCTGGAGTGGGTGGGAAAAAGGCTACAGCCAGGGGATCCAGGCTCTAGTCTCACCACGCCATGTAATACAACTGTACTTTAGAGCAAACTAATGTCCGCCAGGTTGTGAGGAGGCTCAAACGAGGTACTGAGGCAGCACACCGATGGGTGCCAGGTTGGGAGCCAGCCCAGCTGCACTCTCCTGCTGATCTTGAGAGAGTCGTTTTATCTCTAAGGGCTGTGGGTTTCTCATCACGGACAGGGATCAACACCTGCCTGACCCACCTCCCAGGAGTAACTGGAGATGAAGAGTGTGAAATGACAGCACTGACGTGCTACAAATAAAAAGGATTGTCATGATAGGGAAAGTGTTTTGAAAATTGTACAGCTTACCCCGTTGTTAGCAAGAGACCAAGCCCCCAACATCCCGCGCTTGCTCCATATCACGGCACGCATCTCCCTGCGTGGGATCTGCCTATTTTCTTGCTGGTCTCCCAAGCATACAGAGGTCTCTGCCCTCAAGAAGTTTATGTTCTCATTGGAGAGACAAACAAGAAAATGAATGGTGAGAACCCTGAAGGTAATACCAGGGGCAGAGGTAGGCAGTTCTCCATCCACCTGGAATCCTTGCTAGAAACACCCAGTGAAGGAACAACAATTCTCAGAAGAGAAGCTTAGCCCCAGGGCAACTGCCCAATGGCTTGGCAACGATGGACAGGGTTACAGAGCCCTTGTATAGTGAAGAAGGTGCTGGAACGGAAGTCAGGAGGCCTGGGTGGTAGTCTAGGCTCTCTATTAATTTGAAAAGACTACATATTGTATGATTCCAACTTTACAACATTCTGGAGAAGGCAAAACTACGGAGACAGCGAAAAGACCAGTGGTTGCCAGAGGTTAGAGGGAGGCATGAATAGGTGAAGCACGGAGGATTTTCAGGGCAATGAAACTACTCTGTATGATACTATGATGCCATCACGCATTTGTAGAAACCCACAGAATGTGTGACACCAAGAGTGAGCCCTAATGTGAACTATGGATTTGGGTGATACTGATGTATCAGCGTAGGTTCGTTGAGTAGAACAAATGCACCGCTCTGGTGGGGGGAGCTGAGGGTAGGGGAGGCTGTGCCTGTGTGGGGGCAGGGGTACATGGGAATTCTCTGCACCATCTGTTCAATTTTGCTGTGAACCTAAGACTGCTCTAAAACATAAAGTCTATTAAAAATAAATAAATAATTTTCCCTGATCTGTTGTTTCCTCGCCTGTAAAACAGAGACACTAATACCTGCTCTGCCTGCCATGACACCCACATGGCCATGATTGGGGTCTAGTGGACTCTGCGAGTACAAGACCAACATGTCAGGGGTGCGCTGGTCCCTGGAAGAATGAGAGATGCCCTCAAAGTCGGGATCCTATGACAACTGCCCCTGCCAGCCCAGCCCCCAGCAGCTGCTGCAGCCCCCTCCTCTGGCAGTTCTCACCTCCCCACCAGGCAGTGGGGGTTTTGGACTGCAGTGGGCACCTCCTCCCAGCAGCAGCTCCCCACAGCAGAGCTGGGAGCTCCACCCACCTCCTTCTCTCCACCCCTCACCCACAAGCCGGCAAGTTTTAACAAATAACACATGATACTGCTCTTCTAAAAATCTGCCAAACCTTTCTCAAAACTCCCCTTTAGGCCACAACCTTCTTTCACCAGTGAGAGCAGGCAACAAGTCCCTGTAGCATTCAAAATGCTCTTCCTTCTAAATGGCTCCCACAAAGGCCGGCAGCTATTTTAAAATCCAAGAAGCCTTTGCTGACACTCCCAACATACCGCTGTGAACAGATCCCAAACATGTGAAGAGCCCTACACTGACGCTTGTTCAATGCCTTTAAAACAAACAAACAAAAAAACAACCCAGGATGCAAATCCATTGAGTGCTCCTTTCAGGTCCCATGTGCCCCCTTGGTAGATCAGCGCACACAGTTTTTTTCAAAGAAACAGTATTTGATCTGAGAAACATCTGGAACCTGTTTCCCCAGCACTTGGCTGGGAGCTTTCAGTGGATGTCAGCGGCCCAATCGCTGAGCGTGCACCCTGCCTGCCTGAGCTGCCGGCAAGATCTATCGGACTGGGGGTGGCGGATTGGGTAAGGGGGGGCGCTGTTTGATTAAAAGCTGCTGGGGGCAGGTTCAGGTCTGGCAGGAAGTTCTGGAATGACAGAGAAGGCCACGAGGATAAGGAGCCCTGGGAGTGAAGATTAAGACTGGGAATCCTCCTAATGGAGCCACCCTGAGTAAGACAGTCGCCGGAGCACGTGGCCGTTCTGTTAAGGTTTCCCCTCAGCCATTAAGTGTTTAACAGACAAGTGATAACAACAACAATGGACATTCTCACTATTGCAAGATGCCCATCACAGGCAGGGCAGGGGTGCGTTCTGTGTGTATCCCTCACTACCGGAACAGTACCTGGCAGAGGGGCAGAGAGTGGAGCTCCATCCGGATCTGCTCCAGTGAATACATGAATGACTGAATGACACCCCCTCTCCACTGTCAACATTACAGGCCTGTTTTCAGGAACCGGGGGATTCCGGAGGCAAAATTACATAGGTGAAAGGTAGTTGACTGCAAGCCAGGGAAGCTGCCATCCGGGGCTGGTTCTCCCACTTCCCAGGTTTGGCAAGTGTGACCCTGGGCAGCGCCCTCATCTGTCATCAAGGGGATAATCCCCGCTCTATCCATCGCCCCATGTTGCTAGGAGGATCTGTCCTGTGAAGTCCTGCATAGGAAGTGTCTTTGCAACCTGAACATCTAACTGCAAAGGTTAGAAATGCTGACAATCCTCACTCCCCTTTCACCCAGTCCAGTTGCACCCAGAGGAGCCCCGGATGACCTGGCTGGGGACCTGGGCTAGAGTGGGACACAGCTGAGTGATGTTAGCACTTTGACTACTTGCACTGAAGGAGCCAGGGACAAAGGATAAAATGACCTGATTCGTCCTTGCCTGGGTGCTGCGCGCCCTCCTCACCTGCCTTCCCACACCTGGCTCCGCCTGTTAGCACCTGAGCCCTTCATTTACAAGCTCAGCGGCCTCCTGTCCCCTCTGCCTCTGGGCCTCAAACACACACAGTTCTCCTGGAACCTTGGAAAGTCCAACTCTTCTTTTGTGTCTTCTGTCCTTCAGACTACAAATCCATCTCTTTCTATTGTAGTGACAACTGATCCCATCCATGAAACTCCAGTTAGGTGCTCGGCACCAAATACAGTGGCATCTCATGAATTCTTCCCTAAACCCTCACCTGATGCACTGGTGATCTCCCCAGGGTGGCCCCTTACCCTGTCCTGACTTTACCTTCTGCTCCCAGCCCGCAGTCCTGGAACGATCCAGATCCAGTGGCTCTTCCCCAGCCTGGCCCCATGCAGCCTCTCCCAGCAGTGGAGCCTGGTGACTCCTGCTCCCCATTCCTGCCTCTTCCCTGCACCTCCCTCCTCTGTGCACCTTTACTTCTTCTGCAATGTCCGTGACATCATCATTCCCCACGCTCTGCCCCAAAGTCCTTCCACCCTGCAATTTCATGACATTGCCTCTTCCCCCTGCAGTAGGGGCTTGGCTGGCTGAGCTCCAGCTCCCAGGGCCAGCATAGGGCAGCCCCCTCCAGCCCCTGCGGCCACACCTGCACCCCTCCTGCCCACTATCCCCTTCCTCCTCCTCTTCCCTCAGAAGCATCTCCGGCACCTCCCACCCCTGACTTCCAGTCAGTGGCCAGGTCCCATTGGCTCCAAAGGAGCTGGACACCCTTTGAAATATCCTCCTAACTCCCACCATTCACACCGTTTATCACCTTGGAATGAGCATTTCCAGTCGACCCCTCAACCCCTCCTTCTGCTGTATTTTGACACTGCCCTTTTATTGGCTCCTTCCTGCCAGAATTTACTTATTTATTTAGAGTTGGGGTCTTGCTCTGTTGCCCAGGCTGAAGTGCAGTGGCACAATCATAGCTCCTTAGCCTATTGCAGCCTTGAACTCCTGGGTTCAAGTGATTTTCCCACCTTAGCCTCCCCAGTACCTAGGACTACAGGTGTGAACTACCAGGCCTGGCTACTTTTTTTTTTTTTTTTTTTTGAGACAGAGTCTTGCTCTGTTGCCCAGGCTGGAGTATAGTGGCGCGATCTAGGCTCACTGCAACCTCTGCCTCCTGGGTTCAAGTGATTCTCCTATCTCAGCCTCCCAAGTACCTGGGATTACAGGCATGTGCCACCACACCCAGCTAAGTTTTGTATTTTTAGTAGAAATGGGGTTTCACCATGTTTGCCAGGCTGATCTCCTGACTTCAAGTGATCTGCCCACCTCAGCCTCCCAAAGTGCTGGGATTACAGGCATCAACCACCATAAGGCCTGGTTAACTTCATTTTTTTGTAGAGATGGGGTCTCTAACTCCTGACCTCAAGCAAATCCTCCTGTCTTGGGCTCCCAAAGTGCTGGGATTAGAGATGTGACCCACTTCGTAAATATTACTGAACACATACTGTGCCCAGCCCCTGCCAGCACTTAAACATTCGCAGGCATCTCTTCTCCCCTGGCAAAGCGGTGGTGTGAGTAGCCTACTCCATGGGATCCACTCCTCATTCACTCCTTGGTCCCCTCACACGGGTAACCAGTGGCTTGCTGGGGTAAGGCAGTGCGTGCGTTTCCTGTGGCCTCACCCAACCTCTCTGGCTGGCTGCTGTTGAGCATAGCAGAGCCTACCCGCAGGTAAACCTGTCCTCCTCTCAGAGTCCACGCCTGCTGGAACACTGAGGATGCAGACCCAGGTGCCCAGCCCTGCCTTCTCTTCTGGAGTCAGATGGCAGACCTGCCTCTCGGGCAGCTACCTCTGGATGCTACAGCCTCCTCAAACTCTATGGGTTTCTGTGCAGAAGTCGGTGCCAATGGCTGCCATCCCTGTAAAAAACCCAGTGCTTCTCTGTGTCCCCTTCTTGGTGAAGGCACCGTTATTAGAGTTAACATATACCCCAGCTTGCCAGCGCCATGCCCAATGACACACATTGTCCTGGCATAACTATTAACAGCATCCCCCTTTAGTCTCAAAAGGGTCCTGTCTTAGATGAGAAATTATATACTCAACCTCATTGTTACCCACTCGCCTGCTCATCACAGAAACCCGAGGGTCATCTGGACTCTCCCTCTCCCCAATATCCCCACAGCCCCCAAGCTCTATGGGTTCCACGTCCTTAACACCTTTTAAGCCCAGCCCATGGTCCATGCCATCACCTAGGTTGCAGGGTGGGCACCTTGCCTTCAATCTTACCTTTCTTCCATTCTTCCACCTGCTGCTGGAGTGACCTTCCCAAATTGCAAATCTGATCACATTTACCAGCCTAAAAATCAAATGGTGACTCTCCTCCCCCAGCCACCAGCCAAACTTTAAGATAAACTCTAAACTCCACACCAGGGCCATGAAGTTCTTGGCTCCTAACCATGGATGTGCCCCTGCCCTACCCGCCCCGACCCCCGACCCAACCACAAGCCTCATCCCTCACCTCACCATCCTGGCTCCCATCTGTCCCTTGCTGGGTCCCGGCTCACTGACACCCTGTGTCCCCATGCTTGCCCGCTACCTGTCTATCTCCCCAGCTATACTGCAAGCTCCGTGATAGTGTCTTTCGTCTCTGAATCAATAGCACTGACATGGTGCCTGATGCAATGTGTTCAGTAATATTTACGAAGTGAGTCACCGCCCATCCCCAACACCAAATAGTCCATGGCGGCTGCAGTCCCCTGAGCCAGTGGGCCTGCACTTGACCGCCTCCACATGTAGGAGAGGAGACTCCACATGTAGTCTACTGGAAGACGTCTCTGCTCCATCCATTAGGGTCTGTTCTTCTAGAATTGCTGTGGGTGTTGGGAGCCCCGTGTCCTTCCTCGGCTAATCATTTTGTGACTGCAGCAGCCTGTATTTTTCTGCTCTGTGTATACAGAGAAGGGTTGGTAGGGGCGGTGGACCTGTGAGTTCCGAGCTCTCTTATAGAGAGGAGAGTTCCAGGCCTCTAGAAAATTTGGGTTGAAACTTGTGTCTCCACCATGGGCCAATGAGGGCGAGAAGGTGCTCCCTGGGAGGCTGCGGCTAGAGGCCTGGGCTGGCATGAAATGCACTGACCCAGGTGGATAGGGCACTCAGGGCCACCTGCTTTGTGAGGAGAAGAAATAGTGCCTGGGCCAAGCCTGATTGGAAACTCCAGGGAGAGCAGGACAGACCGAGGCAGCCTTTTGTTCCCTCCCTGTAATGCAATGCACATTCCCCACTTAAAGGCAATTTCTGCACTTCAAAAGGATTCCAGCTGGCGAAATTTAAGGTGGAGAATAAGCCCCCAGTCAAGAAGCTTCTCAGGGGCCTTTCAGTTTTCCTTGGCTTGAGAACGGGATGCATTTTTAAATGTTTGCCTCTTCATGTTTGTCAGAGCGCCAGGGGAGAAACGCTTCCTCTTACTTCCACACCTCTCTCGCTCAGCCATAGCTGGCACGGGAGCCAGCCACGTTTTCCTGTGTTACTTTGCCTTCTCATGAACCTGCCTGACTTCCTCTCTTTCTCTGCCTGCTTCCCCACCCACCCCCCAGCTCACACCCCACCCCTAGGGGGAGGAGAGAGTCCTGCTGCCCTGGGTTCACTAGGTTTAGCAGCTTTCCTTCAACAGATGCTGAAAGGGCCGACAGTTTGGCTGACACAGCTCATAGCTCACACTCCAGGAGATGCTCTCCCACATGTCATTCATTCATTCATTCATTCATGCATTCATGCATTCATGCATTCACCTGTTCACTCTCTCACCTAGTCACCCAGTCAGCCAGCATGGCATCTGAGGTGCTGGTGGGGCCCACGGGTGACTCAAAGAAAGACAACACATAGTCTTTCTCTCCTAACTTACAAAGTGCTTGAAGCTTTGAGAGACAGGAATGAGCAACTACAGCACAAGACACAGGGAAGTCAAAACCCAGTTTAGAGGGTAGGAACATTTTAAAAGCACAGAGAAAGAAAAGATCAGCCAGGGATGTAGGTGGAGCCCAGAGGGAGGCAGTCAGGGAAGGCTTCCTAGAGGAGGAAGCATTGTGACGGGAGCAGGGTCCAAAGACGCCAAGGATGGGGAAGTGGCCAATGCCAGAATATGGAGGTGGGAAGCTCTATGGTGGGCACAGAGGCACTGCTGCACCCCTCTTTCCAGGGCTTTGGAGTTTGCTGGGGGCGGGGGAGGGGGGGGTGTTCCCAGGCATGTCCAATGGCAGTCACTGCTTTGGTGGCATTGCTTCAGTCACCTTGGAAGCAATGCACCATCCCCACATAGCAGTCACCAACTCGTGCCCTTCTCCATCAGGCCCAGAAGAAATACCTTCATGCTCTTCTCTGTCCTAAACACTCAGGCTCCCCGCACCCTTTTCTTGAGGGACCCAGGTAGCACTTGCTCCTCCAGCCTCACCAGTCATGCCCTCTCCCTTAAGGGAAGCTCCAACTACCACCTTCCCTAGGAAGAACTATCCTTCCTGCCCACCCCCTTCCATTCTAACCAGGGAAAGCTTCCCTTCGGCCAGCCCACCCCTGCCTGTGCCAGCGCCCCCTGGTGTCTCCCTTAGAGCCCTTGCCAGTGGCCCACTGGCCAGGCCCATGGGCTCTGGAGTTGGGCAGACCTGGCTTTGACTCTGGCTCTGGCACCTTTCAGCTCTGTACTTGGCCAGATTACTCACTTCCATAGGACCTGCCTTGCATTTCCTACCTAACATCCTTTCACCCTTATCTGATCAATCACACCTTGACTTGCATTCAGGGCAACCATCCTCCTCTACTCTCAGTCCTTGTAGATTAAGGGGAGCTGTAGAGGGTCACTGCTAGGTTCAGGGATAGGCACAAGACCAAAGCGAGACCAATCCTGTGACTTTTAATGGATGGAAAACCCTATTTCCACTGGGGTTGACAAATTGGTCAAACACAAACCTAAGGCTGTTGGGGCCATCTTTGTCACAAGGGAAGACTCTATTTACAAATGAAAACAGCACAGAAAAAAACAATCAAGAGACAGATTCCTGGTGACACTGAGCACCTGGATCCAGCCTCGCCTGAAGTTATCCCTGGAGTTTTCAGTTTTGTGAACCAATGTTTCCCCCTCTTTTCTGGCTTAAGCCGATTTGAGTTGACTTTTTGTCACATGCCATTAATAGTCTTGATGAAAGAAATACTTAACTTGGAGACTTAAATGAAAGGTCCGAGTAGTGCCCAGGAATGGAATAAGGTGGCACTCACTGACCACTTTGGCAAATCTCTCTGAATCTGCCTTCTCATAGGTCTGTTACATTTCCATAAACTATAGTTCCATAGTAGTAGAATACTATGTTTTTCTTCTTCCCACAGCTTCGATCAAATCTTCCTTTGTAAAATCTTCACTCTCCCAGGCTTTCTTGACCACAGCTCTGTGTTCCTCATAAATCTCTATGTTCCACATCCGTTTTCTCCCCACCCCACCCCCGGGCTGAGGCAGGATGGGTTTAACAGTACAAGACTTCAGGATGTGGCGTGGGTGATGTCGTCTTTGTGTAATGTGCTGATAAGCCAGGGCAACGAAACCAAATCAAACCAAAGACTTTCCCAACAGGCTTCAAATCCCTGCTCTGGAGGACACCAGGTGCTCAGAAAAGTCTACACTGCCATCTAGTGGATGTCTGCAGCATCATCAGCACGCGGAAGGGAGCCCTTTGGGGAGAATTCCCTTGGGACTGTCCCTGGCCTGTGAAAGCATCCGACTGACCCTCACTACATAAGGGACAAACCCCAAGACAAGTGAATGGATGGTGAAGCCGAGAGTCCTGTCCCGCAGAGTAGCATATACTCCTCTAAAAGATTGGGTTCCTGCCCGGCCTCTGCACCTCCCATCCCAGGAGTTAGAATCAGCAGGCTTCCTTTCTCTGCTCCTCTTGGCTGTCCACAGGTGTGCCCAGTCCAAGGGTTTCCAGGGAAGAGGGCTGACGCTGTGTGCACATGGGTGTGCATGCAAGTGTGTGTGTGCACATGTGCACACATGTGCACGTGTGCACTTTATTGCTCGTCTTCCCAAAGGAAAGGGTGTTTGTCGTGTTTGCAAACAAGACAACCTAGCAAAGCTTCATGACAACAGCCTCATAACTTGCGAGCCATATCACAATCTATTTGCTCTCTGATAGTGAAAAACACTTCAAAGAGAAGAGTCTATTCCCCGCATTGGAGTAACTTGTGTGCTGCCGCCCTCTGGAGCTTGTTGTCCTACTGGGCTTAGCTGACTGCATGAGGCCTAACCAAGGCAGCACTGAGGGGAAGGAAGAACCCCTTGTGGCCCTTCCCTGCCACCCTGCACAGAAAGGACCAGAAGGTCAGCCTTGGTGTGTGTGCTTGGTCACATCCCGGCCACGACCCTTCCATCTCCAGGCATTTGTGACCCAAGTCCTGCCTAGATTGACAGCAGCACCTCCTTCTAAAACACAGCAGAAAAGAGGCCAGTCTCCACCATTGACACTCTGCGGGCTCAGTCTGGCCCAGGAGTCAAGAAATAAAGAAGCGGAGACCAGAAGGCCAGATCAGCTTCCCCAAAACACACTCTGGCTGCTTAGGGCAGCAGCAGACCCATTTCCCACTTCTATGACTCTTCCCCAGGCTTTCCAGACCCCTAAATGTAATAGCACTAATCACTGCCCAGTAAAATAGTTATTTCCAGTTCCTAAAATGCTTTGTTCTTCTTTTACACAACTTTGGGCAAAAGAAGAGCGTGTCTCATGTTGTGACAACAAAGCGTCAAGATGCACTGACCTCTGCCTGTTTAGGCAACTTGGGAAGCTCTGTCTTGGTAAATACCAGCTTCTCTCCAGCCCAGAAGCCATCTGAAGGCCCAGGCACCCCGCGCCTTGAGAGAGGACTCCTCCCATACCACGCCTTCTTCCACTTATCTGCCAACTCCAAAGCACACACCAGCTGGTCTCCACCAGGCTTGGGGTCCCAGATCTCAGGGGCAGCCAAGGAGCTCCCAGAGCAGGGGAGCAGGAAAAGGCCTGGGCAGAATGGCCTCAACCATCACCAAAGTTTCCAGTCTGCAGCCCTCCCACCAGCCCCCAGCCTTCTCCTCAAGTCCACTCTAAGGAAGGCACAACTTTATGGCAACAGCCATCTGCAGCCACCAGACCCAACCCAGATGGCTCTGCACGCAGCTTCAAGTCACCCAGATGAGCAAGCCTGGAGGAACATCAAGACCCCCAACTGTCCCCCCGCTTTAACACAGCCCTGCTCACTCACGTCCACGGCCCCCGGGAACTTGACTATCGGCTCCATCCAGGAGGTGATCTTCTGTCTGTAGTTGTTACAATCAGGAACAACCTTGCAGCCAATGTTCCCCAACTCTGGGTAGAAAACTTCAAGGCCCCTATGAAGAGAGAGGGGAGGTTGCCCTGTGTCAGGGTTTTAAGGGAGCCTGGGGTTCCCAAGGCTTCAGTCTAGCACTATTGGGAATGTAAAGTGAAATGGGATCAAATCCTAAACCTGCCACTAACTAGTTGTGTGACCGAAGAGTTACTTGACCTCCTTGTGCCTCAGTTTCCTCACCTGTAAAACGAAGACACTAATAATTCCTCCCTCATGGAGTCAGTGTGAGAAGAAAAGTGGCGGTCAATGGTCAGAACAGAACCTGGCACGTTGTAAGTCATCAGAAAGTATAATATTAATTATCATCAGCCTTTACTTCCCTAGAAGAACAGATATCCTTAGGCAAACTTAGTGTCTTTAAAGTAGGATTGAGTTTATAAAAACAATACCTATAGATTGCTTTTCAGGAACATTCTTATTACAGAAAGAAAAGCTTAGCAAGTCAGCACAGCTTCCTTCAAGGGCATAGACCTTCTCTCTCCCCTAAACAATCAAGAGCTCCCCATGCCTGAAATCCCACCATTAGGTGAAGAATTGGCTTCTTTGGGTTAAGCATTGACTGTAGCCTAGGTTCTCTTTCAAAATGCAAACATCCCTCAGGGGGTAAAACACTGGCTCACTAAGACTGTCAGTATGAATGAACCAGTTCATGTATTTGCTCCCTGAGAAGAAGGGCCCGAACAGCACCAGGGTTCTAAGAATGTGGCTTCCTGGAAGGGAAGAAAATATGATGCAGAGCAAGGCAACAGAGCCTGCAGGGCAGGGCAGGCCGGGCTGGGCCATGACAGCACCAGGCTGGCTGTAAGTGCATGCTTATATTTGACACTCAGGAACACAGGTAAGATTTTTCAAAGACATTTTTTAAAACTGTTTTTGCTTGCCCTTCTATTATAATTTATCTCCATGACCTAAGTCCTCTGTAGGGTTAACGAGGGTTAAGACATCACTGAGAGAGAAAGGGTGTGGGTAGAGAGTGGGTGTTGCAGGTCCCCAGCCTTTCCTAACACCTTGCAGGGCTAAGCCGCTCTACAGCCTGCCGGTAGCCACCCACAGCGGTCCACAGTGCCTTGCTGGGGGTGATATCTAAGGGGACCCTGTGAGGATGTAATTTGGAGAATAGATCTGGAAAGGGAGCTCCCTGAACCTGGGGCCTGGGAGTAGGCCAAGAGCAGCTTCCTGGTGGGGAACCCTGCATTGCCCCTCCCACCTTCCACCTCCCACCCTTCCAGTGGCTCCTGAAGTCCAGCCTTGGGCAAAAGGCCGCTGAGCCCCCAGCACCTGGCAGCCCCGGACCAGGACACTTCGGTGGGCCAGCGCCCCCAGTGCCAGAAGTCACATGCTCTGGTCTCAGAGAGTGGAAGCCGGATGAGTCATGGGCTTGCTGAGCAAGTTTGTTTCTTCTAACTCTTTGCGCATTTACAGCAATTCTTGGTGGATGGCAAGATTTTCACAGCTTTTGGAGAAGTTTTAGGTGACCAGTTTTATCTTCCTAGCATCATCTTAAGGACCGTTTGGTTTGTTTCTGCTGCAACTCCTTGCTGCCGCAGCTAGCGAGATGCGAGGCAGAGAGGGGACCCACCAAGGGCAGAGAGACAGACAGCAAACAGCACAGGATGGGAAAACTGAGAGGTAGGGAGGAGGTAAACTGAGGGTGGAGGGACGCCCTCACGCCCATAACCCCTCTCCCCTTTTTATCAGAGTGGAATTGTTGTAAATATCAAAAGGATTAAACAAGCAAAATCATCAAATTGTTATTTGATGAGGTGGGCACAGAGCCACAGAGAGTGCCCTGAAGGACAGGGCACATGCCAGGGAACCAGGGATTTGGGTCTTGTCTCTGTCCCTCTCTTCACGCCCATAGGGCACTGCCAGGCCAGCGTTTGAACATAGCGTATTGCCCCACCTAGGATGATGGGAAAGGGGCATGTGCAGGCCTCTGCCCTGCTCAGCTGCTTTAGCAAAGTCTTGGAGAAGGACACGGAGACAAATTTATTTGATCTGCAGATGGCACAGAGCTGGTAACCAACAATTCTGATGATCAAATTGACTTACGAGACGACCTGGACAAACCTGAGGTGAGCTGAATCAAAAATTAAAGTTACTGAGAAAATACACTTTAAATTTTGCATTCAAGACTAGGCACGGTGGCTCATGCCTATAATCTCAGCTCTTTGGGAGGCTGGGGTGGGAGCATCACTTGAGCCCAGGAATCTGAGACCAGCCTAGGCAACATAGTGAGACCCTGTTTCTACCAAAAATTAAAAAAACAAACAAACAAAAAAAAAACACCATGGTAGTGCCTGCCTGTGTTCCCAGCTACTTGGGAGGATCACTTGAGCCCAGGAGGTAGAAGCTGCAGTGAGCCATGATTGCATCACCGCACTCCAGCCTGGGTGACAGAGCAAGACCCTATCTCAAAAACAACTTGCATTCAAGCCAGAAAACCTCAAAGGTGCCACCTTCCTGTGTGCCCTTGCTGCTTGTGGTTTACCTGACATGGAATTCTTCTAATTTCCATGTGGAGAGTTTGGGGATCTCCTGATCTCCTTGACAAGACTTGAAGGCACTCTAGACAGTGGAGTGAAAAGATCAGGGGCCCTGGCCCCAGCTTTGCCATGAACTAATGCTACATAAGGGACTGGGGATGAAGGGCATGACTTTTACTGGGCCACCCCAATATATCGGGGACATCACATATGTATGATTTCATTTCATGCAACCATACCTTGAGGCAGCTGTTATCACTATTCCTATCTCCAGATGAGTAACTGAGAAACTGTTGGACAATACCTATTTGCAGCTGCTACGTGTTGGAGTGATCTGTTGTGTACAACAGAGAACTAGTACTGTGGGCTTGGCTGCACTTTCTTCCCCGCACCACACGTTTTCCCTAGTGAGCTGTTTCATTCCTCCAGGCTTCAGTTTGAGCTAGGTGGTCATGTGGGTCTCTGTCATGGCAAGAATTAGATCACAAGGGCTGGGCGTGGTGGCTCAAGCCTGTAATCCCAGCACTTTGGGAGGCTGAGGTGAGATGATCACTTGAGCCCAGGAGTTAGAGGCCAGCCTGGGCAACGTAGTGAGATCCTGTCTCTATAAAACATAGAAAAAATTAGCCAAGTGTGGTGGTACGCATCTGTAGTCCAGCTATATGGGAGGCTGAGGTGGGAGGATCGCTTGAGTCTGGGAGGTCAAGGTTGCAGTGAGCCATGATCCTGCTTCTACATTCCAGCCTGGGTGACAGAGGGTGATGCACTGAGACCCTGTCTCTAGAAACGTGGCTTCTCAGCTGTGCCTGTATGAAGGGCTTAGAATTTCAGCTGCCCCTCAGTGAGTGCTATGGTCTGAGTGTTTGTGTCTCCTCAAAATTTATATGTTGGAATTTAATCCTCAATATGATGGTATTAACAAGCGGGACTTGGAAGAGGTGATTAAGTCACCCTTATAAAAGGCACCCTCATAAGAGAGGCTGAAGGGAGCTGCCCTTCCCTTCCCCCATGTGAAGTCGCAGCAAGAAGGTGCCATCTTTGAAGCAGAGAGCAACCTTGTACCGCACACTGAATCCACTAGCACCTTGATTTTGGCGCTTCTCAGCCTCCAGAGTTGTGAGTAATACATTCCTGCTGTTTAGAAATGACCTAGTCTAAGGTATTTTGTTATGGTAGCTGAACAGACTAAGACAGTGAGGATGACAAAAAGACACATGGGATATGAGGCTGCCTCGAAGAGGGGGCTCACTGTGAAAGTGTGGGTCACCCCACTTGAAAAACAGCAAGCCAGGTATGGCAGTGCATGCCTGTAATACCGGCACTTTGGGAGGCTGAGGCAGCAGGATTGCTTGAGCCCAGGAGTTTGAGAACAGCCTGGACTACATACCGAGACTCCCAACTCTACAAAAAATAAGAAACTTAGCCAGGTGTGGTGGCGTGCACCTGTAGTCCCAGCTACTCAGGACGTTGAGGCAGGAGGATTGCTTGAGCCCAGGTGTTCAAGGCTGCAGTGAGCTATGATCAGGCCACTGCACTCCAGCCTAAGTGACAGACAAGACTCTGTCTCTAAAAGAAATGTATTTAAACAGGAGAGACCAAGGCCCCTGAGAGAGGTTGAAGGACTGGGGATGACTGCCCAGGTTGGGGGGAGCTGGGGATGAAGGGGCAGGGCAGGGCATGGCACCTGTCACCACACACATGAATGACCACAAAGAAGATGAGAAACTAGACTAGTTTGTGCACCTCGTGGATCCGCACTACAACAGGTAGGGTTGGTGTTCAAGAAGAGCAGCAGGGCCTCGGGGTAAGAATGTACTTTCTGAAGAACGGAGCTTTTCAACACCAAAAAGCAGGACGCTTTGAGCAGCAGCTCCCATCCCTAGGGGAGCTTGCAGGGCTGACTGGATGGCAGCAGCAGGTGGGGTTTTTTGAGTGGATTCACCTCCTGGCTGCAGGTTTGGAGAATCATGGTTCTTTCCATTCTGCGACTGAGCCCAGGGTTGGGACCGTCGGTGGTTTTGCTGGTCTTGTCTGGGGTATCTCAGAAGCAGGGAAGGTCTGATTCCCGAGAAGCGTTACTCTTAACAATGTCTCACAGCTTGTCACAGTACATAAAATTCCTCCCTTATAGATTAATACCTTTAGGCATTGAGTCCAATCTTTAAGAGTTCCCTGGTAGACCAAATGCCCACAAGAGGAGTGCCTTCTCTGGGGGATCTCTTGCCAAGGTCAGAGCCTGAGCCGAGTGGGGATCTTGAGGAGGGGTCAGTGCAGGAGGTCCTGCTGTCTCCTCAGGGGTCCGATCTGTCCTTGATGCATTTTTCATTTCATCATCATTCATGATGCTCTCTTCCAAACAAAAATCTTCAGTGACAATAAAGACAAAGCTCCTCTTTTGCGATGATGGCTTGAAATCAAAAGACATCTTCCTGGCATGCAACCTTAAGGTCATAAGTCTCTTTCTCAGACTGGGGGCCTGCTGGTGTATTCTGGGAGTCCTGAGAATGGGCCCCCTTGACTCGAGTCTGGGAGCCCTGAACCTGGGGTGAAGGTTGTCAGAAGCAGATAGGGAAAGAGCGTGAGTGTGGAGTCAGACAAGGGGGCTAGATCTTGGCTCTGCTACTTTTAAGCTATGTAAACACTGTGGGCAGATTTCTTAATCTCTGGGGATTCTTCATCTGCAGAATGGGGGTGCTAACACAGACTTTGTAGGTTCGTTACTGACAGTGAAAGGAGTCAAGGAGTCCAGGCACCGGCAGAGCACCTGGCACACAGAAGGTGCCCTGGGACTTCCCACGTGTGTCCCCATGCATGGGTCACCAGGGCACCAACATGTGATCTTGGCAGGGCAGAGCCTAGGGCATCTGGAGCCTCAGGCTGGTCACCCCCAATGACCCTACAGACATCCTCATTTCCCACAGTGTGGGAAACACCAGGAACTGCTGAGGTCCTCCTTAAGGGGCCCTTATTGTGGCCCAGGCCTGCTGTACCCTGGCCCAGCTGACCTCTCCTGGTTACGGGGGTGTTGACCTTGCACTGCTCAGAGCGAGAAGCCTGCCAGCCCCTCAGCTCACTCAGCAGAGCACCTAGAAAATTAGATCCCACTTGTGAGAGGCAACCACGTTTCTCTTCCTCCTTCCACGTGAAAACTTCACCCAGAACTGTTTTCTTGCTTGTTTGTTTTTTTGTTTGTTTTTTGAGACAGAGTCTTGGTCTGTCGCCCAGGCTAGAGTGCAGTGGCGCAATCTCGGCTCACTGCAACCTCCACCTCCCAGATTCAAGGGATTCTCCTGCCTCAGCCTCCTGAGTAGCTGGGATTACAGGTGTGCGCCACCATGCCCGGCTAATTTTTTTTTATTTTTAGTAGAGACAGGGTTTCACCGTGTTGGTCAGGCTGGTCTCAAACTCCTGACCTTGTTATCTGCCTGCCTCAGTCTCCCAAAGTCTTGGGATTACAGGTGTGAGCCACCGTGCCCAGCCTACACCCAGAACTATTTAACAAGATTTTTCAAAATATACTGACACGAACAAAGTTTGTTACTTTTTGTTGTTGTTGTTGTTGTTGTTTAGGCAGGGTCTGGCTCTGTTGCCCAGGCTGGAATGCAGTGGCGCAATCATGGCTCAGACCAGCCTTGACCTCCTGGGTTTAAGCGATCCTCCCACCTCAACCTCTTGAGTAGCTGGGACGACAGGTGTGCATCAGCATGCTTGGCTAGTTTTTAAACTGTTTTGTAGAGAAAAGAGTCTCTCTATGTTGCCCAGGCTGGTCTCAAACCCCTGGGCTCAAGTGATCCTCCACCTTGGCCTCCCAAAGTGCTGGGATTACACATGTGAGCCACTTCACCCAACAAAAATGTTACTTTTTAAGAAGGATTCAACTACATAATTTTAAGAGAAGACATGTATTTATGGTTCTAAAAGTAATGTTTGTCAAAAATGTTTTAAATAAAATTAAAAAGAAAAACAAACATTTTCATGAACAGTAATGTTTGTGAAAATTCAAAGGTACAGAAGAGAGTAAGTAGTCAAAGTTCTTTTTCCTCCTCTCTCATTTCTCACACGTGGGCTCAGTGGGGTGTCCCCCTCCTCAGCCACCAAACTGGCAGGGAGGTTTGGCATCAGTTTGGCCTGGGGAGTCCTCAGGATGACCCACAAGTCCACACAAATGAAGGCTTGCTTTTCTAACCGGCAGAGTTGGTGAGGAGAGAGCCGAACGCCAGGCTTTCCAGCTTACCCAAAGTAGAAGCAGCTTGTGCCCTTGGAAGGGAAGAAGCCAGCCTCGTCACCCAACTCCATCCAGTGCCATGATCCCTAAAGGGCCCTGCACAAACGCTCCTGGGTCCTATCACTGACAAAAACCTCTCACACAGGAAGGGTCTAATCATACACCTTCTTTCATTCAAATGCCTCTTTGTTGGGGTTCTGGGGAGAGGGGGCATTCAGGCTGCAGGGAGGGATGGTCTCTCTCTGGGTCTCTCTCTGAGGGTCTCAGCCTCCTGCCCCCACAAAGACCCCCCAGGTTTGGAGGGCCCAAGCAGAGCCGACCACATACACAGCCCTCCTGGTCCTGGGAGAGGTGCATTCTGGAAGGCAGGAAGGAGTCTGTTTCTAAATCCCTTTCTCAGTGCCATCCTCCATCAAGGTGGTCTCCAGATCTGACACGTGTTCTGCCTTCCCATAAAATCAGGCTCAGGAGATGGTGCTTCTTGGTTCTGGATATACCCCTCCCTGCCATCTACCTGCCTGGTAGCCTCTGTGCCTCCCGCCTCCAAGCCTGCCCTGACTTACTGGCAAAAGAGGGTGTCCTCGTCCAAGAGGGCCTCATGGGCACACGGGCTGTTCTCATCCTCGTCTCCAGTGACCACCATCATGAGACCCAGTAACAGTGCTGCTGTGACCAGCCTCATTGTCCAACCCATGGGCACCTGGAACAGAAAGAACTTTAGAGCGGCTGGATCCCCTGCAGGGGCCTTCCTGCCCACTACCTGTGCCCCCGACCCCAGGGGCCCACTTGGCAGGATAGAGACCTCTGGTTAAGCACAGGGAGAAGGACAGGCAGCTTCCAGGGCTCCGCAGCTAATCCAGTCCACCACCCGGACACAAGTACTTTGGGAGGACTGGGCCTCTTCCAAGTTGGACTCAATGTACGTTCCTGGCAGAGGCCCCTCCCCTGGCAGGACACAGCTTTGTTGTCACTCTTGTCCTGGCTGCCAGGGCAGAGAGCAGGCTGCAAAGTAGAAGTGCTTATATAAGCTCCTCGGTGCAGCTCCTTGTCCAGTCCCTGCTGTTGGCCCAGGGATGGTCAGCTGGCCAAAGGCCAGCCTGCTCCTTGGCTGTAAGGCAAGCCCTGGGAAGCTGGTGACCCCAGGCTCAGGGCTAGGAGTTGGGCTGTGCCCCTCAGACCGGCTCTGACTCTCCTGGCCCCCATTCTTCCACCACCTGTCTCCACAGCCTGTGAGCTTCCCCAAGGTGGAGGTGGTTGGACACAGTGACCTTGTGTAGGAGGGACTGCTGCAGGGGGTGGGGGTAGGTGCACCCCAGACCGAGGCCAGCTCCGAAGGGCCAGCTCCGAAGGGCCAGCTGAGGACAGAAGGGTGCGTCTGGGTGCACCTTGCAGCTGTGCTGCACTCAGCACTCTCCCAAAATAATCGTATCTGGAGAAGGAGGTCTGGGGAGCTGCTTGGGGCTCAGAAAGGGGTGGCCTGCCCCAGCAGTGCACTGGGAGGAAGGGGAGCCGGGGACTGTCGCCTGCATTCCCTTGGGGAACAGTCCTGCCACCAGGTGCATGTGGGACTCTGGTTTGAGCCTGAGTGGGCAGGGAGAAGAATAAAGGCGGCTTGCAACAGGCTTTCCAATAGCTCTGCTCTCTGCTTCTCAGAGGCGGGGGTGGGAGAGACGTGCCAGCAACTCAGGACTCCTGGCTTCTGCTCTGAGCTCTCTCTGGATGCTGGGAGGCCACTGTGTCTCCCTAGAATGCACCACTTTTCCTTTTCACAAACAAGTAAAATAATTCCTGTCACCGTGGTGCCTTGCTAAGGAATATGAGATCATCGCTGTAAAGTACACGCAGCTAGACCTTTAGAGAAACTACTTTCAGCATAGTCTGCTTTCTGGCTCAATTCCTGCCTCCAGGATCCCAACCTGTAGCAAAAAGCCCCCCTTAGGGGCTACATATTAAACACATTTCTCAATCATTAGGTTCTCTGAAGTACAACCAGGACTCCCCCTTGCCCCAACCAGAAAACATATTCCCAAGATCTCCCCTAGTGGACAGAGTCTAATAGTAGCCTCCTCACAAGATCATTATGAGAATGAAATCAACCAGGTTAAGCCCTCAGTAAGGTGCCTGGCACATAGTAAATGCTCAATAATTTATGAATAGTCTAAGTATTCTCTCACGGATCCATCCATTCATTCATTCCTTTGCAACCCACTTCACTCATAGGCATTAAGCACCTCCCACGTGCCTGCCCCATGTTGGGCCCTGGGGTATAGGTTGAGCATGCAGCTCACAGGACAGCCACAGCCAAGGAGATGCTGCCAGAAGGGCTGCCCAAGACCAAGAAACTCATCTTCCAAATGGCATCCACTAGAGAAGTCTCAACTTTTCTGGGTGTCAACTCCTTTAGCACAGTGATGGCGGCCTGGAAGAAGGGAGAGCCCACAGTGCAGGTTGCTGCTGTTGAGCCCACTTCCAGTGGCGGTTCTTCCTTACTCCACGTGCCAGGCACTTTTATCTCCGAATCCTCATGCCAATCCTTGGAAATAGGCACTATTATCACCCCATCTTATGGAGGAGGAGACAGCACAGTGACATTAGTTAAAACCTGATCTTGGTCACCAAGAAGTGGCAGACCTGGAATTTGAACCCCAGGCTCTGGTTGAACCTGTGGAAACTGGGTTGAGTCCATTGAGTCCATGCTTTGTTTTGAGACAGGGTCTCACTCTCATCGCCCAGGCTGGAGTGCAATGGGGTGATGCTGGCTCCTGCAACCTCCGCCTTCTGGGCTTCAAGGGATTCTCCTGCCACAGCCTCTCAAGTAGCTGGGAGTACAGGCACACCACGGCTCTGGCTAATTTTTGTATTTTTTGTAGAGACGGGGTCTTGCATTGTTGCCCAGGCTGGTCTCGAACTCCTGGGCTCAAGTAATCCACCTGTGTGCTCCCAAAGTGCTGGGATTACAGGCGTGAGCCACCGCGCCCAGCCCAGAGTCCACGCTCTTAACCACCTGGCTCCACTGCACTCTGTAGCTGCTCCATTGCCTCTCACTCACTCCCTCTACATTCCCTTTGCTCTTGGGAGAAGGACCCAGAGTCCTTCACGTGGACCACAATACCCTGCGAGATCAGGCTTTTCCTGTCTCTCTAGCTGACTTCCTCTTCCTCTCACATGTTACCTCTGGCGGGTTCCTCAAGCTCCTTTCTATGCCAGGGCTGTGATAGGCACTGACCCTGCTTCCCACCTTCATTAGGGGGGTAGCTGAAATGTCGTTTCCTAAGAGAAACTTGCTCTTTCCCCTAGGGTCCATCAGATTCCTGTTATAAACAATTAGAGCACTTTACTGCTTTCTTCATTATTCTCATATAGTTGTAATAAATTATTTTATAGTTATTTGCTTAGTGATAGTATCTCCTCATCCCCCCAGCCTATAAGCTTCTCGGAGGCAGCACGGAGACTGTCCAGCATTCTGAGCATCTTACATGGAGTATATAGAAGCTTAATAAAATTCTTGTTTAAGTGCATGACACACGCCACTTCCGTTTCTGATCATCCTCATTTTCACTTAACAGGTCTTAACTCTGTACAAACATCAGTAGGAAACTAATCACTCAGGTTGGCCCTTAGCCCTGGATGCCTTTTGCTTATTTATCTAACCTTCTCTGGCTTGTTTTTGTGCAGAGAGATCTGGCAGAATGCAGTGGTTCTCGGGATTTTTCAAACCTGATCTTTCTCTTGGGGATTTTCAGGACTTTGATTCATACTTGAAACCTAAGATCTGAAAGCCGTGTTCAAGCTTGCGGAGTGACAATTCTCCCTCCCCATCACCACCCCGGCTCCTGGAAAGTCCCATTGCTAGATTTCTTGGTGCCCACCCTTGAAGTCCCCCTCTCTTCCTTCAGTTACCTGGGCTGGGACCACCTCCAGACACCACCATTCAAGCCAAACCTGTGGCTTCCTGAGACACATTGGTCCCTCCAGCTACTGGGATCTGTTGGACCACTGCTGCTGAAACTCTTCACTCCCTTCTTATCCCTCCAGGCCTCCTGTGCCTGACACCCTCCAATCACTGCCTAGGCCTCACTTCATTTCTCTACCCAGACACAGACTCTTGTTATTTCTCTCCCTCCTAAACCTTTCCACATAGGCCCTCTGGAATCTCTGAACTGTAGTGAACAAATTCCCCTGAATTCTTTTCATTGATTCCTAATTAAAAATTAATTGAGATATAATTCACACATAAAATTCACCCTTTTAATATATATAATCCAGTGAGTTTTCGTATGTTCACAAGCTTGTGCAACCATCACTACCAAAGTACAGAGCATTTTCATCAACCTAAAAGAAGTCCTGTACTTATTAGCAGTAACACCCCATTCCTCCCTACCCCCAGCCCCTGACAACCCTAATCTATTTTCCGTCTCTATGAATTTGCCTATTTTGGATGCCTCTACCAACATTTTCCCCTCCCTCTTTTCCAGCCTCCCTTCCCATGACCACTTTCTTGGACATTTTCATCACTACAAATTGCTCCATCCCTAAAATATTAAATTCAAGCAGTTTTTTTTGTTTGTTTTTGTTTTTGTTTTTAGGTGGAGTCTCGCTGTCACCGGGGCTGGAATGCAGTGGCATGATCTCAGCTCACTGCTGCCTCCGCCTCCTAGGTTCAAGTGATTCTCCTGCCTCAGCCTTCCAAGTAGCTGGGATTACAGGCACGCACCACTATGCCCAGCTAATTTCAAGCAGCTCTTCTGATCACCATCTCTTCTCCTTCCTCTACCCTCTTGTTACTTCTCTGCACTTAGTCTTTCATTTGATTCTAAACTCTGGTCCCTCGACCACTCTCCTTTTTCCTTACCTATTCTGACTACCTTCCCTCTGGTACCTGGGTCTTACAAACCTTTGTACTATTCACTTGCTAACATCTTCAATTTCTTCGCCCTTATCTTCGCATTGCAGCTGTTGGATGCAACTTCAAATTTGGAACAGTCCAGTAATCTGGCTACTCCGTCATGCAATCCTGCTCCCACTCTACTCTCAGTATCCTGTGCCTTCTACAGAGCCCAGGGTGGGGCCCAGGAGCCATGGGGGAAAACACTGTGCTAAGTGAAAGCAGCCAGTCGCAAAAGAGGACATATTGTATGATTCCATTTATATGAAATGTCCAGAATAGGCAAATACACAGGGACAGAAAGTAGACTAGTGGTTGCTAAGGCTGGAGGTGGAGGTGGGATAAGACGTGAATGAGAGGTATGGGGATGATAGCTAAAGGGTATGAGGTTTCTTTTAAAGGTGATGAAAATGTTCTGAAATTGCCTATGTGATGGTTGCACATATCTATACATATACTAAAAACCACTGAATTATACACTTCAAAATTTATGAATTGTGAGATAAGTGGAGCATATAGCAATAAAGCTGTTTAAAAAAAGTCATCCTGGGGATGTCAGCAAAATGGATGATTAGGAAGCTCCAAGCTCTTGTTCCCTCATGGAAAGCTAAACACACATATACACACACACACACACCCCCAGAGAGACAGAGAATTGGATGAACTAACTTTATAGAAGCTCTGGAAAACAGCCAAAGGTTAGAGCAGCCAAGTAAATGCCTAATCAAGGAAAGCCTCCTTAACTGCACCCTGGGTGAGAGAAGGAGACCCTGTCTCAAAAAATTTTTAAAAGCCTCCTTCAAAATAATAGGAATTTTTCCAGACACGGTGGCTCATGCCTGTAATCCCAGTACTTTGGGAAGCTGAGATGGGCAGATCATCTGAGGTCAGGAGTTCAAGACCAGCCTGTCCAACATGGTGAAACCCCATCTCTACTAAAAATACAAAAATTAGCCAGGCATGGTGACAGGCACCTGTAATCCCAGCTATTTGGGAGGCTAAGGCAGAAGAATCACTTGAACCCAGGAGGCGGAGATTGCAGTGAGCCAAGATCGTACTACTGCACTCTAGCCTGGGCAACAGAGCAAGACTCCGTCTCCAAAAAAAAAAAAAAAGGTTGGAAATTTCATTTTCTTTCTACCTTGTTCCACCTCCACTGCCAGCAGTATTGGTCTGGAGGAGATAGTAGCTCAAGCCCCAGCTCTTCCTTAAACTCAAAGAAGGAGAGCCAGACCCATCATGTGCAATGCTCTAATCTGTCTGGGGTCCACTTGCAGGAGTAGTCTCTGCTTTGCCTAAGGGAAAAGGGGAAGCATTGCTTATGAAACCAGCAGACCGACTACAGACCTTCAGACACTGAAGACAAAGATTACAGTTGAGACATACAACAGACCATCTAAAGCCCCAAGAAGCTCAAGGAATTTCAAGTAAAATAAACTCAAAGAGACCTACGCTGAGACATATTAGAATCAAACTGTTGGAAGCCAAAGACAAAGAGAGAATTTTGAAAGCAATAAGAGAGAAGACTCATCATGTATAGGGATCCTCAATAAAATTATCAGCCAATTTATCAGCAGAAACTTTGAAGCCCAGGGGGCATTGGGATGATATAAAGTACTGAAAGAAGAAAAGTTGTCAATTAAGAATTCTATGTCCAGCAAAAGTATCTTCCAAAATATTAGTAAGAGAGAAATTAAGAAAGTCCCAGATAAACAAAAGCTTAGGGAGTTGATTACCACCAGCACTGCCCTGCAAGAAATGCTGAAAGTAGATCTTCAGGTTGAAATGAAAAGATGACAGTAAGCTGAAACTAGGTGAAGAAATATATCAAGATCTTTGTTTGAGGTAAACACACAGCAAATTAAAAAGCCAGTATTGTTGGAATTTTGGTTTGTAATTCCACTTTTAAATACAGGATGTCTTAGTCCATTTAGTGCTGTTATAAATGAATACCTGAGGCTGGATAATTGATAAAGAGGTTTATTTGGCTCACAATTCTGCTGGCCGGAAGACTGGGCATCTGGTAAAAGCCTCAGCCTTTTCCCACTCATTTTAGAAGGGAAAGGGAAGCTGGAGTGTGCAGAAATCACACAGTGAAATAGAAAGCAGGAATGAGAAATGGGAGGTGCCAGGCTCTTTTTAACAACCAGTTCTCATGGAACTAATAAAGTGAGAATGCACTCCCCTGGAACTGCATTCTATTCATGAAAGGTCTGCCCCCAAGATGCAAACACCACCCATTGGGCCCCACCTCCAATATTGGGGATCAAATTTCAACATGAGTTTTGCGGGGCACAAATATCTAAATTATAGCACAGGATTTAAAGACAATGAATAAAATAATTATAAATCTTTGTTAGTGGGTATATAATAATGTAAACTCTAACATCGGTAACACAAAATGGGGGGCACGGAGCTGTATAAGTAAAATGTTTGTATGCAATTGAAGTTAAGTTAGTATCAATTCAAATTAGATCATTATAACTTTAGGATGTTATATGTAATTCCCATGGTAACCACAAAATGTATTTATAGAATATACACAAAAGGAAATGAGAAGTGAATAAAACATGTCACTACAAAAAAAATCAACTAAATGTAAAGAAAGGTAGAAATGGAGGAAATGAGGAACACAAAAAGCTGAAAAGCAGCCAGATGCAGTGGCACATGCCTGTAGTTCCAGCTGCTTGGGAGGCTGAGGTGAGAGGATCACTTGAGCCTAGGAGTTTGAGGCCAGCCTGGGCCACATAGTGAGACCCCATCTCTTAAGAATGCAAGCAAGCAAGCAAGCAAGAAGAGCTAAAACATACAGAAAACAAATAACAAAATGGCAAAATAAGTCATTGAGTCATTGTCTATCAGTAAATGGATTTAAATTTAAATTTAATTGGGTTCAATGCCTCAGTCAAAAGTTATAAACTGGCAGATTAGATTTTTTAAAAATGATTCAATTATATACTGTCCACAATAGACTTGCTTTAGCTCTAAGGACACAAATAGATTGAAAGAGAAAGGATTTAAAAAGATGTACACAGTAACGAAAAGAGAACAGGGATGGCTATATTAATATCAGACAAAACAGATTTTAAAGTCTAGTTCTACAAGAGAAAAAGAAGGGCATTGTATATTGATAAGAATCAATTCATCAAGAAGATATAACAGTTATAAACCTATATGCACCAAACATCAGGGATCCAAAATATATAAGCATACAAGGATAGAATTGAAGGGAAAAATAGGTAGCTTAACAACAGTAATTGGAAATTTCAGTACTCCACTTTTAATAGTGAATAGAACAACTAGGCAGAAGACCAATTAAAGAAATGGGAGACTGGCTGGGCATGGTGGCTCACACCTGTCATCCCAGCACTTTGGGAAGCCGAGGTGGGTGGATCACTTGAGGTCAGGAGTTCAAGACCAGCCTGGCCAACATGGAGAAACCATGTCTCTACTAAAAATACAAAAATTAGCTGGGCATGGTGGCAGGCACCTGTAGTCCCATCCCAGCTACTTGGGAGGCTGAGGCAGGAGAATTGCTTGAACCCAGGAGGCAGAGGTTGCAGTGAGCTGAGATCGCTCCACTGCAGTCCAGCCTGGGCAGCAGAGTGAGACTGTCTCAAAAACAAAAAACACAATACATCCCTAAGCCAAAAATTGGAATTCTGAAATGCTTCAAGATTTAAAACTTTGAAGGCCTATGGAATACTACAAGTGAAAAAATCCTACACCTGACCTCATGTGATGGGTCACAGTCAAAACTTTGTTTTATGCACAACATTATTAATAATATTGTATAAAACTATCTTTAGGCTGTGTATAAGGTATATATAAACATAAATAAATTTCATGTTTAGACTTAGGTCCCATCTCCAAAATATCTCATATATGCAAATATTCTAAAATCTGAAAAATTTGAAATTTGAAATACTTCTTGTCCCAAGTGTTTTCGATAAGGGAAACAACTGGTATACCAAGATGTATGGGATGCAGTGAAAGCTGTACATGCTGTAAAATAGCTATAAAAGCTTACATTGAGAAGTTGTAAATGCTTATATTAAAAAAGAAGGAGGATCTCAAATCAACAACCTAAATTTACACCTTAAGGAGCTAGGGAAAAAAAAAAAAAAGAACAAGATAACCCAAAGCTAGCAGAAAGAAAGAAATACTAAAGATTGCAACAGACATAAAATAGAGAACAGAAAAACAGAAAATCAACAAAACCAAAAGTTGGTTCTTTGAAAAACATCAGTAAAATTGACACTATCAGCCAGATTAATTAAAAAACAGAGAAGACTCAAATTACTAAAATAAGAAATGAAGTGAGGAGATTACTCTAAAATTTATAAAAATAAAAATATAAATAATATTTTACAGAAATAAAAAGGGTGATAAGAGATTAATATAAACAATGGGTAAGGTTGTTGGTTATGTAATAAATTTGATAACCCAGATGAAATGGACAAATTCCTGGAAACATAAAACCTACCAAGACTGAATCATAAAGAGATGGAAAGCCTGAATAGATCCACAACTAGTAAGAAGATTGAAGCAGTAATCAAAAATGCCCCAGTGAAGAAAAGTTCTGAACCAGATAGTTTTACTGGTGATTTCTACCAAACATTTAAAGAAGAATGAACACTCATCCTTCTCAAACTCTTCCAAAACATTGGAGAGAATACTCCCTGACTCACTCTGTGAAGCCAGCGTTACTATGATACCAAAGCCAATTTTCTAACCAAAGTTAGAAAAGAAAACCACAAAGCAATATCCCTTAGAAACTCTGATGCAAAAGTCCCCAACAAAATATTAGCATAGATAATTCAACAGTACACCGATAGGATTATACAGCATAACCAAGTGAGATTTATTTCTGGAATGCAAGCATGATTCAACATATAAAAACCAATCAACATAATACCGCCACATTAATAGAATGAAGGAAAAATACTACATGGTCATCTCAATTGATGCAAAAAAAGCATTTGACAAAACTCAACACACTTCCATGATAAAAACAAACTAGGAAGGGAAAGAAGCTTCCTCGATATGATAAAGGCCATATACAAAAAGCCCACAGATAACAACATACTCAATGGTGACAGACTTCAAGTTTTCCTCTAAGATCAGGAACAAAACAAGGATGTATGCATTTGCCACTCTTATTCAACATATATAGAAAGTTCTAGCCAGAGCAATTATGCAAGAAAAGAAATAAAAGGCATCCAAATTAGAAAGGAAGAAGTACAATTATCTGTTTGCAGATGACAATCTTACATATAGAAAACTCTAATTTTTTAAAAAAGAAAAACTGTTAGAGCTAATAAGCAAATTCAGTAAAGTTGTAATTTACAAAATCAACAAACAAAAATCAAATGCATTTCTTTGCTCTAAAAACGAAGAATTCAAATAGGAAATTAGGAAAACAACTCTGTTTATGATTACATAAAGCAGAATAAACTAGGAATAAACTTAACCAAGGAGGTGAAAGACTTGCACACTGAAACTACAAAATTTTGCTAAAATAAATTAAAGAAGAGATAAATGTAAAGACATTCAATGCTCATGGAGTGGAAGACTTAATATTGTTAAAATGACAAAGTTACTCAAAGTGACCTACAGATTAATTGCAACTCCTATGAAAATGTCAATTTTTTTTTACAGAAATAGAAAAACCCATCCTAAAATTTATATATAATCTTGTGGGACCCCAAATAGTCAAAACAGTCTTGAAAAGAAAACATAGTTGAAGGACTCGTACTTTCTGATTACAAAACTTACTACAAAGCTACAGTAATCCAAATAGTTTGGTACTGGCATAAAGACAGATAAATAGGCCAACGGAATAGACTAGAGAGCCCAGAAATAAACCCTCATATGTGTGTATGTGTATGTATGTGTGTGTGTGTGTGTGTGTGTGTGTTCAAATGATTTTCAGCAAGGGTGCTGAAAATGATTCTGGGACAAGTGGATAGCCACATGCAAAAGAATGAAGGTGGATCCTTGCTTTACACCAGATATAAAAATTAACTCAAAATGGATCAAGATCTAAATGTAAGAGCTGAAACCACAAAACTCTTAGAATAAAACACAGGGGAAAATCTTCATGACATTGGATTTGGCATTGATTTACATAGGACACCAAAAGCGGAGGCAGCAAAAGTAGACTGACAAATTGAACTCCATGAAAATGGAAAACTTTTGGGCATCAAAGGACACTATCAAGACAGTGAAGAGACAACCTGCAGAATGAGAGAAAAAAAAAATCCCAGGAACTGGTGTTCTCTAGAACCCCCTTCGACAACACTGGCCACTCCGTCCTCTTCACTGTGTAGACCTCTTGTTCAGCCTGTGTGGACTACTCTCTGTCTTCCCAATCAGCTGTGCTCTCTCCCACCTCTAGGCCTTTTTGCACAAACCATTCTGTCTGTAACGGACACCTTTGTCTCCTGCCCCATGACCCACCTGGCTTACTTTTGCTCACCTTCATGTGCTATTTAAACATCACTTCCTTTAGGGTACCTTCCTGGGTATCTTGTCATATCTGCAGACAGCATCTGCAGTACTTCCACCAGGACAGTATAATAGTATCTGGCCATTTTTGTTTATTTACTTGTATTTCTCTGTCACTAGGCTGTTACCTTCATGGAGGAGGGACCCCATGTAGCCTAAGAATTGCTGTGTCTGCCACCAGTACAGTGCCTGGGACCAGCAGGTGCTCCATTACCCCTCGGGGATTGGGAAAGGGAGAAAATCAGAGAGGGAGGGGTGGATATTGAATTCCTAAAGGTCACACTTCCCCCCCATTATAGATGTGGGTCTCACTGAAGCTCCAGGAGCAGAGCTGCTCCTCCCACCTCCCATTCATTGATTTCTGCCTTCTGCTCTAGTTTTCTGTGCACGTACTTCATTCTGTGAGGGCCCCATTTGTCTCTGCATTCCCCACAGCACTATGAACATAGCAGATGCTTAATAAATCGTTACATAAATAAGCACGCACATATAAAAACCGTATGCTGTAAAGGAACTATTCTGACCTTTGGTTGTCCTACTTAGAGACAGAGAAAGAATTCCAAAGTCACCCAACATGCACTTGGGCCATCTTTTGTTATCAACTCTTTGTTGCTTTTTATGTACCTTTCATTTCAGATGACCAATTTGAAAATTGTCTTGAAATGTAAAAGTATAAAAATATAATTTCTTTTGTTTTTTTCTCAGGGAGTGGGGCTTACTTCTAAATGAACAATAAGAATTACATCAAACTTCCCATCAGAAACCAGGCAAGCAACAAGAGAATGGAGTGAAATATTTTAAAAAGTGTTAAAACTTCCATCAACCTAGAATCTGTATCCAGGGGAATTTTTCTTCAAAGGTGGAGAGGATATGAAGACAAAGAAAAACTGAGAGAAGATTTTGCCCTTACACCTGCCTTGCATGAAATGTTAAAAGAAGCCCTTCAATGAAAAGGAAAATGAAATCTTGGCTCTACATAAAGGAAGAACAATGAAGATGGACTAAATGGAAGTAAAGGAAAATATTTTACCTTTATTATTCTTAATTGGCCTTATAGATAACTGTTTGTTTAAAATAGTTAAGAACAAGAATGTCTCAAGTGATTATGGCTTATTGTTAAGTTCATGAATGCTAGCAATGTCTAAGAAATGGGAGGAAGGAATGAGGAATGCTCTGTTACAGGGTATCTGCACTTGCTGTTGTTTTAAGAGATGTTCGCTTTCCTTCTACCAAGCAGAAGGCAGAGGAATTCATGGTGGCAATGATGGGGCTGGCAAAGAGAGCTCCAGGGCTGGATTTTCCCAACAATTTTATTACCCAGGAGTCAGGAGAGTGTCTGTGAGATAAACCCAGCTCTGACCCCTTCCCTCACCCCTCCATTTATCCAAAGGTCCTGCTAGACCTCGGGCCAGAGGCTGGGGGCCAGGACCTTCCCACTCCAGGGACACAAATTCTTCTTTTAGGTAGCCCCAGCTTGTTGGTCTCAGCAATCAACAGTTGACTTAATAAGCCCATTTCATTAACAGATGCACATTGCATCTATTAATGAATCACTTCACCCATGGAATGGCAGGCTCCAGAGGGGCTATGAAATGGTGGTGCCTCAGGCAATCACCTGCCGTCATGTCACCCTTGAAAGGTTGAATGTTTTGTCCATCTGGTGGAGGTGAGAATTGAACTTAAAGCCTAGTGAAGCTATGTATTTACCTTGCCCCTCTTTGCAGGGACAGAGTCAATCTCTGGTTCCCCCTATATTTCTCAGGATGGGAGGAAATGGGGATCCTTCTTCCTATATCATGGAAGGGAGAATGAGGACCTCACAAAGGAAAGAAACTCACTACATCTGTCAGAAGTAAGGCCTGCCTGAAATCAGTGAGGCTCATCGCAGCCCAAAATTCAGGCAGTGAGAAATTCACCAAAGTGGCCTTTCTGAGGAGAATTAGAGAAATGTTTGAGGCTCATAGATAGGCACCTAGAAACGCCATGAAGAAAGTCACAAATAATGCCTCAAATGATGTGCTCAAATCACGCTAGAGTGAAAAAATTGGAAACACCACCTTTACCATGAATTTCTCTTTTTTTTTTTTTTTCGAGACGGAGTCTTGCTCTGTCACCCAGGCTGGAGTGCAGCAGCACAATCATGGCTCACAGCAAGCTCCACCTCCCGGGTTCATGCCATTCTCCTGCATCAGCCTCCCGAGCAGCTGGGACTACAGGTGACCACCACCACGCCTGGTTAATTTTTTTGTATTTTCAGTAGAGACGGGGTTTCACCATGTTAGCCAGGATGGTCTTGATCTCCTGACCTCGTGATCTGCCTGCCTTGGCCTCCCAAAGTGCTGGGATTATAGGCGTGAGCCACCACGGCCAGCCTTTACCACGAATTTCTAATAGCTCCCTAGGCCAAGGTGTTTTTTCTCTCCTCTGTCTCCTCTCTCGTAGCAAATTCCTACCGCACACAAACAGGGAAGAAGAGCCCTTGTCACTTGTCCAGAACAGTGTGGGAGCTGTTGGGTGCTGGCTGTGGGAAGGTACACACCTTGACAGGTTTCTGGCCTGGAGAACGAGGGGAGAAAGTTCCCTCCAGGGTGCCCCTCAGTTTGGGCCCTTAAGGTAATCAGAGCCAGCGGATGTTGAGAGTTTGAGAGGTTCAGTAAGGTTCCTAGAGCCACAGGACAGGAGGGAGCTGTTGGTGGTTGGGGAGACAGTTGGAGAAAGTTCCAGGGGAGTTCCAGGGAGGAGCCGATATGTAGGGCAGGAGAGAATAGGAAAAAAAAGAATGGGTGGGTTTGCCAGCATTCCTCCTTCCAAGGATTCTAAGGAAAAGAGTGGAAACTGCGGAGACAATTCTCTTACCGTTTCTCCTTTCAAGATGCACAGAGAGTCAGGCAGAAGGGACACTAGAGTGCAGGAAAAGAAGGCCGCAGAGACAGGTGCAGAAGGTTGGAGGGAGGAACCACTGAGACCAGCGTCCGTGGAAAGATGTCCAACGTTTGACCACGGAGAGCAACAGGCCCTCAGCCACAGACAGGAGAGATCGGGATTGACAACTATCTTCAGAGCTCCCAGTCTGCGGGCATTGATTGACTGATTAAGGCGGAGTTTCACTCCTGTTGTCCAGGCTGGAGTGCAATGGCTCGATCTGGGCTCACTGCAAGCTGTGCCTCCCGGGTTCAAGCGATTCTCATGCCTCAGCCTCCTGAGAAGCTGGTATTACAGGCACCCACCACCATGCCCAGCTAATTTTTTTTGTAGTTTTAGTAGAGGCGGGGTTTCACCACATTGGCCAGTCTGGTCTCAAACCCCTGACCTCAGGTGATCCACTGGCCCTGGCCTCCCAAAGTGCTGTGATTATAGGTGTGAGCCACCCACCGCACCTGGCCATCACGGGGATTTAGAATCATCCCCTTCCCCAACAAGTGTGGCCTGGAGCCTGCAGAATAATGGAGACCACCACCACCTGGCTCAGACCCAGGTCTTCCAGGCTGGCTCACACTTGGGTAAGGTTCTGCCAATCAGGTAACTAAGCCCAGGGCAAGTACGTGGTTTTCAGGTCCTGGGTTTCCTGCTGTGTTTTAAATGACCACACCTGGAACCATCTCCTTACTTTCTTTCTAGAGAATTCCTCCCAGGAAAATCAACAAATCAATGAGAAGTCAAACACTTACCCAGTAGTTTTGCACAGTAGAGCACCTGAGGAATTCGTGAAAAACACCAATGCCTGGCCCCACCCCAGGTGAATTAGACCAGAATTTCGGAGGGTGAAGCCTAGACATGGAGGGTTTCAAATGCTTCCCAGGTGACTCGCATATGCAGCCAGGCTGGGGAGTCCTTGTATTCAATCTAGATAAATAGCAGGCATGCGGCAGGTGCTGAAGGTGCAAAGATGAACAAGGTGAGGATCCCGCTCTTGATAAACTCACAGCTTAGAAGGGAGATGAGCATCCAAACAAACAAACAGCCAGGTGTGGTGGCTCAAACCTGTAATCCCAACATAATGGGAGGCTGAGGCAGGAGGATTGCTTGAATCAAGGAGTTCAAGACCAGCCTGGGCAACATAGTGAGAACCCCCACCACCCCACCCCCCACCACCCCCACCATCTCTACAAAAAGAAAGAAAGAAAGAAAGAAAAAAATTAGCCATGTGTGGTAGTGCACACCTTGAGGCTGAGGAGGGAGGAATGCTTGAGCCTGGGAGGTAGAGGCTACAGTGAGCCATGTTTGTGCCACTGCACTTCAGCCTAGAGTGAGACTCTGTCTAAAGAAAACAAAACAAAACAAAAAAACACAGAAAACAAAATCACCAACTGTGGGCCGGGTGTAGTGGCTCATGCCTGTAATCCTAACACTTTGGGAGTCCATGGTGGGCGGATCACTTGAGGTCAGGAGTTTGAAACCAGCCTGGCCAACATGGTGAAACCCCGTCTCTGCTAAAACTTCAAAAAAAGTAGCCAGGTGTGGTGGCACACACCTATAATCCCAGCTACTTGGGAGGCTGAGGCAGGGGAATTGCTTGAACCTGGGAGGTGGAGGTTGCAGTGAGCCAAGATCACACCACTGCACTCCAGCCTAGGCAACAGAGTGAGACTCCATCTCAAAAAAAAAACAAAATCACCAACTGTGTGCTGAGTTCAGTCATAGAAGCACTCCCAGATTAAAGAGGAGGGTGCGTTAATCATGTTTTTTAAAAAAATTTTTTTAGAGGATAGGGTCTTACTCTGTTGCCCAGGCTGGAGTGCAGTGGTGCAATCATAGCTCACTTCAGCCTTGACCTCCTGGACTCCAGGGATCTTCCCACACAGCTAGGACTACAGTCCGCACACCACCTTGTCCAGCTAATTTTTAAAATTTTTGTAGAGATGGGAGTCTCACTATGTTACCCAGGCTGGTCTGGAACTCCTGGGCTGAAGCAATCCTCCTGCCTTGGCCTCCCAAAGCACTGGGATTAGAGGTGTGAGCCCTTGTGCCCAGCCAGTCATGTTTTTTTAAATTTTGTTTTGTTTTGTTTGAGACGGAGTTTCACTCTTGTTGCCCAGGCTGGAGTGCAATGGCACGATCTCGGCTCACCGCAACCTCTGCCTCCCGGGTTCAAGTGATTCTCCTGCCTCAACCTCCCAAGTAGCTGGGATTTCAGGCATGTGCCACCACCCCGGCTAATTTTGTATTTTTAGTAGAGACGGGGTTTCTCTATGTTGGTCAGGCTGATCTTGAACTCCCGACCTCAGGTGATCCCCCCCGCCTCGGCCTCCCTAAGTGCTGGGATTACAGGCATGAGCCACTGTGCCTGCCTATGTTTTTAATTTTCTGTATTTTATGATGGTTTGACATCTTGAGGGCCCTGCTGGCCTGGAAGAGACTGTCCCTCCCAGGGCTAGCTAATTCCTAAGATAGTAAATAACTTGCCTGTGAACTTGCCTTTCATGTGCACATCAGCCAATTCATTCCCCAACCCCCAACCACCTCCTTTATCTACTGTCACACCGAGCCAGTATTACCCCTGCCCTAAATCACCCCAGACCAACATCATACAAACCAGCCAATCCTCAACCAGCTCAGCCACCCAACCTGCCCCTTCCTTCTTTCCTTCCCATAGGAAACACAATCAGGGCTCTACTTTGTCCCGGCTCCTCCTGCCTCCTGACCTACCAGCTGCTTCCCCATGTGGCCCTGCATGATATGGTATGCCCCTTCTCTTGGAGACTATAGATAATAAATACTTTCAGTGACATTGGCCTCTTCGTGTTGTCACTTGGTAACCTCTGTCAGTTAAAATCCCACCAATACAATCAAGACAGAAGGTATGATTCTCTTACGGAGTGAGGGTCAGAAAAGGCTTTGCGAGAGGGACAGGAGGAGGTGAGAAGGCACTGGGGCAGAAGGGTGCGGAGGCTGGTGGACAAGGAGCAGGATGTGATTGTTGGAGTACAAAACACAAGGGACCAAGAGAGGTGGGGTGGGGACAGCGTGCAAGTCTTAGGCTGGATCGGGGAACCCTGGGCAGCACGGGATGCCCCCCTTTCGTATTGTCACTCAGCCTTACAACATCTCCAAGAGCTGGATAGAAGACAGGAGACTATTCTACAGATGGGAAACTGGGGCATGCTGAAAAGTTGATTCTTCCTTAAATAAGAGCTGACTTACGCACTTGTCTTCTCTCCAGCAAGTCCTCCTAACTAACCCATTTCTCCGTGTGGGTTTCTGTGAGGTTAACAAGGTCATAGTGGAGAGGCTTCAGGCTGGCACCAACATTCCTGGCCCGAAACTATGGGAAGAGAGCCTATACTGGCAAAACTCCTTTTTAAGAGAGAAGATATGTGCTTTGGGCATGGACCTACCACTGCCAGCTTGTGCCTTAGTCAAGCTTCCTATTCTTTCTATTCCTGTTTCCTCATCTTTAGAGTGGGTGTACTAACCCATGGGCCATGTAGACGAGGAAGGGGAAGGGTGAGCATGGGTGTTTGACACATAGTATGTTTGATTCCATCTTTTCCCTCTTATTTCTTTATTGAGACAGGATCCTGCTGTGCCGCCCAGGCTGGAGTGCAGTGATACGATCACAGCTCACTGCAGCCTTCAACCCTCCAGGCTCAAGCAATCCTCCCACCTCAGCCTCCTGGGTAGCTGGCACTACAGGCACGTGCCAACACACCTGGGTAATTTTTTTGTTTTTTTTTTTTTTGTAAAGACGAGGTTTTGCCATGTTGCCCAGGCTGGTCTCGAACCTCTGGGCTCAAGCAATCCTCTCACCTTGGCCTCTTAAAGTGCTGGGATTACAGGCATCACCCACAGTGCCCAGCCTTATCTTTTCCCTCTTAAACCAAGAAAAATTCTAACTCTGATGAGAACGAAAAGAGAGGGGATCCATCAAAACTGCAAGACAGCAGCTCAGGAGGTGCCAAGGGATGATAGTTCAGTAAGGGCATCTCTTCCAGGCAATCAGTGCCATAAGGGGCTCCTTGGGGCTATTGATCTGCGGAGGAACCACAAGATCTTCTCAGCTAGCCAGTGTCAGCTTCCATCATCTTGTGCTAAATAAGGCCTGTCACTTTCCTGGAGAGCCTCCAGAGAAAACTGCAGGGCAAACAGATGTTGCAATAGGCCCAAGGAGCTCAGATACCGCCCGTCCTGTTTCCTGAGCTTCTCTGTAGAAAGGCAAGGCTGGGGATAGTCTTTTCCATCCCCACTCTCTGCCTCCAGGTCTTTGCTCCACGTGGATGCTTTGTGCCCCTAGGGCTGTTCCAATGACAACAACAGCTTTTATTGACTGAGCACTCACTGTGTGCAAAGGAGCATGTAAGTGCGTGTAACCAGCACTGTTCCATTTCCTCCTCCCACAGCCTTTTGGCATGGGGACTCTTACCCTGCTTTACAGCTGAAGCTTGGTGGGATTGAAAACTTTATCCAAGGTCACACAGCTAGTGAATGGAAGAGCTGGATCCCAACCCAGATCTGCCTGAATCCAAAGCCTGTATGCTTCCTCCCTGCACGAGGGTGTCTTGGGCCACTTGGATTTTCCAGCCTCAGTCCAAAGGCCTGTGGACAACGAACCTTTGTTGTGCGGGCTGTATCTCTTTGATTCAGTTCACCCAAACTGTGACACTTTGGATCTTCCCTCTTTGATACCTCTCCTGTGTCTCATCTTATTAATTCATGCATGCATCTAATCAACAGATTTCCACTGGGGTCCTTTCCAGGCCAGGTGTCGAGTACCTCGGAGGCTGTGTGCTCCCTTCCCACTATACCAGTGTGCAACTAGAAAAAAAAAAAAAGTGGTTTAAGCTGGGTCTAGAACGGAGTTTAGCTGATCCCTTCTGGGAAAGGTGAGTAGAGTAGCTGCCCAGGCAATTTAAATATCCATGGGCCACCTGGGCACGGTGGCGCACATCTATAATCCCAGCAGATTGCCTGAGCTCAGGAGTTCGAGACCAGCCTGGGCATCATGGTGAAACCCCCGTCTCTACTGAAACACAAAAAATTAGCCAGGCATGGCAGCATGCGCCTGTAGTCCTGGCAACCCGGGAGGCGGAGGTTGCAGTGAGCTGAGATCATGCCTCTGCACTCCAGCCTGGGCAACAGTGCGAGACTCCATCTCAATTAAAAAAAAAAAATCCTTGCCTAGCCACGTACAATGCAATGTCCTAAGCTCTGAGGCTTACTGCCACAATAAATGCAACACAATATTCACCTCCACAGTTTAATGGGAAAGACGAACATTTATCTAACCAACACCAAAACAAGACAGCCTGTGATAAGGCTATAACAAAGGGGTAAACTAGTAGGGAAACTTGTGAGAACAGAATTGAGGAAGACTTCACCGTAGAGAAGGTATTTTGCAATGAGTCTTGGAGGCTGTTTACCGTGAGTTCATCCTTTTCTCTGTGAGGGGGACTAGAACTCTTGCATAGAATCCTTCAAGGCCTGTCTGAGTCCCAAGCTCTGACATCTGATTAGGTATTGCTGCAGAGTCTCATTAGAGCGGCCCTGGCTCTGAAGCGCCTCTTCAATGAGTCCTCGCACCAATTGCAGCCTTCGGTTTGAGGGCTGATGGCTGTCACACTGCCCGGTGGAGGAGTGAAGGCAGCCAAGTCATTAAGCCCAAAGCCACCAACAGCAAGTGTGCGCTGGGAGCCGTGAGAGGCTTGGCCCATGTGTCAGAACATTTGCAGACACCGGCCAAGGAATAAAGACTGGGTCTGGGACAAGGCCAGGCTCTTGCTCTTCACCGGGAAAGTCATTTGAGAATTCAGGAAACACAACAGCGGCCTTCCTGGGCCTTCTGACCTTTCTTCCTCTTTACCCTGGCCTTATCCATGATGTTTGCCTACCTGGGAGGGAGCTTTTTCAGGAAGGTAACTGCTAAGGTCAGGGTGGGACGTTGTGGAGCTCACTTTGTCTTTTTTTTTTTTTTTTTTTTTTTTTTTTTTAGACACACTCTCACTCTGTCGCCCAGGCTGGAGTATAGTGGTGTGATCTCGGCTCACTACAACCTCCACCTCTGCAACCTCCACTCCGGGTTTCAAGCCATTCTTGTACCTCAGCCTCCGGAGTAGCTAGGTTTACAGGTGCCTGCCACCATGCCCAGATAATTTTTGTATTTTTAGTAAAGATGGGATTTCGCCATGTGGTCAAGCTGATCTCCAACGCCTGACCTCAAGTGATCCACCCGCCTCAGCCTTTCAAAGTGCTGGGATTACAGGCATGAGCCACCATGCCTGGCCGACTGTTTTCTTTTTATATGTAGCAATCATCTCCCAAAGCAATGCCAGATGGGTGCGGGTGGAAGGGTTGAGGGAAGCCTAGTCCTCTGTAGCTCCAGAGGGGAAATGGATCAGGCTACCCAGAAGCAGGTTTCTGCTCAGCATCAGGTCAGCCACCACTGATGAGATGACTGGTCCCTTGCAGGACCACCTGAGGATTCATAAGGGACCCATCAACACAGTGTTTAGATACTGCCCAGGGTGGGGAGAAATGGGAGGAGCCAGCCTAGGGGAGCATGAGGAGCTTGGGTTCTCACTATCCCAGGCAGAGGAACCAGCTCAGCCCCAAGCTCTGATACAGATGGCAGAAAGGAGCTGGCATCCTTCCAGCAGCCCCGTGCTCCCGACATGATCATCTGGGAGGGTTCTGGTGGGTGTGAATGTCTGGCTTTCCTACAGAGAGCCCTCCTTCAAGGGACCCTCTGGGGGAGCTATGTCCTGCCAGGAACATTGCTGAAGGGATCCCACTCTTGAGAATAGGATGGATTTGGAGCAGTGGTTTTTCCACATCTGCTCTAGGGAGGTGCTTCAAGAACCACTGTGGATGCAAAGTGTGGGGAAGGAAAGCTGACTGGTGAGAGCCTGGGCCTGTACAAGCTATTCTACAGTAATGTTCTGTTTAGTGTATATTTTAAAGAATAAGGCCGGGTGCAGTGGCTCATGCCTGTAATCCTGGCACTTTGGGAGGCCAAGGTGGGTGGATCACTTGAGGCCAGAAGTTTGAGACCAACCTGGCCAACATGGTAAAACCCCATCTCTACTAAAAAAAAAATACAAAAATTAGCCAGGTGTGGTGGCACATGCATGTAATCCCAGCTATTCAGGGGGCTGAGGCAGGAGAATTTCTTGAACCTGGGAGACAGAGGTTGCAGTGAGCCGAGAACGCGCCACTGAACTCCAGCCTAGGTGACAGAGCGAGACTCCGTCTCAAAAAAAGAAAAAAAAAATTTATATACCTGCAGAATAATTCTGCTGGTAAATAGTCAAGAACTCACTGAGTGGGCCAATATGTATGAACACACCTCTGTTGCACCTTTGCTGTCTGCTCTTCTGTGTTCTTGACCCGTGTTGCCCATTTTTATCCTCAGAAATACTCTATGAGATGTGCGGCGACTGGCCCCATTTTCAGGCAAGGAAATGGCACAGAGAGTGGGAGAGCTCGCCCAAGGCTCACTGCTGGTCAATGGCAGTGGCTGGGTTTTAAGCCAGCCACACTGACCCTGGGCCTCCACTCTTTCCCATGGCGCTCTCCTGATCCCTCTCCCCACCTCACCTCTGAGGACTATGATTTGGTGTTTCTGTCCTTGATCAGATGACCCTGGCAACTCTGAATGAATGTGCCTGAGTTGACTTCACTGCCGATCCCTGTGTGTCTCCCTTCGGAAGCGCAATCCTGTGGGGCAGGAATGCAATCTGATGGAGGGAAGGAGCCTTCCCCAAAGGCCGGCCTGGGGCCCAGCCTGGGTATATGTGCAGCCTGAGTATTTTTCCATAGATGTGACTGGGAAAGGTTTCTGAAATGAGTGGCCTTGGGGGGACTTCCTAAGCTGGTTGGCTAGGGAGTAATAACATTTCTGAACAATCAGGCTGTCCCCAGTGCCCTGTCTCTGGGCCTCCTCTAGCTCCCTCCCCTTCTGTCTGGGGCCTGCCTTGGGAATGCTCTCTACCCCCGTTACCCGGCTACCAAATCCCACGCCACCTAAAATGCCCAGCTCTGGCCCGGTGCCTTCTTCAAGCTTTCCTAATGGTCGCCTGGGCCAGCATCACTCAGGCTGAGACATCATTATAGACATCCCCCCGCTTACAATGATTTGATTTATGATTTTTCAATTTTATGATGGTGCAAAGGCAACATGCGTTCAACAGAAACCATACTTCAAATTGTGAATTTCGATCTTTTCCTGGGCTAGCAGTATGTGGTAGGATACTGCCCCGTGATGCTGGGCAGTGCAGAGAGTGCAGCTCCCATTCAGCCAGACGATCACGTGGGTGAACAACCTGATACCACATGCTGCTGTGTCCTGCATCCAGTAAGTTACATGAGAGAGTCAACACTTTGTTATAAAATGGGCTTCGTGCCAGATGATTCTGCCCAGCTGTAGGCTGATGTAGGTGTTCTGAGCACATTTAAGGTAGGCTAGGCTAAGCTGCGATGCTCAGTTGGTTAGGGGTATTAGGTGCATTTTCGACTTATAATAGTTTCCATTTATGATGGGCTTATCAGGATGTAACCCCTTCATAGGTCAAGGGGCATCTGCACTTGACTTTCTACCTGTGCAGATCTTGCCTTCTCAAGTAGGTCATATATTTCTTGATGGCAGCTTCTCTGTCTTGGTATTGGTAGGGGTCCTTGGGAAAACTTTTTTTGAGGGGCTTGGGCCTCCCAAGAAAATATCACTTGACAACGAGACCTTCTTCCTTTGGTCACCAGGTTTCCTACTAAATTAATAGAGTCCACAGGCCTTCAATTATAAACAGATGATGCCATGGCTTCACCCACTGGGTCCCTTGGAGGAAGGTGTTTCTGGAGGACCCACCAGAACCCTCCCAGTTGCTCATGTTGGAAGCATGGGGCTGCTGGAAGAATGCCAGCCCCTCTCAGCCAACGGAGACCATGTGCCCCTATCTGCAATGGTGAAGACTGGAGCTCTTCACTCTCTTCAGGGTTGAGCTCCTCCAGTTTCTCCCCACCCCTATCTAAGACAGGCAGCAACACTGCAACTTGCTGTTGGCCCACTCTATCTAGTGAAAATATTATCTCTCTTAAGTTGTATCATTTAATGATACTGAAGTGGCGTCATTGTCTGGGGTAAATACCTGAGGTTTGTTGTCTCAGCCAAGAAGGTTAAGGACACAGACACACACCAGGAGAGAACTTAGGAGTGGAAGATTAATAGGCAAAAGAAAGAGAAAAGAGAACAGCTCTCTCTCTCTTGCAAGAGAGACAGGGGTCTCAACGGGAATTCTGGCCTGTGCCTGAGTGCACTGGATATTATAGACTGGCTTGAGGAGGTGGTGCCTGATTTACATGGGGCCCACAGATTGGTTGGACCAGTTGTGAAATTTACATAACACGCAGGGTAGGCTAGCTACCCCATTCTAATCTTATTATGCAAAGGGCTTTCCACTTGGTCTGTGCTGTGTTGTCTGCTTCTTACTGTACACGTGGAAGTAAGGAGTGGCAAAGAGAAGGGAACACGGAGCCGCCATTTGGAACATGCCTAGCTCCAGGTAGCCTTTTCCTATTGGCACAACTGCCGGCATTCACCGCTGCAAGTTTCTAGCTTACTTGTCTATGTCTGCAGCTCTATTTTATAGGCTGCTCTTTGTTAGAAAAGAAAATGATTTGGGGGCTGTTTTTCATTAGAAGAAAAACCTTACCAAGGACTTCCTTACCCTTACTATCTGCCCAAATAATTTCCTCTTAACTGATATCAGTACTGTAACATAGCCTATCCTATCATGATGTAACTGAGCAACCCCATTTTTCTAAGACAAAAAGGTTTAAAAATTTTTTTTTCCTTTCTTTTTTCTTTCCTCCTTTTCCCCGTTTCCCACTTTCTACTTAGCTCTTTTTTTTTTTTTTTTTTTTTTTTTGAAATGGAGTCTCACTCTGTCACCCAGGCTGGAGTGCAGTGGCGCGATCTCAGCTCACTGCAACCTTCTTCTCCCGGGTTCAAGCGATTCTCCAACTTCAGCCTCCTGAGTGTCACGCGCATCCATGTAAAGAGTCCACCAAGCAGGCTTTGTGTGAGCAACAAGGCTGTTTATTTCACCTGGGTGCAGGCGGGCTGAATCCGAAAAGAGAGTCAGCAAAGGGTGGTGGGATTATCATTAGTTCTTATAGGTTTTGGGATAGGCGGTGGAGTTAGGAGCAATGTTTTGGGGGCAGGGGTTGGATCTCACAAAATACGTTTTCAAGGGTGGGGAGAATTATAAAGAACCTTCTTAACAGTGGGGGAGATTACAAAGAAACTCCTTAAGGGTTGAGGAGATTACAAAATACATTGATCCGTTAGGGTGGGGCAGAAACAAATCACAATGGTGGAATGTCATCGGTTAAGGCTATTTTCACTTCTTTTGTGGATCTTCAGTTGCTTCAGGCCATCTGGATGTATACGTGCAGGTCACAGGGGATATGATGTCTTAGCTTGGGCTCAGAGGCCTGACACCGAGTAGCTAGGATTACAGGTGTGCGCCACCAAGCCTGGCTAATTTTTGTGTTTTTAGTAGAGACAGGGTTTTACCATGTTGGCCAAGTTGGTCTCAAACTTTTGACCTCAAGAGATCCGCCTGCCTCGGCCTCCCAAAGTGCTGGGATTACAGGAGCGAGCCACCATGGTTAAAGAGCCTCTACTTAGCTCTTTAGAAATGTAATTACAACCTTTACCTTCCCTTCACCAGGCATTCCCTACAGGGCAAGCTTATCTAACTACGTGCTTACTTAGAACCTCCATAGCCAGAACGCTGACCCACTGGGAGAGACAACAGTCAATTTGCCACCTAAAGTATGCCCTTGACCCAACTCTGTCCCACCTGGCGAGTATCTTGAAACAATGGCCATTGTACAACCTAGTTCTGCTTGTGGTGGCACCAGCTGAACCACCTGGTAGATAAGGCACCAAAGTGAGTCATGCAGACCCCCACCTGCTCGCTCCCTCCTCTGCATGCCATGCATGCATGCCAAGTCCCCCTTTAAAATCCCCTGATTTCTGCCCCAAAAGTAAAGCAGTACCCTTAAAGGCAGGAGTCTGTACTTCTTCCCCAAAGCTAAGTCTTGGAATAAAGGCACTTTCTTTATACTGTTACCAGCAGTGAATCCATAATGGTCTGCAGCAACCTCAATTCTTGCCTCCTTAGAAGAAGGAATTTACCTGAAGGATATAAGGCAGAGTGACAGAGGAAGGCAAGTTTTACAGCAGGAGTGAAAGTGTATTCCAAAGCTTTTGAGGCCGGGTGTGGTGGCTCATGCTTGTAATCCCAGCACTTTGGGAGGCCGAAGGCAGGTGGATCACCTGAGGTCAGGAGTTCCAGACCAGCCTGACCAATGTGGTGAAAGCCCATCTCTATTAAATATGAAAAATTAGCCGGGCATAGTGGCGCATGCCTGCAATCCCAGCTACATGGGAGGCTGAGGCAGGAGAATTGCTTGAACTCGGGAGGCGGAGATTGCAGTGAGCCGAGATTGCACCATTGCACTCCAGCCTGGGCAACAAGAGTGAAACTCCTGTTCAAAAAAAAAAGTTTCAAGCGGGAACAAAAGGAAGTAAAGTGCACTTGGAAGAGCACCAAGTGGGCTACTTGAGAGATCAAGTGCTTGGTATGGCCTTTGACTTGGGGTCTTATACATTGGCATGCTTCTGGGGAATTGCATCCCTTCTCCCCTGATTTTTCCCCTGGGGTGGGCTGTCCACCTGCGCAGTGGCCTGCCAGCACTTAGGAGGAACCACATGTGCGGCGTGTTTACTGGAGTTATACACGTGCTCATTTGAGGCACTTTTCCCTTACCAATTGAGTGTTCCTAGAGGAACGTCATGTACCAGTTACACTCCGCCATTTTGCCCCATGGTGCGCATGCTTGAGCCCACTCTCCCAACTCCTAAGATCTTATTGTTGCTGATCACCAGCTTCAGGTGTTTCTATGTGTTGACAGACTGCCTTTCCCTGGTGCTGGCTCCTACCAATTATTATTTTAGAGAGACAACTAACCACAGTCTGACCATCACTTGATGACCACCTGACATTCCTGGGGTGGGGTTGGGGTGGGAGGGACCCTCTCCTGCCCTGCTCATATCTGCCTGACAATATCAGACCTTGCTCTTGTTCATTGCATTCTGCAAGCGATGAGTGACTGAACCTGCATTTTCGTTGCAATGGTAACCCATAACATATCTCTCAGTGTAGGGCCCATGTGGTTAGTTCCTCCTTTAGAAATGAGGAAATTAATTTCAATCAGACCAAAGAGACTTATTTATTTCCCTACTGCATTTTAGCACTGAGTGCTGTACATCATAGGCACTAAGTCAACATTTGTTGAGTTGAGTGGATGGAGTATGGGAGCTCCGGGAAAGTTCACTTCTGCTCTGTTCAGTCAGGCTCCTATTCCAGATGTTCAGAGTTGATTATGCAATCCTCACGATGTTGAAAAGCTTCCTGTAATATGATGATACATAGAAGAATGTGAATGGTTGGTTTGTTTTCCTGGCCTGTCAGAGCACTGCCAGATGTACAAGGCTGCCTTTGTACTCAGGGCTTGGCTGCTGATAAAATGGTCTAAACACTTGTAAATCGTATCCTATTGTCATGTAGGAAGAGCTTATATAAGTGAATAATCGCTATCTAATTGATCCCTTTGTGTTTGCTTCAAGCTATATGCCATCGATATGTGACTGTTAAAGGGTGGTTTCAAAAAGGGTAAAATCATCACTCTCACACAGACATAAAATGAACACATGGTAGATTTTTTATTTAACTCACCATTAATGAGGGAACTGGTAAGATCTTACAAGGGCAATCCAAGGAATGGACACATTGATAGATCAGAGATATTGACATGAACATGAAAATGGCAGCAAAACTAACTGGCTTCTTCCACAGCAGGAAAGGGAATGTCAGTTGAAGCTCCACCAGACAGGTTTTTTTTGTTTTGTTTTGTTTTGTTTTTGTTTCTGTTTTTGTTTTTTAACGTATGTATAGACAAAAATCACTCTATTGGCTGCTAGTTATCTACAATGTATAAAGTTGTAAAATAGCTTAATTCAATGAATCAGAGAACCTGGAAGAATGAGCTCTAAGCTATGTATCGTTTTCTATTGCAGACACTTAATAATCTTTTTTGTTTATTACAAGCTTCCTTGGCAGTGGTGACATTTCAAGTGAATAGGGAAAAGGACACACTATCCAACAAATAGTGTTGAGACAATTGGATTCACTGTGAAAAAATAAAATCATGTTGTGATGCCATACTTTAAACAGAACAAATTTCAGGTGGATTAAAAAATGAAATATTAAAATGGAAACTTTTAAATCTTTAGAATAATATGCAGGAGAATATCTTTAGTACCTTAAGGTAGGGAAGGAAATATGACAGAAAAAAAACCACAAACTGTACCAAGGAAACCATAGATTTGACTATATCTAAAACAAAAACCTTTTCTTTCGTCAAGATGCCCCAGATGGCTGGGTGCGGTGGCTCACGCCTGTAATCCCAACACTTTGGGAGGCCGAGGTGGGCAGATCACTTGAGGTCAGGAGTTTGAGACCAGCCTAGCCAACATGGTGAAACCCAGTCTTACTAAAAATACAAAAATTAGCTGGGCATGGTGGAGCACGCCTGTAGTCCCAGCTACTTGGGGGGCTGAGGCACGAGAATTGCTTGAACCAGGGAGGCAGAGGTTGCAATAAGCCGAGATTGCACCACTGCACTCCAGCCTGGGTGACAGAGTGAGACTCTGTCTCAAAAAAAAGAAAAGATACCCCAGATAAAAACTATTGCATTGCCTATGGCCAGTAAAGGATCCACTTTCCCAGAATGTATAAAGAGCTCCTGCAAATCAAATCAGAAAAAAATCAACAACCCAGCAAAAGCGGGGAAGCTCTAGGAAGAGACTGTGAGTGCAAATGACTCCGCACTGCAGTAGCCCCTGCACCGCCTTTCGGAAGAGCACTTGCATCCCAAACCATTAAAAGGAACCTACTGGGACAACTGTGGCCCCCGAGGTTTACCGAATGCCAAGTTTATCCCCACTCTGGCTCCATGTCCTCCAGGACTCTAGACCAATGTACAGACTTTAACAATTGCAGTTGCTTTGAAGATTCTCACTGTGGAGGTCAATTCTGCTTCCATTGTGGAAACCAGGATCTCATCCATCCATCAATTCATTCAATAAATCTTTTTTTTTTTTTTTTTTTTTTTGAGACAAGGTCTCTCTCTGTCACCCAGGCTGGAGTACAGTGGCATGATCATGGCTCATTGCACCCTTGACCTCCTAGGCTCAAAGGATCCTCCCACCTCAGCTTCCCAAATAGCTGGGACTACAGGTGTGCACCACCATGACCAACTAATTTATAAATTATTTGTAGAGATGCGGTCTCATTATGTTGGCCAAGCTGATCTCAAACTCCTGGGTTCAATCAGTCCTCCTACCTTGGCCTCCTAAAGTGCTGGGATTACAGGCATGAGCCACTGTACCCAGACACTCAACAAATCTTTAGTGCCCACTCTGCGCTGGGTATAGAGGATATGGAAGGATGCCACCTCCTGGAGCTTCCCCCCAAAGGCAGATGAAGAAGTTAAATCCCAAATGGAGACGGGCACTAAGGAAGGGCTCTGGGACCCTACCTATGCTCACCTTTGGTTTGCCCCTCAACCCACCCCTGTGAGTTCATGGGGTGTATTTTTTCCAATTGATTCCATACTTTCAGAGAAGTTACACAAACAGTACAGAGAATTTTCAATATACCTTACACCCAGCTTCACCCAATAATAACTAATGTCTTGCATAACTGTAGAACAGTTACCAAAGCTAGGACATTAGCCACAGAATTTATTCAGTGCTCACAAGTTTTCCCGTTATTGTCTTTTTCTGTTTCAGGTTCTGATATGCTTTGGATTATGTCCCCACCCAAATCTCATGTTGAAATGTAATCCCCATTGTTGGAGGTGGGGCCTGGTGGGAGGTAATTGGATCATGGGACCAGTTTCTTATGAGAGGTTTAGCACCATCACCTCAGTGCTGTTCTCATGATAGTGAGTTCTCATGAGACCTGGTTGTTTAAAAGTGTGTAGCCCCTCCCCCTCCTCCTCCTGGTCCAGCCATGTGAAGTGCTCACTCCCCCTTTGCCTTCTGCCATGATTGTAAGTCTCCAGAGGCCTCCCCAGAAGCCAAGCAGATGCCAGCATCATGCTTCCTGTACAGCCTGTGGAATCATGAGCCAACTAAACTTCAATTAAACCTTTCTAAATTACTCAATCTCCAGGTTTTGTTTGTTTGTTTGTTTGTTTTTGAGACAGGGTTTTGCTCTTGTTGCCCAAGCTGGAGTGCAATGGCGCAATCTTGACTCACTGCAACCTCCGCCTCCCGGATTCAGGCAACTCTCCCGCCTCAGCCTCACAAGTAGCTGGATTATAGGCATGCACCACCATGCCCGGCTAATTTTATATTTTTAGTAGAGACGGGGTATCTCCGTGTTGGTCAGGCTGGTCTTGAATTCCTGACTTTAGGTGATCCACCCGCCTCGGCCTCCCAAAGTGCTGGAATTACAGGCATGAGCTACGGTGCCCAGCCTCAGGTATTTCTTTATAGCAGTGTGAGAAAGAATTAATACAGCTTCCAATCCTAGATCCACACTGTAGTCAATGTTACACATCCTTAGTTAGCCCTAGTCTGTTCTTCAGTCTTTCCTTGTCTTTCATGACCTTGACATTTTGAAGGGTACTGGCTAGATACCTTGCAGAACTCTTCCTCACAATTAGGTTGAGGTGATATATTATTGCAGAGGATGCCACAGAGATGATGAGCTCTTCTCGGTGCTTCAGATCAGGGGTGTGGGATGCCGATGTGTATTCCTGGTGAGGCTGATCTTCACTGCTTGGTTAAGGTGGTGTCTTCCAGGATCTTCCACTGTAAGCTCACTATTTTGCTCTTTTGTGATCACTAAATATTTGAGAGGAAATACTCTGAGATTATGCAAATATCCTCTTTCTGCTTAAGTTTTGCTTTGGGCTGTTTTTCAAACACATCCCTGATTTGGGCTTCATAAGCCTGATTATCCCCGACAGCCAGCCCTTCTTGGCTACTCAGCTGACAAAGGGCACTTGCTGCCCCTTTTGTCCCCTGCCCACAGGCACAAAGAAGCCACGCTGTTCCCACCTGGGGCAGCATGTGTGTTCCTGGACCAAACTGAGGGTTGGGCTGCTTGTTCTTGTGGCCCAATAACGAGATGCAGATGAACTAGGAAAGGACGGAGTTCATTTCTGTAACAGGGCACAGGGGGAAGGTTTGCAAAATATCGCCAGGCCAACTCAAAATTACAAAGTTTTCCAAAGCTTATATACCTTCTAAGCTATATGTCTATGTGTAAGAGTACGTTCATTTACAGACATAAGTGATTAACTTTTTTTTAATCTATAACTAAGATCTGAGTCCTAAAGACCTTCCTCTGGAGCCTCAGTAAATTTGTGTAATCAAAATGGGTCCAGGTGCTGGGGTGATTACCCTTATCTTGTCTCCTGCTAAGCCATGGAGGTTTGGGGAGTTTCTTCAGACCCCCAATAAATGTGTTTAATCCTAAACGGGTCCTGTGAAGTATTTCTTCATTATCTTGTCTTGCCTTAAGGCCCAGGAAAGGCCTAGGCAAAGCTGTTGGTGGGCTTTTGTTACATCCCAGTCTTTGTAGACGTGCACTGGCTCTTTTGGCTTTCAATATTTAACTTTACCACTCAGTCAGTGCTGAAACAGTTGTGATGGAGGCCTGTCTGTTCAGCAGTTAGGGAGACCTGGCCTGGCACAGGTGGGTGCCCTCCCCTCTCCAAAGATGTGGGAATGCTCCAAATGCCTCGAAACAAGACAGCCTGCTTGACAAGGAGCTGGGAAGAAATTTCAAATGAAGATGAGCTACATAAGTTAGTCTTCTGCAACCTGGAAAAGTGAAGACTGGAGGGGGTATAACAGGGTCAACATGAACTTTTGTTTGTTTCTTTAAATGCTGGCAAACTGGGGCATAGTGTGGGGTAAGGAGAGCTTGAAACTTGAAGGAACTTGTTTTAAATATCAAGGCAAAAAAGCTGGACTCTCCAGCATGGGAAAGACACATATGAAATTAGTTACTCAAGAAGCTAAACAGGCCAGGTGCAGTGGCTCATGCCTGTAATCACAGCACTTTGGGAAGTTGAGGCAGCAGGATTTCTTGAGCCCAGGAGTTCAAGACTAGCCTAAGCAACATAGTGAGACCCTGTCTCTACAAAAAAATCAAAAAAATTAGCTGGGCCTGGTGGTGCACACCTGTGGTTCCGGCTACATGGGAGGCTGAGGTGGGGAGGATTGCTTGATGCCAGGAGGTGGAGGCTGCAGTGAGCTGTATTTGCACCACTGCACTCCAGCCTGGGTGACAAGAGTGAGCCCCTCTCTGAAAAAAAAAAAAAAAAAAAAAAAAGAGGTTGAACATCTGAAGTATGCTCTGAGGCTATGGGTACACATCTGAATGGGACCCAGAATGGGGTAAGCCAGCATCACACAAACACAGTGGCCACACTCTCTGGCCACAATTGGGGCCACTGTGTATGGTAAACATGTGTGTGGCCTGGAAAGTCTAAGGCTCCAGGCTAGTCCAGTAGTCCTCAAGTTTTTGTATGAAGATGATTGGGACTCTGCTAGTCTTCCAGGTTTGAAAATCCATTGTTCACTCTCCTTAACCCCCTTAGGGGATGTATCAGAGGCATCAACCAATGCCTCCTTGGTCTTTGCCCTGTGTGTAGCCTGCCATAGCATTCTCCCTTCGCCGCACTACCCCAGCCACAGACCCATCCAGCCACATCCTGGGGTCCCATTTTTAATCTTTCATTTTTCTTTTTTTGTTTGTTTGTTTGTTTTTGAGACTGAGTCTCACTCTATGGCCCAGGCTGGAGTGCAGTGGTGCGATCTCGGCTTACTGCAACCTCTGCCTCCCAGGTTCATGCTATTCTCCTGCCTCGGGCTCCCGAGTAGCTGGGATTACAGGTGCATGCCACCATGCTCAGCTAGTTTTGTTTTTTGTTTGTTTTAGTAGAGACGGGGTTTTGCCATGTTGGTCAGGCTGGTCTCCAACTCCTGACCTCAACTTATCTGTCCACCTCAACCTCCCAAGGTGCTGGGATTACAGGCATGAGTCACCATGCCTGGCCTACTCTTTCTAGGGCTGAATTCAATTACAGCTCTCCCAGGAAGAAATAATTCTATCTCAAGATCAGGTTCAGTCTGGTATCTGCTTCCTGTTATCAGCTCCTAGTTATCCGCATACTTTTTGGGTTTTAGGCACTTTGACCACCAAAATCTCATGGTCCATCCCAGCTCTGCTCTACCCCCTGTGGTTACCTTGTCAATCAAAATTAAGGCTGTTCAGGCAGAAGTAGTTTGATAAAGGTTTATTGGATGCCAGATGTGAGGACTGACCAGGGAAGATACACCAACAGATTTGGACATATTCTAGAGTTTGTTACAAGTTGAAATGTTGGCCGGGTGTGGTGGCTTATGTTTATAATCCCAGCACATTGAGAGGCTGAGGCGGGCAGATCACTTGAGGTCAGGAGTTCCAGACCAGCCTGACCAACATGGTGAAGCCCCATCTCTACTAAAAAAAAAAAAAAAAAAAATACAAAAAAAACCTAGCCAGGTGTTGTGGAGCGCATCTGTAATCCCAGCTACTTGGGAAGCTGAGGCAGGAGAATCGCCTGAACCCAGGAAGTGGAGGTTGCAGTGAGCTGAGATCACGGCACTGTACTCTAGCCTGGGCGACAGAGTGAGACTCCATCTAAAAAAAAAAACAAAAAAACAAGAACAAACAAACCAACAAAAAACAAGTTGAAATGCTTTTATAAAATGCTTTTATAAGAAAGTTTAGAAGAAGGAAGAGGAACCCCTTATAGATGAGCCCTCCCCTCCCCTCCCCTCCCCTCTCCTCTCCTTTCCTGACAGAGTCTTGCTCTGTTGCCCAGGCTGGAGTGCAGTGGTGCCATCTCGGCTCACTGCAACCTCCACCTCCTGGGTTCAAGCGATTCTCCTGCCTCAGCCTCCTGAGTAGCTGGGATTACAGGCATGCACCACCACGCCCGGCTAATTTTTGTATTTTTAGTAGAGGTGGGGTTTCACCATGTTGGCCAGGCTGGTCTCAAACTCCTGACCTCAAATGATCCACTCACCTCAGCCTCCCAAAGTGCTGGGATTATAGGCATGCGCTGCACCCGGCCCCTGAGTTGTCCTTTTTCATTGGAGGGTACAATCTTTGGCTACAGATCACAGTGCACAGCTAAAATGTTCTACGTGCAAGACAATCAATAAAACTTTGTGATTCCAAAACAAATCAGTGTCATTTTTAGTGTCAGCAAGTTACACATGAATTAGTATGTCTTAAGGAACTCACGATAAAATTTCTGGGACTCACAATCACTTTCTTTACTCAGGGACAGAATGTAAGCCATGAATTGTAAGACCTTCCCTGGGCAGTTCATTGGGAAGCCTGCCAAATGTGACCTGTAGGTTATCAGCTTCAAACCTGAAAAGTTATTTCTAGCCCTGATCCCCTACTTGTTAGCCTGCTTGTAACCATGGAGACTGTAGATTCTGTTAAATTAACCTAAATTTGGCCTAAGAATGCTTCTGTACCTGAGTCCTTACTGAAGGAACTGCAACCTAACTTTTTTAAATTAGTTTTTTGTAGAGAAGGGTGTCTCCCTATATTGCCCAGGCTAGTCTTGAACTCCTGGCCTCAAGCAAGTCTCCTGCCTCAGCCTCCCAACATAATAAGATTATGGGAGCGAGCCATTAAGTCAGGCCCTGCAATCTACCTTAGTAGTAAACTAACTGAAACCCTAACACAGGGATATACTTTTGTAACAAATCTCCCAGTCTCAACCATTCACAGCCTCTGAGCTCCAGTCAATCACAAGCAGCCAACTAATCAGACCATGTTCAAATGAGGCAAACCTGGAGCTGTAACTGATCAAGCTGTTTCTGTCCCTCTCTTCTATTTTCCTTCTATAAATGCTGCCTGCCTGCCTGCCTGCCTTGTGGAATGGAGTTCTCTGAACCTCTGCTGGCTCTGAGGGCTGCCTGACTCTCGAGCCCTTCTTTGCTCAGTTAAACTCTGCTAAATTTAATTTGCTTAAAGTTTTTATTTTTAATAACTCATTGGTCTTTGTTTTTGTCCTACCTCGTAAGGTACATCATTGATGCCAGACATCACTGAAACGATATTCACAAAGAGCTAAAAGGTGGGTGGGGAGGGGAAAAATGAACACACAAGGACTCCCTGTGTGTCCACAGTGGCTCTGAGGTTGTCTTTGAGAGCTCAGCTTTGCATCTATCTCTTCAGTCTTCCCAAAAATTCTGTAAGTTATTTACTGCACTGACGTGATTTCCTTTCTGCTTACAGCAGTTATGGGGACTCTTTTTCTGCAACTGAACCCTGACAAATGCAAGTGAAAGAGGGAAATGACCAACAATGTAAGGAAAGGTATACAATCATAGATAAAAAGGCATTTTAAAAATTGTGAATAAATTGCATAATACTATGCTGATACATTTGAAAAAAAATAGATACATCTGATAGTTTCTCAGAATATATAAGTTTTCCAAATTTACGGAAAAGCCAGGTGCAGTTGCTGGTGACTGTACTCCCAACTACTCAGGAGGCCAAGGTGAGAGGATCACTTGAGTCCAGGAGTTGGAGGCTGCAGTGAGCTATGATGGTGCCACTGCACTCCAGTCTGGGCCACAGAGTAAGGCTGTCTCTAAAAACAATAACGAATTTACAAAAAAAAAAAAAAAAAAAAAAAAAAAAAAAAAAGGAAAGAAAGAGAAAGTAACCCACAAAGAGATAAATTAAAATGAAAAAAAAAAAAAAGCCTATCAAAGAATTATCTTCTGGATGTATACTAGGCCCAGGTGATTTTACGAGAAAATTATTTCAAATATGGGATATTTTATTTTACATTAACTGACGTACTTTTCATTAAAATAACTCTTACTTTCTCTTAGTTGCCTGGCAGCTCATTGTTCTTAACTCAAAGGCATTCACCGCTTTGAGGATATGGCAGTTCCAAGAACAAGAAGATGTTGCTAAACTTTGAGTTTCAAAGCAGGTTTTACTTTATGGGAGAAAGCCTGAATGCCAAAAACACTTGATTTTCAAGAGTCAGATATGTGAGAAAGAAGCCATTTTTATTTTATTTTGTATTCTAAAAAACTTGACTTTACAATTAAAGGCTATAGATGAAGCCACTGAGAACAACATAGAGTGTATGATCATATAATAAAAGGATAGTTTTGGTGACGTAGAGAGACATCAGACAGAGAGTCTCTGAGAGTGCTCAGCAACCTGACTGTCTCCTGCTGGACACTGAAGAGCAGGATGAGAGAAACCCAGATCATTTAGTGCATCCCAGAGCAGAGCCATAGGCTGGTTTCTGTAGCCCAGCAAGCCTCGGAGGACAAAGAACAAGAGTGGTAAAAGCAAAATACTTGAGTGGACCACCTGGGTGGATGGAAGCCTCATTTGCTCACATGCACCCATGGGCAGGTAAGGGAAAGCAGCCAAGCACTAGTGGCCACAGAAGTGCTGAATAGGGAGGTGGACAGATTCGAAGGGTCCTGTTATCAGGACAAAGGTATGCAGTGCTCCTGGGCCCATTGCCCACTAGAGACTATATAGCAGGGCTGGGCACATCTGCTTCAGCACCAGCATATGGCAGCAGGAGCCAAAGGACATGATGCCAGGACAAGATAACCCACCCCATGCTAGAAAGATGAGAAAGCCTCTTGGAATTAAGATCACCATGGGAAAGAAGAGGGGAAAGGGAGACAACTGACTTAAGTTTATACTCTGAATTGATACACATCAATACAAAAGCAGCTAAGATTTATAAAAGTAAGTTTTCTCTCATCAGCAGAAGTGGGCTGTCCTGAACTAAGTATCTGTTACAGAGAAATGAAGACACATATTTTTATCTCTGAGCCTGTGTAAAATTCATACCTGCTATAAAGATGAAATAGGTAAAGATATTTCCCTTGCTATAAAATATAATTTCACATTAGAGAAAAGCACAGGAAGTTTCCCAATACAATTTACAAAGCTAGCGCAAGTGTAATACCACAACTTAACAAAGTGAAAAAAAAAAAGAGTAATTACCAACTGTTTTAGTCCATTCTCACGCCGCTGATAAAGACATACCCAAGACTGAGCAATTTACAAAAGAAAGAGGTTTAATTGGGCTTACAGTTCACATAGCTGGGGAAGCCTCACAATCATGGCGGAAGGCAAGGAGGAGCCAAAGTCACATCTTACATGGATGGTGGCAGGCAAAAAATGAGAGAGGTTGTGCAGGGACACTCTTATTTTATTTATTTATTTATATTATTATTATTATTATTTTAAGACAGAGTTTTGCTCTTGTTGCCCAGGCTGGAGTGCAATGATGTGATCTTGGCTCACCACAACCACCATCCCCCAGTTTCAAGCAATTCTCCTGCCTCAGCCTCCCGAGTAGCTGGGATTACAGGCATGCGCCACCATGCCCAGCTAATTTTGTATTTTTAGTAGAGATGGGGTTTCTCCATGTTGGTCAGGCTGGTCTCAGACTGCCGACCTCAGGTGATCCACCCACCTTGGCCTCCCAAAGTGCTGGGATTACAAGCGTGAGTCACCATGCCCAGCCTCCTGTTTTTTTTGTTTTTGTTTTTTGTTTTGTTTTTTTGTTTGTTTGTTTTTACCATCAGATCTCATGAGACTCATTTATTATTGCAAGAACCGCACAGGAAAGACCCGCCACCATAATTCAGTCACTTCCCACCAGGTTCCTCCCACAACACGTGGGAATTGTGGGAGTTACAATTCAAGATGAGATTTGGGTGGGGACATAGCCAAACCATATCACCTTTCTTATGAAAATAAAAGCATTCCAACATTCATTCCTAATATTAAAAACACATCTGAATGGAGCTCATAAGTAAGCAGACCATGTTCTGTGGGGCAAAGGTGTTCCATGTAGCAATCAGAAAAATATACAGCGACAATCTTGTTTTCTGCAAAAAAATAAGACCATTTATTGTGCTATTGGGAAATCAGATTTCTGTCCTGCTCAGTAGGCATTTTCAGCACCTGCTCCTATACCAGTCCTCCTGCTAGAAAGGACCAGTGCCATCATGATGCCATCTCTGATTGTCCCCCAGCACCAGTGAACCCTCAGGGGACTCACATGAAGGCTCCAAGACACCATACAATCGTGTATGGTCAGTGAAGATCTGGTAGTTTGTTGTCAGTGAGCAATATCTTTATTATATGAGTTCTTGTAGCATCTTAAGAATTATACATGTATTTGAAATACCCAAACTAAGCTACACGGCTAGTAATTAGCTTTATTTTATTTATTTATTTATTTATTTATTTATTTATTTATTTATTTATTTATTGAGATGGAGTCTTGCTCTGTCACCCAGGCTGGAGTGCAATGGTGCGGTCTCAACTCACTGCAACCTCCACCTCCTGGGTTCAAGTGATTCTCCTGCCTCAGCTTCCCGAGTAGCTGGGATTACAGGCGCCCACCACCACGCCAGGCTAATTTTTGTATTTTTAGTAGAGATGGGGTTTCACCATGTTGGCCAGGCTGGTCTCGAATTCCTGACATCAGATAATCTGCTCACCTCAGCCTTCCAAAGTGTTTGGATTACAAGTGTGAGCCACCACATCTGGCGTAGTAATTAGCTTTAGAATCTCATTTCTAGGCTGAATTTGAATCCATATTTATTGTCTTTTGTATCTTGGAAATTAGAGACTTGCTATAGACTAACCCAAATATTTGTCAACCTCATAGCTGACTTTAAAAATAATTGTAATACAATTAAGCTATCTGACTCAAAAAGAAAATCTAAGTGGAAAGACATCTTTTGTTCATAGATTGGAAGCCTTAATGTTGCTAAGATGTCAATACTACCAAATAAATTTAATGATTTAATGCAATCCCTATCAAAATCCCAATTATGCTTTTTTGCAGAAATAGAAAAAAAATTGTAAAATTCATATAGAATCTCAGGGGACCCCCGAATAGCCACAACAATCTTGAAAAAGCACAATAAAGTTAGAAGACTCATACTTCCTGATGTCTAAAATTACTAAAAAGCTACAGTAATCAAAACAGTGTGTCACTGACATAAAGACAGAACATCAACCAGTGGAATAGAGAAGAAGCCCAGAAATAAACCCTTGCATATATGGTCAAAGGATTTTTGACAAGGTTGCCAAGACCAGCCAATGAGGGAAGGATAGTCTTTTCAACAAACGGTACTAGAAAAACTGGATATCTACATTAAAAAGGATGAAATTTTTGCCTTTTACCATATGTAAAATTAACTCAAAATGGATTAAAGGTCTAATTGTAAGAGCTAGAACTATAAAGCTCTTAGAAGAAAACATAGAGGCAAAGCTTTATGGCACTGGATTTGGCAATGATTTATTGAATATGACATAAAAAAGACAGACAACAATAAAATAAACAAACTGGACTCCATGAAAATTAGAAACTTCTGCACATCAAAGAACACTGTCAACAGAGTAAAAAGGCAACTCACAGAATGGGAGAAAATATGTGTAAATCACATCCCTAATAATGGATTAATACTCAGAATATATAGAAAATTTATAAAACTCAGCTGGGTGCGGTGGCTCATGCCTGTAATCCCAGCACTTTGGGAGGCCGAGGTGGGCAGATCACTTGAGGTCAGGAGTTCAAGACCAGCCTGGTCAAAGTAGGGAAACCCTATCTCTACTAAGAAAACACAAAAATTAGCCAGATGTGGTGGCCTGCGCCTGTAGTCCCAGCTACTTGGGAGGCTGAGGCAAGAGAATTGCTTGAACTCAGGAGGTGGAAGTTGCAGTAAGCTGAGATGGCACCACTGCACTCCAGCCTGAGCAACAGAGTAAGACTTTGTCTCAAAAAAAAAGAAAAGAAAAAAAGAAAACTTATGAGACCCAACAACAAAAAAACAAACAACCCAAGCAAAAAACGGGTGAAGGACTTGAATAGACATTTTTCCAAAGACATACAAATGGCCAATAAGTATGTGAAAAGATGCTCAACATCAGGCCGGGTGTGGTGGCTCATGCCCGTAATCCCAGCACTTTGGGAAGCCAGGGTCGGAGGACTGAGCCTAGGAATTCAAGACTAGCCTAGGCAACACAGCAAAACCTTACCTCCATGAAAAGAAAAAAAAAAGCGGGGTGGTGGGGGGAACATCAACAACAATGCTCAATATTATTAATCATTAAGGAAATGCAAATGAAAATTACAATGAGATATCACTCTATATCCTATAGCTATAGTAATTAGCTTTAGAATCTTGTTTTTCCTAATATTATCCCTAATATTAAAAACACATCTGAATGGAGCTCATAATAAGTACGCAGACCATACTCTGTGGAGCAAAGAAATTCCATGTAGCACTCTAGGATGTCCATTATATATATTTTTAATACCAGAAAATAACAAGTGTTTACAAGGATGTAGAGACATTAAAATACTCTGCACTACTGATGGGGATGGAAAATGGTGTAGCTGCTATGCAAACCAGTGTGGTAGTTTCTCAAAACATTAAAAAATAGAATTACCATAAAATCTAGCAATTCCTCTTCTGGGTATATATTCAAAAGAATTTAAAGCAGGGTCTTAGAGAGACCTTTGTAGTAGCATCATCTCATTAACTTGAAGCAACCCAAGTGTCCATCAACCATCATCATATGTATGTATCCATTCAATGAACGAATGGATAAATAAAATGTCATATACACATACAGTGGAATATTATTCAGCCTTAAAAAGGAAGAAAATTCAGACATGCTGCAACATGAATGGGCCTTGAAGGCATTATTATGCTAAGTGAAATAAGCCAGTCATAAAAGGGTAAATACTGGCTGGGCATGGTGGCTCAGGCCTGTAATCCCAGCACTTTGGGAGGCTGAGGCGGGTGGATCACCTGAGGTCAGGAGTTCAAGACCATCCCGGCCAACATGGTGAAACCCCGTCTCTACTAAAAATACAGAAAAATTAGCTGGGCGTGATGGCAGGCGCCTGTAATCCCAGCTACTTTGGGAGGCTGAGGCAGAAGAATCGCTTGAACCCAGGAGGCAGAGAGCCGAGATCGTGCCACTGCACTACAGACTGGGCGACAATAGCAAAACTCTGTCTAAAAAAAAAAAAAAAAAAAAAAAAAAGGGTAAATACTATCTCACTCATATGAGGTACTTAGAATAGTCAAATTTATAGACACAGAAAGTAGAATGGTAGTTGCTAGGGGCTGTGGAGAGGGCAGAATGGAGAGTTATTGTTAAAGGAGTATAGAGTCGTAGTTTCACAAGATAAAAAAGTTCTGGAGATGGATGGTGGGGATGGTGGCACAACAATGCGAATGTGTAGTACTTAATGTCAGTGAACTGTCCACTTAAAAATGGTTAAAATGGGGCTGGGTGCCATGGCTCACACCTGTAATCCCAGCACTTTGGGAGGCTGAGGCAGGAGAATCACTTGAGTCCAGGAGTTCGAGAGCAGCCTGGGCAACATGGTAAAACCCCATCTCTACAAAAATCACAAAAAACAGCCAGCAAGGTGGTGCGCGCCTGTAGTCTTAGTTACTCAGGAGGCTGAGGTGGGAGGATGGCTTGATCCTGGAAGGCTGAGTTGCAGTGAGCTATGATCAAACCACTGTACTTCAGCCTGGGTGACAGAGTGAGACCCTGTCTCAAAAAAAAAAAAAATTGTTAAAATGGTAAGTTTTATGTTATGAATATTTTTCACAATTAAAATTTTAAAACATTAAAAAACAATTTTAAAAATCTTAGTTAAGCTAAAATGGGAGTTTTTTCTTAACAAATTAAATGAAGTATATATTAAATCATAAATATATATGGAGAAAGTGATTAAATTTAATAAAGTTTATTAAAGAAATCTTAACTTTTTAAAAAAATATCGAATAAATGGAGATACATATCTAGTTAGTTGAGAAGATTTAATATTTCAAGAATATCAGTTTTCCTTATGAATTCATAAAAGTAATTCCAGTCAAAATTTTGAGTTTTTAGTGCAACTTTACAAAATAAGTCTAAACTTCATTTGGAAGAGTCAATGTGGCAGAATATTCAAGACATTTTTTGAAAAAGAAAGTTAATGGAGTGTAGAGGGGAGAATATTATGCCTTATTAATAGTTTTCCTGTAAAGCTACAATAATTAAAACAGTATGATATGTTACAACAATAAATAGCTCAATGAAACAAAATTGAAAGTCTAGGAATAAACCCAAGAATGAGTAAATATTTAATATATGGTAAGAGTGTGATTTAATTAGGGAAGTAAGACGCTGGGACAACTGACTATTAATAAAAAAAATCAGATAGTTCAAAGAGAAAAGTATAACATAATGAGAAGAATAATATAAAATATTTATATGATATTGGAGAGGGAAAGGCCTTTCTAAGAATAAAAGCAAAAAAAAAAGACACTCTAAACAAAAAATGGATCTTTTACAAGATAAAAATCTGGAATTCTTGAATGTCAAAAAACAGTATAAAAGTCAAGCAACAAATTAGGTGTATTCATTTGTTTTAACACTGCTGATAAACACATACCCGAGACTGGGTGATTTATAAAGAAAAAGAGGTTTAATGGACTCACAGTTCCACATGGCTGGGGAGGCCTCACAATCATGGCGGAAGGTGAAAGGCACATCTTAAATGGCAGCAGGCAAGAGAGAGAATGAGAGCCAAGCAAAAGGGGTTTCCCCTTATAAAACCATCAGCTCTTGTGTGACTTATTCACTACCACAAGAACAGTATGGGGTAACCCCCCCACCCCCGCATGATTCAATTACCTCTCACCGAGTCCCTTCCACAACATGTGGGAATTATGGGAGCTATAATTCAAGATGAGATTTGGGTGGAGACACAGCCAAACCATATCACTGGGAAATAATATTGACAACAGATGACAAAATACTAATAATATATAAAGAAAGCCATTATAAACCAATAAGAACAAAAGTAGCTTTCCACTCGAAAAATGTGTAAAGACCGTGAACAAATAATCACAGGGGAAGAAATAAAAATTTGACTAAAACAATGCAAAATGAAGCACTAGCACTCAAAGAATGCAAAACGAAGCCAGGTACATTTTGATACATAATGCCTATCAAAAGCCTTAAAATGTTTATATAATTTAACCGAGATATTCTATCTGAAATTTACCTTAAGGAAATGCCCAAGTATAATCAATATTATTTATAATAGTAATAATCTGAAAACCATATCAGTTTAACAATAGGAAATTAGAATTTTACAAATTATAGTTTTGTTTTCTGTGTTTTCAGACAGGGTCTCACTCGTCATCTAGGCTGGAGTGCAGTGGCAGGATCGGGGTCACTGCAACCTTGACCTCCTTGGGCTCAGGTGATCCTCCCACTTTAATCTCCCAAGTAGCTGGGACTACAGGCATGTGTCACTATGCCCAGCTAGTTTTTCTATTTTTTGTAGAGATGGGGTTTCCACATGTTGCCCAGGCTGGTCTTGAACACCTAGACTTAAGTGATCTGCCCACGTCAGCCTACTGTACCTGGCCAAATTGTAGTATTTTATACAGGAGAATGCACCACCATAATTTAGAAACACACTGTCTCAGTCCATTTGTCCTGCTATAACAAAATACACAGGTGGGATAATTTATAAAGAAAAGAAATTTAGTTTCTCAGAGCTCTGGAGACGGGAAAGCACAAGATTAAGGCACCAGCAGGTTGCACATCTGGTGAGCGCTGCTCTTTACCTCCAAGATGGCACCTTGTTGCTGCATCCTCACGCGGCAGAAGGTGGAAATACAGGAGGAATGAACACGGCACCAAGCCTCTTTTAGAAAGGCCTTGAACCCATTCACCGGGGGGAGCCCTCATGACCTAATCACCTCCTAAAGGCCCCACCTCTTAATACCATGACATTGGCCATTATGTTTCAACATATGAATTTTGTTCAGACCATAGCATACACCATTAAAAATAATGTAAGCTGGGCATTGTGCATGCCTGTGGTCCCAGCTACTTGGGAGACTAAGGCAGGAGGATTGCTTGAGCTCAGGAGTTCCAGGCTGCAGTGAGGTATAATCATGCCACTGCATTTCAGAACCTGGGTCACAGGGCAAGACTCTGTCCCTAAAAAAAAAAAAAAATTTGATTTATTTTTTATTTTTTGTGGAGACAGTATCTCACCCTGTTGCCCAGGCTGGTCTTGAGCTCCTGGGCTCAAGCGATCCTCCCTCAGTCTCCCAAAGTGCTGAGATTACAGGCATGAGCCACTATGCCCGACCACAAAAACTATTTTTTAAAAACCCATCAGTCTCATACTCTATGTTCTCGTTTAATTTCCTTCTTTCCACACACAACTCCGCAGATGGTTGCTGCTAAACTGTGACAGTCTTTACCTCCGTTTGTCCCCTCAATGTTGCACGGTTTGATTTGTAATTTTCTAGTGCCTTCTCCCATTCTCCAGTGTAATCATTACAAACCTTCTGCACCCTCAATAAACCTCTCTATCTGTGTTTCATGGTCCTTTCTACTTTATAGAGAAAAATAGAAGTTACGAGACAAAAACCACCTGAAATCCTCCATCTTCCTCCCAACATGAGGGAGAAGCCATTTCCCCTTGAGTCTAAGCTGAGTTTTCTTCCTGTGCTTCAGCCCTCTCCTTCCCACCCTCACTCAGCCCATATTACTTCTCTCTTTCCCTTTTTCCTTTTTCTGTATTTTTTTTTAAGAGACAAGATCTCATTCTGTCACCCAGGCTGCAGTGCAGTGGCATGATCTTGGCTCACTGCAGCCTTGAACTCCTGGGCTCAAGCGATTCTCCTACCTCAGCCTCCCAAGTAGCTGCAGCTACCGGCATGTGTCACTACGCCCATCTATTTTTTTTTTTTTAAGTAGAGGTGAGGTCTTGCTATGTTGCCCAGGCTGGTCTCGAACTCCTGGGCTCAAGTGATCCTTACATCTCGACCTCCCAAAGTGCTGGGATGAGCCACTACACCTGGCCCTATCTCTCTCCTTTCCTTCACAGCCAGACTCCTTGGAAGAGCAACCTGCACGCACTGCCTCCACTTCTACAAACCGACTTCCACAGCTCCACTGGTTCTGAAAGAACAAGGCCAGCTTGTTCACTGGCAACTCAATCTGAAGGACATGCTGCACTGCCCATTGCTGAACTTCTGTGCAGCATTTGACACCTGACTACTCTCCCTTGAAATGCTCACCTCCTTCGGTGTATCTGGGCCTTTCTGGTTTTCCTTCCACCTCCCTGGCCAGTCTATCCTTTGAATGTGACTTTCCCTCAGGTTTTGCCCACTGGATTCATCTTCTTACTTTCTGCAGGATAACCTCCACTCTTCTCCTGCTTCAGCTATCCCCTTGCTGGGAATGATCTACACATCCCTATCTAAGTTGATTTACCCCCTTGCTGGCCATTATTTACACATCCCTATCTAAGTCCAAATCCTGGTATCCAGCTGCCTCCTGGATGTTTCCACTTGGATGTGTCTCAGGCCCCTTGCACTTGAACTTGTATAAAGGAATTGGCCTCATCTCCTTCTGCAAATCTGCTCTTCCTCTGTGTTCTCAGTTTCAATGGACCACCTTCCACCCAGGACCCCAGCCCAGATGGTGGGCGTCAGTCACGATGCCCTCTCTCCCTCTTCCTCGCATTCCGTCAAAGGCCACTTCCTGTTAAGAGTAGAGCCTGGATGTTCCAAACCAACTCCTCCACTAGGCACGGCGCTTAGGGTTCATGACACATGTAGGGGCTCATGAAAAAGTTTTCATTTCTTTTAAAATTAGAAGAATAAAATTAACATAACCTGGCCCAAAGTATATTCATTTTTATACCAATGCAGTCATCACACGTAATTTTAAATATCATTTAATGGAGGAAATGGTCCACAAAGTCAAAAGTGCCCAGACCCCACCAAAGTCAGCGCATGGCCTTGCTAAGGTTTCTTGAATCTGGTATACTGCTTCATGTCTGTTGTCACCACTGTCAGCCCTCCCGGGGACGTTAGGTGCCACCACACACCCTCCTTCTTGCTATGCCTCCAGTCTCACCCACTTCCACACCACTTTCTGCCCTGCAACCAGAGAGATCTTCCTGAGCTGCTTCTGCACTTCCCTGGTATAAAAGCCTTTTGCTCAGTGGTTCTCAAACATTAACAGGCATCAGAGGCGCTCGGAGCAGGCTGCGAAGATGTGGAGGGTTGGACCCTACTCCCAGCGTTTCAGACTCAGTAGATCTGAAGAGGAGCCTGACAACTGGCTTTTCTGACCTGCTCCCCTGGCTGCTGACCATGCTTTGAGAACCTCCTGCTCTAGCAGTTCCCCTGTTCTGTCAGGATGAAGTCCACACTTCCTCACAAGGCCCTTCCAGATATGGCCTTCTTTTTCCTTCTCGGCTTCATCCCTCCTCCTGCCTTTCTGAATCTGCCGTGCAGCCATCCTGCGATGGGTGCAGTTTCCCGGGAAGGCATGCTCTCCACCAGGCCCCTGCGCCTTTGCACAGGCATAGCCTCCCTTGCCGGGAACTTCTCCAGCCTTCACTCCCTTCCCCTGACCTGGCTGGTGCTTCTCAACCTTGCTGCCTGTTCTCAGAAGTCTCCTGTTCAGGAAAGTCATGTTGGTCCTCCACCTGCCCCCAAGACAGTGCCCCTCTAGGGGCTCTGACCCCACCCTGTGCTCACCTCTCCTGGCTTTTATTTCCCTGAACTCTAACCGCCTGCTTATTTTTCTTTCTTACATTTGTTTGTTGGTTTGTTTATTTATAGACAGGGTCTCACTCCCTTGCCCAAGCTGGAGTGCAGTGGCCCGATCATCGCTCATTGCACCCTCAACCTCCTGGGCTCAAGCAATCCTCCCCTCTCGGCCTCCCAAGTAGCTGGGGTCACAGGTGTGTGCTGCCATACAGGACTAATTTTTTTTATTTTGTGTAGAGATGGGGTCTCCTGGGCTATGTTTCCCAGGCTGGTCTCGAACTCCTGGCCTCAAGCAATCTTCCCACCTTGGCCTCCCAAAGCACTGAGATTACAGGCGTGAGCCACCACACCTGGTCTGCTCTCCCCCATGTCAAACCACGAGAGACCCTGGAGGGCAAGCAGTGGGTCTCACTCCCAGCTGTATCAGCAGTGCCCAGCCCGGGCCTGGCACTTCCTCACTGATGAAACGATCACTGAATGAATGGAGAAATGGGTGATGGGAGGGAGGCCCTTCTCTTTCATTATATAATGAAAATCTCCCTCCTTGCTAAGGCAAAGATGGAAATGTCAGAGGCAGAGGCTGCTTAGGGGACAGAGGGAAGAGGCAAAGTCTGCAGGAGGGGGTAGCACAGAGGTACCCTCCTTCCTGGAGGCCTCTTCTATCCCTCAACAGACCAGAGCAGCAGCCTGCCCCACCGGCATCTTCTCAGCCATCTCAGCCCATCAACCTCACCACCCCTCCCACGCCCCACCATTTGAGTCAGATGAGACCCACCCCAGGCACCAGCCCTTCCAGGGAGTCACCTGACCACTTCCGGGGCTCCCAGCCAGCTCCGCTGGGAGCCATGTGATCACTTAGGTATGCACGACCAGCTCCTCAAGGGATGCTCTGAGGGGTGACCTTGCTGTCCAGAACGGGCCCAGCTCCCTCCCTCCGAGTTTGCTGATATATGGTTGGGCTGATTCCCGGGTCTAGGGTGGGGGTATGGAGGGAGGAAAGCCGGGAGGAAAGGGCAGGGGAGACTGGTTTGTTCTCTGCAGACATCTGGCCCCGATTTCCAAGCCTGGGTTACATAACACCTGAGGAGAACTGGGCTCCCGTCACCCACACCTCTTCCCTTTCTGTGGAGCATTTCACAACTGCAGCTGCTTCTCAGAGGTCTATTTTGGGAGCTGTTTTCATTTGACCTATATTAAGCACAGTCACAAGGCAGAGGCAAAGTGCGGGGTGCAGGGTGGCCTGCCGGCTCTTTGTGCCGTTTTTAGTGTCTTGGGTGAGACAACCAGACAAGCTGGGGGCCCACAGCACTCACTCCAGCGCAGGCCAGGCCTCTGCCCCATTTCACAATTCTAATTTTCCTCCTCCTGAGGCCCAGCTAAAAGATTAGACCTTAGTCACTGCCACATTGGTCAGGGAGAGATTTCGGTTCCCTGAAGGCCTAGAAGCTATAAGGCCAGGCCAGGTTGCATCCTGGGTCTATGAAGTGCAGTTTGTAGAGAGTTTAATTGGCCATCAAGCCCCTCCACTGGGAATTCCCTTTCCTGAGGTAAAAATTAAATCACATGACCAGCAGGGGGAGAGAAAGGGCTGCTGGGAGCTGCATGGCCCAGGTACTGTGCTCAGGTAGGTACTGTGCACAAACAGGTACTGTGCACAATCAGGTACTACTCAGAGTTCCTGCTACACGAACTTTAAAGACCCGCGCATAAAATGACAAGGGAAATGCCTCACCCACTAAGCGCCCCAATTGTCCCTCTTCATCTGGGGTTATCTCCTGGATCAATGTTTTGTCCCTTGAGATTCTTTCTATCATCTCCCTGGACATCTCTTTCCAGGGCCTAGACATCTCTTTCCAGGGCCTAAACATCTCCCCCAATACTGCTGACCCCAAAACCCACATGGGAGGCGCCTCCTCTCTCCCAAGAGAGTCAAGCCCACATCTCCAAACAGTTGTCCCCCTGGCGCATCACATGTAAAGGGCTCAAAGTGGAACTGCATGCTTCCTTCCCACCCAAACCAGCCCTCTCCCCTCTGATGCTGCTCTTGGTGGGGCCCCTTCACCTGCCCCACCCTGTTTCTACCTTAGAAGGGGTGGAACGGGGTCTTCTCTCACTAGCTGGGGAGATCCTGAAGTTGCATTTCCTTGGAACTGCCAGAAAAGACTGCAGGCTGTGGGACAGGCTTTGGTGGGAGTTTGTCACACATACCAAAAGGGTCCCTTGACTCCCTCCCACCAGAGCTGGCTAGAGGCACAGCAGGAAGTGGAGAGGTGAGGCCCTTGGGAGTTGGTGCATGCGGTGTGTTTCATGTGGCCCAAGTGCTGGAGGCCTGAGGCTGAGAAGGCCAGGGGATGTGAACTAAAATGCAGAAGCGAAAGGAGATAAAAAGCACTAGAAAGTGCTAGAACTAGGCTTGGACTAGAGGGTGTCAAACCTGACGGATGGGCAGAAACTTCTAGGTACACAGCCCCCAGGTAAGATCAGAAAACGCACCTCACACAGGATGTGTGTGAAACCTGGAGAATGCAACAGGCTTGTTGGAGCAAAAGGTGGGATAGGCAAGAAAGAGGGAACCAGTCCAAGGGGGCCTGAATTCAAACCTGCTTTTCCAGCTGGGTGGCCCCTTCCCTCCCTCCTCTTCCCTCCCTCCTGTCTCTTCCTAGATCTCTCTCTCTAAAGACCACTGGGGGCCAGGTGCGGTGGCTCACACCTGTAATCTCAGCACTTTGGGAGGCCAATGCGGGCGGATCATGAGGTCAGGAGTTCGGGACCAGCCTGACCAACATGGTGAAACACCGTCTCTACTAAAAATATAAAAATTAGCCAAGTGTGGTGACACACACCTGTAATCCCAGCTACTCAGGAGGCTGAGCCAGGAGAATCACTTAAACCCAGGAGGTGGAAGTTGCAGTGAGCCAAGATCATGCCATTGCACTCCAGCCTGGGTGACAGAGCGAGACTCTGTCTCAAAAAATAAATAAATAAATAATAAAATAAAATAAAAAATAAAGACCACTGGGGACTCCTGGGGGAGAAGGGCAAGGGTCAAAGCTGTAAAGTCCTTTATTTAAGCCGAAATTATGAGACCACCTCAGGCAGAGAGCTGACGACAGCCAGTGGGTATCACAGTTTGAAAACAGGCTGTCTCCCAGGACATCCTACTGCAAAGAGAGATTCCCGGACAGTAAATATTTCTGTTTTGGAGGTGGGGAAGACGGGACAAAAAGAGCTGTGGAAAGAACCTGGAAGCAGAGCCAAGCAAGGCACTTGAGGGGTTCAGGAAGAAAAATCCACTTAAGTCGTCAAGGAATAAAAAGGCAGTATTGTTTTCTACCCAACAAAGTGCCAAAGAAGAAAAATAAAAGAGAGTGATCCCAATATTGGGAATACCGCCATTTTTAGTTGGGGTAAATGTCAGAAGCACTGTTTTTGTTGACATAGCATAATCCATAGAACTTTTTTTTTTCTGATACAGTCTCATTCTGTCACCCAGGCTGGACTGCAGTGGTGCCATCTCAGCTCACTGAAACCATCACCTCCCTAGTTCAAGTGATTCTTGTGTCTCAGCCTCCCAAGTAGCCGTGATTACAAGCATGTGCCACCATCCCCAGATAGGTTTTTTTTTTTTAAGTAGACACGGGTTTTGCTATATTGGCCAGGCTGGTCTCGAACTCCTGATCTCAAATGATCCACCGGCCTCGGCCTCCCAAAGTGCTAGGATTACAGGCGTGAGCCACTGTGCCTGGCCTAGAACAATTTTTTAATGAAAATATACATATCAAGATGCAAGCTCCCAGGCAGGTACAGTGGCTTATGCCTGCCATCCCAGCTACTTGGGAGGCTGAGGTGGAAGAGTTGCTTGACTCCAGGAGTTCGAGACCAGCCTGGCCAACATAGCAAGACACCATCTCTACAAAATTAATTAATTTATTAACAGCTCCCACTATTTAACTCAGTTTCCTCCTTCAGCTAATTTAGTAATACTTCAATGAAGAACAAAAGCTTCCTTGTCCACTAACTACATGCTGCACAAAGGTAGGAGCAATGACTTTCACCCTACACTTCTCAGCACCCAGCACTTTCCTGGAACACAGTGGATGCTCAATAGATATTTGTCGAAGGCCAGGTGTAGTGACTCATGCCTGTATTCTCATCAATTTGGGAGGGTAAGGCAGGTGGATTGCTTGAGCCCAGGAGGTCAAGATCAGCCTGGGCAACATGGCAAAACCCCGTCTCTACAAAACATTAGCTGGGCATGGTGGTGTGTGCCTGTAGTTCCAGCTACTCAGGAGGCTGAGATGGGAGGATTGCTTAAGCCTGGGAGGTGGAGGCTGCAGTAAGCCGAGATCATATCACTGCACTCCAGCTTGGGTGACAGAATGCGACCCTTTCTCAAAAAAAAAAAAAAAAGCTGTTGAAAGAACAAATTTGCAAAGAAGCTCCTTGATCACTGAGAACACCTTAAGTGGTAGGAGAACTGGTTAATTCCATCATGGTATACCCATTGATAGTAGTATTAGGCAACTGTTAAAAAGGTATGAATAAGAAAATAGCTATAAAAATGTGTGGGGACATATTGGGATATATGATTATCAACTGGGTACTAGATAATATTGGGGAATTTTTATTAATTTTCTTAAATGTGATGGTGGTTTTGTGGTTATATAGGAGAATTCATGTTAAAATATTTAGGAGTAATGCCAGGCATGGTGGCTCAGGCATGTAGTCCCAGCTACTGGGGAGGCTGGAGTGGGAGGATTGCTTGAGCCCAAGAGTCCTATGCTGACCAGATGTCTGCACTAAGCTCCACATCAATATGGTGACATCCTGGGAATGAGGGACCACCAGGTTACCTAAGGAAGGAAAACTCCCGTGCTGATCAGTAGTGGAATTGCGCCTGTGACTAGCCACCACACTCCAGCCTGGGCAACATAGTGAGACCCCATCTCTAAAAAAAGAAAAATATCTTCTTTTTAAATCTTTTAAAATAATTGTGTTAAAATAAAAAATCGGTATTTAGGAGTAAAGTGACATGATGTCTACAAGTTATTTTGAAAAGTTATGGCCCAAAAAATACCCCAAAATTTAACAATTGTTCAGTTTATTTAAAAAATACCCCAAAATACGGTGAAACCCTGTCTCTACTAAAAATACAAAAAATTAGCCAGGCGTGTTGGCGGGTGCCTGTAGTCCCAGCTACTCAGGAGGCTGAGGCAGGAGAATGGCGTGAGCCCGGGAGGTGGAGCTTGCAGTGAGCCGAGATGGTGCCACTGCACTCCAGCCTGGGCGACAGAGCGAGATCTGTCTCAAAAAAAAAAAAAACAAAAAAACAAAAAAAACCCCAAAACTTAACAATTGTTAAGTTTAGGTAAGGAGAATATCAGTATTTATTGTACTTTTTTTTTTTTTAGTTTTTTTTATGTTTGCAAACATTTACAATAAGAAGTTAGAAAACAGAATGTATTCCACGTAACAGGAGGCTAGAAGAAAGAAAGGAAAAAATGTTTCTGTATTTATTTCCTTTCTAATAAATTATAACTGCATGTTCATTGACTGTATTTACTTGCTAGAAATCATTTACGAGTAAATATCTGATAAAAAAGCAAAAAACATATAACAGTATATGACATGCAAATAGAATAACTAAAAATAGTTGGTATTCAGATGTTGAAATCATGTGTTTTTTTTAACTTAACTTCCTGTTATGTTTTCTTATCTTTGAAAGTAAGTTTAAAAGTTATTTACAGAAAGTAGTTCCCTGCCTGTCTTCCTTTATCTTATATATGGCCATGATGTATACATATATTCCCATCTTTATTAGAATCTTTTATGAACCAAGTTATTTAACATACCAAGTTGCAACTTTGTGTTTTGACTTGGTTAAATTACATTTTCTTTTATCACTGACCTTTGGGATGCAATAAAATAATTAAAATACTGTTCTTACCCTAAGAAAAACAAAATCCACCCATATTTGTTGCTTTAATGACATTTTACAAGGGAAATAAAAGATCTTTCCAAACATTTTTCTTTCTTCCTCCCTTCCTTTCAAAATAATTAATTTGTTTATTATTTTGGTAAATAAATAAATCTGTGCTTCTCTCAAACACTCCAATCTAAAAGTATTACATACATATTGTAAAAATCTGGAAAATATAAAAATACATACAGAAAAGAAAATTCTAAGAACAATAATTTTACCATCCGGAGATAACTACTTTTTATATTTTGTAATAGTTCTTTCTATCCTTTGTGTATGAATTTTTTTTGGTTTTGTGTACAATCATGTACTGTGGATGTGTGTGTGTGCACGCATGTACCACACAGATTCTATCTTATGGATACGCCATTATTTATTGAAGACATCCCCTCTTGGAGGACAGTTTATTTTTTTCTTCATTTTTTCCCCACTATCACTAGTGTTTATGACGTCCTATACATAAACCTTTTCCTGACTTGTGATTATTTCCTTAGATTTTGTTAGTAGAGTTTTCTTGAGCCAAATTATGGGAATTCTTTTTTTTTCTTTTTTCTTTTTTCTTTTTCTTTTCTTTTCTTTTCTTTCTTTTTTTTTTTTTTTTGGGACAGAGTGAGACTCTGTGACAGAGTCTCACTCTGTCACCAGGCTGGAGTGCAGTGGAGCGATCGCAGCTCACTGCAACCTCTGCCTCCTGGGTTCAAGCAATTCTCCTGCCTCAGCCTCCTGAGTAGCTGGGACTATAGGCGCGTGCCATCACGCTCAGCTAATTTTTATATTTTTTTAGTAGAGACGGGGTTTCACCACGTTGGCCAGGATAGTCTCGATCTATTGACCTCGTGATCCACCCTCCTTGGCCTCCCAAAGTGCTGGGATTACAGGTGTGAGCCACTGTGCCCAGCCAGGTATAAGAATTCTTTTAAGCCTCTTAATATATATGTAGAGAAGCAAAAAAGAAAAGTTTTCCTCTATCCTGTTAGGTTCATTATTTGAGGGCTGTAAATTGAACTGACAAACAGCAGATTAATAGGAGAAAAAAAGGTTTATTTATGTGCACGTGGGAGTCAATAAAAGAAGTAGCATATATCATCTGATTAGTTTCCAGATATATTTTGCTAATTTACACTCCTACTAAGCAGAAGGAGTATTATCACTCTTTAAAATCCTCACCAATTTGATAGGTTAAAAATTAATCTAATTTTCACTTTAAAAATTACTAAGTAAGGCAAAACCTTTTTAAATGGTTGCTTCTATATTTATTTCCTTTTTCATGAATTATAACTGCATGTTCATTGCCTATTTTTACTTGCTAGAAATCATTTACTAGTAAATTTAAATCCTTCAGATTTTACGTATTCAATTGTTACATTAGAATATTTATGAAGATAAACAGTGAAAAACTTGTGTATTTACCTTACCAGTGTGAAGAGAAATAAGAATTCATTTAATCACCAAATTCCTTAGTAATTTTGAAAAACAGAAGGGCCAGTTCATTTAATCGGGGCAATTTTGATTGTTATGCTAGCTGTCTTCAAAGTGAAATTCTGAACTAATGTCCAACACCAAGTTTTTTTAAAAAACAAACTCTGTGGATATTTAAAATCAGAGCTCTAAATTCCAAGGAATCTTTTCTTCTAACAACTTTGTGTGATGTCCCAAATACTTTAGAAATCCCAAATTACAACTTCGTGTTTCAACTTGATTACATTAAGTGCACCTCACCCCATAGCCGTGACCCAAAAACAATATTTTTAAATTTGCTCTCATCTCCTATATTTAACTTTCTCTTTCAGCCACAGCCAATCAAAAGAAAACACCAAATTGCTTGGTGATGTTTCTTCTTCCAAGTATGATACGTTATCTGTTTGTAGAGATTAAAGCAAAAGAATTTGTTCACAACTTTTCCAATTTTAAACCACCAACTGATTTGTCTCTGAGATTTATACAAGTATTTTCCAGAATTCTATTTCAGTACATATAAAAGGTCTGCTTGTCAGATTACATATTCTTTTCTTACGATCTCATTTCCTGTTGTAAAGCAAGTTGTCAGTGCCTGGCACACCTGCCAGAACTCATTCAAGAAATGCTTACTGGCTGGAGTTGATTCAACCACCCAGTAAAAGTGAAATGTTTCCTTATCTCTGGTTGTGGTGACAATCATTTTTAAACCTAGGCTGAATTTTATCGATATTCAAAAGAAAGAGAGCTTGGATGAGTCTGGGGGAGCTACCCGCAGCTCATTCCTGGTGTAGGACCCCCTCACCCTGGCTACTGCTCTTCTGTACTTCAGTGGAGCCCTGAGACATTCTCTCGCCAGGGCAGGCCCCTCTAGACTGTTGTAAGTAGGCTGGTTTTGAGAGCTGGGTCTTTTGCCAAACAGATTCATTTGAATAAGACACCAGGTCCTTGCCTCGAATTAGGGAATTCAGGAATTTGCAGCTGTGGGTAGTCCAGGCTTCTTCTGTGGGGGTTGAAAGAGGGCAGAGGTGGGAGGTGGGGTAGGGGTGAAGCTGAAAGGGACAGAGGTGGGTGCAGTCAGCTGCCCTGTCCCCCCACTGCCTGCCCCTGAAGCAACTCAGTGTGTTTTCTTGGTGTGCAGAATGAGCAATAGGCCCACTCCTGGCTGGCATACTCTTACAGCAAAGTGCCAGCTTTTCCAGACGAGTTTAGGGTCTCAGCCTGGCCCTGAGCCCAGTCAGCTGAGCACCAGCTGCAGTGGCGCCTTGCTGCTGCAGCCTGGGCGGTTCCATATCCGCCACTTTACACTCAGGTGCAACTGGCCACTTTGCCCACCTGCCCCCCGATACCAGGCGCCCCTACCAGGATCTTAAGGCCCTCAATGTATAAATGGTGGTGACCGTTACCAGAGAGGCTGAGTCCTGGGACCTGCCCAGGCATTTCTGCAGTAGACTAGAAGAGAGCAGCCACCTGCTTGCTCCAGTGACCTCTGGCTCTGTCCTGCCACCATTGCAACTAACCCAAGTGCAGGAAGACTCAGAGGCCACTGGTTCAGTGCCTCCATCCCTATGCCATCAAGTAGCCAAGAAAGGGCCTGGGCAAGATGACAGTGTGTTTTAAACCCGTTCTCCCTGTCTCCTGGCCTTCCCACCTGCTGTCGGGACACACTGCTCTACCATCTCCTTCCAATAGTCTTCTTGCCACTCCTCATTCTCAAATCTTTCTTGGCCAGGCTCGATGGCTCATGCCTGTAATCCCAGCACTTTGGGGAGGCCGAGGTCGGTGGATCACTTGAGGTCAGGAGTTCGTGACCAGCCTGGCCAACATGGAGAAACCCTGTCTCTACTAAAAATGCAAAAATTAGCTGAGTATAATGGTGGGTGCCTGTAACCCCAGCTACTCAGGAGGTTGAGGCAGGAGAATCACTTGAACCCAGGAGGCAGATGTTGCAGTGAGCTGAGATGACACCATTGGCAAGAGGATCACTTGAGCCCATGAGGTTGAGGCTGCAATGAGCTGTGATTGCGCCACTGCACTCCAGCCTGAGAGACAGAGCGAGACAACGTCACAAAAACAAACAAACAAATGAAGAAAACCCCATGGATCTTTCTCACATACTATCTTATTCCATTCAGGCTGCTATAATAAAGTACCTTAAACTGGGTGACTTATAAACAGAAATTTATTGCTCACAGTTCCAAAGGCTGGACAGTCTGAGATCAAGGTGCCAGCTGACTCAGTGTCGGGTGAGGGCTGGTTTCTCACAGACAGCGCCTTCTGGCTGCTTCCTCTCAGGGCAGAAGGGCCGAACAAGCTTCCTCAGGCCTCTGCCTCTTTTATAAGGGCACTAATCCCATTCCTGACGGTGAAGCCCTCATGACCCGATGACCTGCCCAAAGCCCCACCTCTTAATACTACCACATTCCAGATTATGTTTCAATATATGAATTTGGGGAGGACACATTCAGATCATAGCACATAACAACATAGAACTGTCCAGCAAGTTAGACTTTCACTTCTGTGTACACCCCAATTACTGACACAGGCACTGTCTTGAGGATGGGGAGGTGCCTCTGATGTTGGGTTAGAAATTCTGGGAACTACGGTGGATTAGCTCTGCTTGCCATGTGTAAAGGGGGAATATGGACAACATGCAGATAAATCTGCACTGATGTGTGACACTTTTACCTTGATCCAGTGAAAGACAGTTCAAACCATTTAGTTAAAAAAAAAAAAAACAAAAAAGAAGAAGAAGAAGGAGCAAGGCCAGGCACATGCCTGTAATATTAGCACTTTGGGAAGCTGAGGCAGGAGGATCACTTGAGGCCAGGAGTTTGAGGTATGGCTGGGCAACAAAGTGAGACCCACCTCTCAAGAAAAAAAAAAAAAAGAAACAAAAGAAACGAAACTCTGAGGTTGACAGTTCAGCCAGAGTAAAGCATGAGTAAAAAAATATAGAGAGTTACTTAGTTTTGGTGATGGTTATCATAACCTAGGTTTTACTTTTCTACCTTGAGGGAAAAAGGTTTTGGATGTGCAAAAGAAATAGAGGTATGACTTTTTTATCACTTAAATAACTGGTTTCACATACTTTGGATGGTTCTGTTAAATATTCAGCAGTGTAACGTGTTTTTTTTTTTGAGACAGAGTTTTGCTCTGTCACCCAGGCTGGAGTGCAGTGGCGCCATCTTGGCTCATTGCAACCTCTGCCTCTCAGGTTCAAGCAATCCTCCTGCCTCAGCCTCCCGAGTAGCTGGGACTACAGGTGTGCGCCACCACGCCCAGCTAATTTTTGTATTTTTTAGTAGAGACGGGGTTTCACCATGTTGGCCAAGATGGTCTCGATCTCTTGACCTTGTGATCCACCTGCCTCAACCTCCCAAAGTGCTGGGATTACAGGCGTGAGCCACTGCGCCCAGCCAGTGCCACAGAATCTTACACTGCAGTGGGAATGAAGCCACCACAGCTATTCATATCAATGTGACCAGCTTTTAGTAATGCAAGGCTGAGTGCAAAAAAAAACAGTACAAAAAGCTGTTGTACATGTTGTATAATACAGTTTCTTAAAACTTAAAAGCAAGCCAACCTAAACAGTATATAATTTTGGGATGCCCATACAATATGGTACAAAATATCTTCAAAGACAATATCACCATCAAATAAATGACAAGCGCAAAATACAGAACAGGGGCTGGCTCTGTTGGAGAGGTCGGAGGTAGAAATTGGAAGTCACCACACAGGTGCAGCTTCAACCAGGCAGTGTATTGATTGTGTAATACATCAAGGTTTCATGGTTGATTGGGTCCTTGTTGTGTTTTATGACTTAGATATGTGTAATATTCTTACGCACCATATATTACATCATTTAAATATGTTGGTGACTATAGCAGAAGGAGACATGAGGCATATTCACAACGTGCAAGTGGAACATCTTCAATTTAAACCCAGACAGCTGGACTTGGGATTCCAGACTCTTAAACCCACCTGATCATGATGTAGTATTGTCTTTTTAAAGGTGTTTCTGGCCGACCGTGGTGGCTCATGCCTGGAATCCCAGCACAGTACTTTGGTGAGACCAAGGTGGGCAGATCACCTGAGGTCAGGAGTTCGAGACCAGCCTGGCCAACATGGCGAAACCCTGTCTCTACTAAAAATACAAAAATTAGCCGGGCATCATGGTGCATGCCTGTAATCCCAGCTACTCAGGAGGCTGAGGCAGGAGAATCACTTGAACCTGGGAGGCAGAGATTGCAGTGAGCCATTGCACTCACTGCACTCCAACCTGGGCAACAGAGTAAGATTCCATCTCAAAAAAGAAAAAGAAAAAAAAAGAGTGTTTTCAGTTTAGGAAAAAAAAAAAATCTGTTATAGTCATTGGTATAGAATTAGAGGCCCAGACTCATTTTCCTACCCCCACCCCTTAGTCCTTTGATCTTCCCAAATGATCGTGGTTCCCATGGGTGTGGCTAAGAGGGAGTGTTGGGGACCAGTCTCAACACCACCCATAGGGTACCCAAAGTCTGGTGGTGACAAAGGAATGAGAAGAGACAGGTTAAGAGTTCATAAAGGTGGGAGCCAGGGGGCCAGTTGCAAAATGGAGGCTGCAAAAGGCCCAGAGTTCTGGTTCCACACTATTTATTGAGTACAATCACTTCGATCTAAGAAGCAGATGTTCAGGGTGAAACAGTGAAAGGGAGGCACTGCGTCACAGGCGTAATCTATAGCAATAGCGGTTTAAATGAATCTCCTTTGTGCTCAAACAGCGTATCTTTAACTTATCGGAGAGGAGCTAGTGGGAGTGTGCTTAACTAGGAGGCTGCACGTCTGTCCACATTCCAATGCTTCAAAGGAGTGTCTTTCTCCTTGAACACAGTGTTTATAGATAAGAGAGCAGGTCTCGCTCTGAGCATGGGAACATGATGGCAATTAGGAGGCTTTCCTCCTCAGAGGCCTCTTGTGGCTTTCCACAACTTATTGTCCCATATTTTTATGGCCAGTTTATGCAGGCGCCCCACAAGCCCTTTTCCCAACAGGGAGGAAGGTGCGATGGAGGGCTGGAAGCATGCTTTTCCGGCATTCCCTATAGAACATTCCCAGCCAGACCTGCCTGATGAGAAGGCAGAGGATTGACCAGACCTCAGGGTGTGTCTTCACAGGCACTCCAATGCCCCTGACCTGGCCAGCCGTTCCTCTGCCTGGAGTCACTCTTCGGGCTGGAGTTACATGTAAGGGCATTGTTTCTAGAACCCACTCAGGCTCTCCCCTGGCCTACCCACCAGTGCACCCACAGGAGTCAGCCCAGCAGGCGGCACAAAGCCCTTCTCAACAGAGGTGCTAGCAGGCGCAGGAGCAAGGCTGGGACCCCTCAAGCCTGGGAAGCTGGAAGGGGGAAGCAGGTCAAGGACAGTTAAGTAAGAGATGGGAAAAGTAGTTGCCTTCCAGAGGAGTGGAGAACCAGGGGGCCTCTGCCAGTGACTGCAGCGAACATCAGAGACCCATGGGAGGGAACACTGCAAGGACGGTGGACTTCTCTCTCTCTCTCTCTCTCTCTCTCTCTTTCGTATTTAACTGATGAGGCACTTGGTAAGGGGTTGCCAGGGAATGGGTTGCTGGAAATGAATCCAGGTCTTCGATTCCCAGCCCAGTGCATTGCTTTTTTTTTTTTTTTTTTTTTTTCTGGGAGACAGGGTCTCACTCTTTTCGCCCAGGTGTGCAGTGCCTCACTGCAGCTGCAGCCTCAACTTCCTGCGCTCAGATGATTCTCCCACCTCAGCCTCCTGGATAACTGGGACTACAGTCATGGGCTACCATGCCTGGCTAATTTTTTGTAGAGACGGGGTTTTGCTGTGTTGCCCAGGCTGGTCTTGAACTACTGGACTCAAAGTATCCACCCACTTCAGCCTCCCAAAGTGCTGGGATTACAGGCATGAGCCACCACGCCTGGCCCCCAGTGCATTGTTATGGCAATTTTCTTTCTCTCTTCCCTTCTCCAGAATTCTATCCAGGGCCAACCCGTCAAAACATATTGAAAATGGAGAGAAAACAGAGCTCAAGTAATTTGGAGTGACATGGAGGCATGATCACCTCAGTATAAAGGTCCTTAGCATCCCAAATCAGGAGCTATCAAACCTATAGGACTCACAAAAAGGTAAACTAAGGTCCAGAAATCCACTCCAAGAAGCATAATGGCCAGTCTAGATTTTACACTAGATCAGTCCTGCTTCACATGTCTCCCGGCTGGCCAGCCCCGGATGTCCGGCCACTGTGAGCCGATAGCTTTTCTGCTGTTTGTTTTCTACCTGTGTGCAGGTGAGCAGAAGTAGGAGCAAAGCCTCCTCCCATCAACCAGCAACCACCCCTACCTTGCTTCTTCGTGGCCTTCCCTCTCCCCACCTTCCATGGCCTCTAGCTCAGGTAGCCAGAATTAATTACTGGTGGGGTTGAAGCCATAACTTGTTCCCTGGCTGTAGGCCAGGCTCTCAAGATGTGCGTCAGAAAGGCCAGTGAGTGAAATTCCAAAGCAGTGTGAGTCACCAGGGGCTGAGAAGAACAGGCCAGGACAATAAGAGCAGGATGTGGACCAAAATAGTGCCCTGAGGGCCAGGGGCTGGGCCAGGCATCAAGAATGCTCACCTGGCCAAAGATGGGGAACAGGGCCTCCGGTCTAGGTGGTTTATCTCTGTGCTCTGCACAGCCCTGGACGGGGAACAAAGCCTCTGGCCCAGGGTTTATCTCTGGGCTTTGCACAGCCCTGGAGGAGGAGGGAACTGACCAGCAGGCCGGCCCCCTGGTCACAGGAATCATGTCCTTCACCTGCCTTCCCATAAGCTGGACTTTGGATCCCAGCCCTTAAAACCCTTGTGTTGTTTCTTCCTGCAGACCTGGTCGAGAACACTACTTCAGGACAGGGAATAGTGACAGGCCAGCAGAGCCCCAGAGGCGAGGTGGCAGGTAAGTCTACAATCCTTGGGCCCTTGCTCTGTGCCCAGGGAAAAGAGAGGGATCTCCAAGCCCTGGCTTCTCTAACCTATCTTCACCTGGTCACTCACAGCACTGCACAATTTCCAGTTCTCAGAATCAGATTTCTTCCAAAGGAGGGATGTGTGAAGGGAGCACGAGGGGTGGGGGCAATCAGCAATCAGGAATCTTCCCCATCAAGGTGCGGTGGCCCCTGGACTGTGGCCCAGCAGCAACCTGTGGCAGCCAGATCTGGGGCAGGAGGTGGAGGGCTTCCACTCGTCATGAGGGTGTCCAGGGGGAGTGTCACCAGTCGCCATGTGCCAGCGGCAGGCCTGGATGCCACTCTCTCCTTGTGACCCTGGCCAGGACGGAACGGAAGGCCCCCAAGATCAAGTAGATGACACTGCACCCCACCCCCCACAACCCACTGAATCCTATCCATCCAGAGGGGTCACTGGCCAAGGGGAACACAGGAACAGCTTGTGATAAAGGGCCGCCTAGGCCCTCATGCCCACTCTATCTCCTGCCCCTCCCCAACTGAAGGCTGCTCTCCAGCATCTCTGTTGTCCTGCTCCTTCCCCTTTTTTTTTTTTTTTTTTTTTTTTGAGATGGAGTCTCACTCTGTCACCCAGGTTGGAGTGCAATGGCGCAATCTCGGCCCACTGCAAACTCCGCCTCCCGAATTCAAGTGATTCTCCTGCCTTAGCCTCCCATGTAGCTGGGATTACAGGGGCCTGCCACCATGCCTGGCTAATTTTTTTGTTTTTTTAATAGAGACAGGGTTTCAGCATATTGGCCACACTGGTTTCGAACTCCTGACCTCAAGTGACCCGCCCACCTCGGCCTCCCAAAGTGTTGGGATTACAGGCGTGAGCCACCGCACCTGACCTCCTTCCCCCTTTTCTTACTACTCACTCCCACGTCCTGGGTGGCCCATTCATGGCTCCACCCAACTCTGGGAGCTCCCCATCCTTCAGGCAGCAGGATCCATTTATCAAGAGAAACTGAGCAGCATCCCTAATCCTCTCCCTCTCTTGCCCTCAGCCCCCCAAATTTTGTTCCTTTCTGTAGCCACACTTGGCCAGGAGCTCTCAGGCTTACTGTAGGAATTCCTTCCAGGGCAACAGAGACCCCCAACCACTCCCCCACCCACAACCCAGCCAGGCTGCTGTCACTTCCTCGCAAAGGAGTAGCTGAATGGGTCACCCTGGCTTTTGGAAGGGTTGGGGCTGAGACAGATGCTAGCGAGGCTATGATAACTCAGACAAGGGGCTGAGGCTGATAGCCTCCACCGACACAGGTGGAGAAGGGCACGGGCTCTGCAGAAGTGGCAGCTTGGCTGATTTGGGCCCTCTTACCTCACCATGTAAGGATCTTGCTGGCCCTGTTAAGTTCACCTTTGCCTCAGACTGTAAGTTAAAGAACTTTGTATCTTCTCCCTCTTCCCTGACCTCTAGAGGAAACTCATCTGTAACTGCTAAGACCTGTCAGTTCCTCTGATGGCCATCTCTATCAATACACGCATACTTTCCTTCAATTGAGTTAAAAGTCACGTGCCTTGAAGCAAGAAAACATTTCCACTTTCTTTTTTTTGAGACTGAGTCTCTCTGTGTCGCCCAGGCTGGAGTGCAGTGGCACTATCTTGGCTCACTACAACCTCTGCCTCCTGGGTTCAAGCAATTCTCCTGCCTCAGCCTCCCAAGTAGCTGGGATTACAGGTGCATGCCACCACGCCTGGGTAATTTTTGTGTTTTTAGTAGAGACAGGGTTTCATCATGTTGGCCAGGCTGGTCTTGAGTTCCTGGCCTCAAGCAATCCACCAGCCTTGGTCTCCCAAGTGTTGGGATTACAGGCATAAGCCATGCATCTGGCCGCATTTCAACATTCTTAACTCCCTACTGGGCAAGGATTGTTCCCCGGGGTGCTTGTGGATGTGGCAGGGCTCCAGGTCTAGTTTCAGCTGAGCCATTCCTGCCTCTCTGTTCTGTCTCCCTAACATGTCTTAGGCTAACATCATACAATCAGAATTTCAGAACTTGGGGATCATCTAAGGAAACTGCCTAGGTTCAGGCAAGCAAGAGGAAACTGAAGGCCAGAGGTAAAAGCTGGCATCAGAACCACAGCGCTGGGGTCTGACACAACTGCAAACTAGCCGTGACTTTGCGTAGGCCTCAGTTTGCTCATCTGTAAGATAAAGAGGGTGATTTTGACATACATTAAGCATAACGTGCTAGGGCAAGAGGCCTCAGGGCTGTGCTGTGCGTCTGTCTCCCCAAGAGGCTCTGAGCCAGACGCCTGATGAGAACCCTCATCCTGCCTGCCTGCTTTGCAGCCCTGGCAAGTCACATCCCCTCTCAGAGCTCCAGTTTCCTTCTCTGCCAAATGCGGATAAGAATAGTTCCTCCATCTCATAGGATTGTTTTGAAATTTAAATGAGGTAGTACATGCAGCACAATCCCGGGCATGTAATAAACATTCAGTAAGTTATTATTAGTATTAGTATTATTAGACTTAAGCTCCTTGATGACATGATAGCATATCATCATTTTATCATCCTCACCATCTCTTGCACAGGGTGTGGCACTAGCGAGAGCTTAACATGCATTTGATAAATGAAAAAAAGAAAGGATAAACGAAGGAAGGACCAAACAAGTCTCATATTTTTCAGAGAAAAGGGGGACCCAGGTTAAGCAAGGGGACTTGGGGTGCTGTACAGGCAGGTCAGGTGTATTTTGGCCCAGAAGGGCTGCTGGTGCACCCGTGCCACCTTCGCCCTCCACACCCCCAGCACCCCACCTTGCAGGCCTGCAGCTGGGAGGCAGCCTGCAGGCAGGACATCTTGGCTGGACCTTGGACTTGATACCTCCTAGTCCCCGGCTCTCTGGGCCTCAGTTCTGCATCTGTGAAGGGGCGGCCGCTGTGAGGCTTTGCAGAGGTGGCAGCGCGTCAGTCCACTCTAGGGAGACTCTCCCCTCCAGCCAGGCTTCCACCAGCAGCCCAGGCTCCCAGGGGGCTCTCTGTTGGCACCTCCCAGAAGGAGGAGGAAGAGGGTGGGTTGGGAGGAAGATCATGTGACCTAGAGTGAATGTTTCCAGGCAAGTGGTAAGCCACAGACAACCAGAAGGTTGAGGCGTGTGTTTAGTGGCTTTTGAGGCACCCTGAACCGTGTGTCCAATGGGCAGTACAGCAGCAGCCTGTGGCCCCCGCCGCTCAACCCAGGCCCCCGCATCCCAGGCCATCTGGGGTCCAGCCTGTTCCACAGAAGGCTTCTAGCTCAGCATCGGCTTCTTGCCTCTCCAGTCCCTGCATCAGCTGCCTATGGTCTGGCCTGCTTGCCTGCCTCCCCCGACCTCAATTCATGCCTTGTGGAGGGGTCAGAGGCTGTGTCGGGGGGAATAGCCATGTCCTGCAGCGCAGTGCTTTGGCTGTGACAAGTCAGACTGGACACTTGGTTTTCTCCACCCAAGTCCTTTCCCTCTTCTTAGCTTAAAATTTGTCACTCTGGGAGGGGGTGGGATTCCCGTGGGTGAGCTCAGAGGTAGCTGCTAACTTGGGCTGATGGGAGCCTGAGAGAGGGCTGTGGGTCCGGAGAAGGCCAAAGCAATGCAGCTGCCCTGTGGGCTTCTCATCACTGTCAGCACCTCAGGAAACTTCTGGCCGGCTTTCCCTGCCCTCGTCCATCCAGGGCCCATCCAGCCTTGTATACTTCCCACCAGGGTCCCTGGGGTCCTGGCCGTCCCAGCCTGCTAATCTGTGAGCTGTACAAGCCAGGGCCATGTGCATTTATTTTTACAGAAATCTCTGCTCAGGAAGTGAGGAAAGGATAGGACAGATAAACAAAAGGGAGGAGGAGAAGTGAGGAGGAAAGAAGGAGAAAAGAGGGGTCTGTGAAGATGGGCTGGAGGGTCTTTGATGGATGAATGAGTCTGGTGGAAAACACAGAGCCCTGGACAGTTGAGGGCATTCTCTTCTTTCAACTAGAAAAAGTCAGGGCCAGAGACCCCTCAGGTATCATCCAGGCCAATGACCTGTTTTCTTGAAGAACCCATGGGGACAGGAACTCAGCTCCTGACTCCACTCCACGGCTTTTACACCATTCTCTGACTTGCATTGTCATTTGGGGGTCTGTGTACCAAGAAGGCAGAGGGTAAGGGGGATGGCTGGGCAGGGTCCAGCCTGGAACTCTGCAAGAGGAGCTCAGAGCACAGGTGAGAACCACAGCCCTTCCCAGGTGGCCCCTGGCAATCCTCCAACCTGGGTCAAAAGCAGCTACGACCCTAAATTCATGCTTAGTTACTGACATCCAGCAATGCCTAAGGGAAGGGTCAAAGTTCAGGATTAGCTGACCTTGATAAGAACACTGAGTCTTCCAAGTGTTTACTACACAGATCCTGTACCCCTAGTCAGACAGCCTAATTGAAACCAGCCTCATTGCAATGTGATCATGTTTTTAAGCAGCCTGTTCTGTTCCACGCACTCCTTTATCTGGAAGCAGTAAACAAGAATATGCACGCGCAGTGGACCACTTCTGAAGGTCAACATATAACTTTCTCATCCCTGACATCAACTGTCATCCCTGTGAGCAGAACCAACTACCAAAGGAGAGAGGTGGGTCAGAGGAGAAGAGATGGGGGGGCTCCTGGACACACATCTCCCCTGCCCCCTCTAAATACTGCAGCCACATAGAAACCCATGGGGAACAGTTGGGGCTTTTTATAATCTTTATTTGTTAACAGTTCAGGCTATTTTTTTTCCATGCTGCAAGAGATGCTAATGCCTCATGAAAAAGTTGTGAAAAAAAACCAAGTTTATTTTGGGGTGATCAGCCTCCTCAGAGCTTCTCACTCCCAGCTCTGCAGGGCTTAAGGAATGGGACCTGCCCTCTCTCAGGAGGTCTGCAGCTTGGTCAAGGAGAAGGAGTCTTAGACCTGGAAGCCCTGGCTATAATTTGCATTTTTGTCTCCCTCTTGTACCCTCTCTGCCTAGAAAACAGGGTGGAAATCACAGGATCTAGCTTCTTTCTGCTGCAGACCTGCTTGATGGTGGCTTCCAGGCCCTGTCCTGAGATATCACCATCCCAGGGGACTTAGAGTGGATCAACAATCATTGATATATATCATGCATTTCCTTTGCATGCAGTGTTTCACGTCATTAAGGGTGGTAATTGGAGCTCTTGAAAGACACAAACCATGCCCCAATTTCTTTACTGAAGTCGGAGATGTTTCAGAGATGCAATAAATGTTTCATGGAGGCCTTGGCCAGCTGTGACTTCCTGGGAGGCAGGGCCAGGGTAGGGAGGACTGGGGGAATGGGCACAGGAGTCTGCATGCCCACACCTCTGCCAGCAGGGACTAGGCGTAGCCTGGCCAGACCAGACTGGAAGTGGATTCTTCAGGTCCCACTTGGAGCAGCTCTGCCAGCTGCACGATGTGGCTGTAGAATGGCTGCAAGAGGCTGGCCAGCCGGGAGGACCCCACTGTCAGAACTCTGACTGGTGCTCCCTGTTCTGGGCTTCATTTTTCTGGGAGACCCACAGGGCACTAGAGCCAAGGTGCGCATGGGATTTATGGGATTTTTCTTTTTTTCTTTCTTTTTTTTTGAGGGGAGAATGTGTTCTTGCTCTGTCACCCAAGCTGCAGTACGGTGGTACGATCATAGTGCACTGCAGCCTCGAACTCCTGGGCTCAAGAGATCCTCCCGCCTCAGCCTCCAGAGTAGCTGGGACTACAGGCGTGCACCACTGCATCCGGTTCTACATGGGATTTTTTGATCTTGGGGGATTAGGCCCTTACTCTCCGTGCTGTCTGCCCTCCACACACGGCCCAGATGGCAGAGGCACAAATGGGAGGTGGCTCCCCCTTTACCCAGGGCATGGGGCTTATGTCTGTGAGGGGGAGCAGGCACAAGTGGAGAAGGAGTTAGAAGGGTGTCAGTGCTGGAAGGGACAGGAAGAAGGCCATGTAGCCACCCCTGTCTTCAGGTAAGGGACAATGTGATCTCCCCAAAGGGAGACCAGAGAGATTAAGGTTCTTGCTCAAAGTCACACAGCCACTTCCAAGGTTGGCACCGAGTTCATTGGTTGCTCCTCTGCGTTGGTTTCTTTTCACTCCTGGGAGCTTCCTCTTCTCTTGGCTTCTCTGGCTTCCCTGCCCCTGAAGGGTTGTCACAGAAGTGCCCTTCCATCCTCCCTGAACCACACAGTGCCAATAACCTCCAGAGCTGTCTGCCTGGCATCTCTAACCTCTTCCCTGATCACTTCCAATCTCTCCTGAAATTCTAGACTTTTCTTTGGCTAAACTGGTCCCAAGACTGTGACTGACCATTTAAAGAAACTGAAGGTGGGGACGTTGCAGAATTAGATTCTCTTTCTGTCTCTTACCATGTGTTTAATCCTCACTCTCTCTCCAAAAAATACCTCCTCCTTCCATTCTCAGCCATGCTGGCCATCAGCTGGTCTTTTTCTGAGTCTCAATTTGGGTCAGGAGATGTTTCAATGAAAAGAATGACCAAGAAAATATAGACCTTCCATGCTGGGCACGCACAGAGGATATCAGGGCCAGAATGAGTCTTGGAGGTCACCTGACCTGGCCCTTGTCCATGAGAAAGTGAGGCCCAGAGAGGGAAGGATATTGTCCAGTGTCAAGCAGCTTTGTGCAGGCAGAATCCAGGCCTCCGATGCATGACTGACCGCTCTTTTCCAAATCGCCAAACCAGCTCAGTATCCACAAATGCCTGAGGCACATGATGCACCAGGACCCCAGTTTCGGCCTCTCATCTAGTCCCTTGACTCCCTGGGTGGCCTTGGTCTTGGCCCCCAGGCTGGGGTCTCACCCCGCGCTGGACCCGGACATCAGGGGCCGCTCTCTTGTCCTGAGTAGGGCCCTCTATCTGGGCTGAGCGACCTTGGAGTAATTCGCGGTGTGCTCATTCCCTTTCTCCCCTCTGTCTCCCCTGCCCCGCCCCATCCACTCCTGTTCCTCACAACCAGGAGCCTGGAGGGAACACAGAGCGATGCAAGCCTGGAGAAAAGGCCCCGATGGCCCCCAGAAGACCTCTTCAGACAGCATGTGAGTAGCTACTGTGTACTGTGCTCTCCCTTCCCAAACATTGATTCATCCATCGAGCATTTATTAAGCAACTCCCAAATTGTTTGTTGAAGCACTAGACTGCAAGCACTAGACCAACATAAAAAAAAATACCTTTCTTTTTGAGACAGAGTCTCACTCTTCACCCACTGCACTGGAGTGCAATGGCGTGATCTCGGCTCACTGCAACCTCTGCCTCCCAGGTTTAAGCGAGTCTCCTGCCTCAGCCTCCCGAGTAGCTGGGATTACAGGCACATGCCACCACGCCCAGCTAATTTTTGTATTTTTAGTAGAGAAGGGGACTCACCTTGTTGGCCAGGCTGGTCTCAAACTCCTGACCTCAGGTGATCCACCTGCCTTGGCCTCCCAAAGTGCTGGGATTACAGGCATGAGCCACCGCGCCAGGTTCAAAATACCTTTTCGAATAGGCATTATCTTTTTTAAAAATTTTTTTTAATAGAGACAGGGTCTTATTATATTGCCCAGGCTGGTCTCCAACTCCTAACCTCAAGCTATTCTCTCAGCTCGGCCTCCCAAAGTGTTGAGATTACAGGCATAAGCCACCACACCCGGCCTGAACAAGCATTATAGTGTTGCTTCCTGGCCTGTGAGCAGGAACCTTGTCTGAGGAAAGAGAAATCTGCATCCTGGCTCTTACGAAAGCTCCCCTGCCGGTCCCAGGGAGTTCTCAGTACAATCAAGGACAGAGAAGAACCCAATGATAGATTGGTGTGATTGGTATTATTAGGGGAGCACAGGGGAAGAACAGGAAAGTTACACTTTGTCAAGTGTAAGAAAGTATTCATGGAAGGCTTGCTGGAGGAAGTGATATCTAGGCTGAGACTTGAAAGATGAGTACACATTTATCTGGTGAAAGGAGTAGAAATAGAGTGTTCGGACTGAAGAACTGCTTGTGCAAAGTCCCAGAAGCTTCCTGTATCCTTGTGGGGACCTGATGGTGTCCCTTAAGGCCTGGACAGGGAGGCTGAGAGACTCTAGGCTTTCCAGATTCAGCTCCTTCACCCTGCTGGGGCTCTGCATCTTGAAATGCCTCTGCTTTTGCTCATGGCTGGTTCTGAACTTTGCCCCAGCTGCAGGGTAGGAACACCACGTGCCCCAGCCTGCACATGGCAGGGGATGGGGGGCGGAGCTCATGTCACAAGGCCCATGGGGTGGGCTCCGCAGAGGCTGTAGTGTTCCAGGAGAGGGGTGCCATGAAAGCGCGGTTAGTAGCCTGCAAAGTGTTGAAGGGTAAAGCTGCCTGTGAAGCAAAGGGAAGGTGCAGGTTGGAGGATGGACTGAGCCAGGCGGTCTGCGTTGGGCTGGCACTGGGAAGGGGCCTTCACAGCCACAGGGAGAGCAACGCTGGTGGGACTGGCCGGGGAGCCTGCTGCGCTTTGCTAAGAGCCAGGATGGAGGTTTCTCTTTCCCCAGAAAAGCCTCCTGTTCACAGGCAGGCATCTGCCCGGCTTCAGGAAAACAGCAGCCGCGTGATGGCCTGGAGGAGGGTGGTGTGGGGAGGCATAGAGGGGGTGCCTTCTGGGGACAGGTTCCAGGGGTTTATGTCACTGGGGAGGTGGGTCACAAGAGGGATTTGGTGAGGGAAGAGATGCTGGGGTTGGGCAGGGGCAGGAGATTGTAGAATGGAACCTGCCTCCATGCTGCCAGGAAGCCCTTGGGCTACAGCCACGCAGCCAGGCACATGGCAGGACATTGCCAGACCCACCAGCAGAAGCAGATTTGGGAAGCCAGCAATGGGGGGAGTCAGTGCTCAGGCTGAACTGCTCCTCGGAATCACACCAGTGTTTCCAAGCTGCAGCAAATGGGCAGAGAGGGCTGGTGTGTGTGTGTGTGTGTGTGTGTGTGTGTGTGTGTGTGTGTGTGTGTGTGTGTGTGTGTGTGTGTGTGTGTCTGTGTGTCTGTGTATGTAACGGAATGGAGGAGGCAGAGAAAGAAAGAGGCCAGGAGCTTTTGTCTCCCACCCAGGCCTGCCTTGAGAAGTCACCTGAATAGAGGAAAATGGACTCCTCAGGGCCTGGGGTGGGAGGGCGCAGTGAAGGGAGTGGGAGGCTTCCTGTGCTGTGAGACGCTGCTGCCTGCCGGGTGCTAACAGCTGGGGACAGGGATGGGCATGAGAAGGCCCAACAGCACCTTGCTTGCTGGTGGGGAAGCCTGGCCTCTGGGAGTGGCCCTGTTTTCCAGGATCTGGCATTGGAGAGATGGGCAAAGATGAAGGGACGTGCCAGATCCTCAGCTGGGGTACCAGGGGCTGGAGGCTGTCTTGAATAGCAGAGTGGGGGTCCCGGGGCAGTCCTGGCCAGGGCTGGCTGGGAAGAGGCCTGGTTTTAGCCACAACTGGGGCACAGGCCGGCGGCTGCAGCTTGCTAGTGGTCTGCCCCTCATACAGCGTGGGGAATGCTGCCATCTGAGCTGTGAGTAGTGAACCGCTGGAGCTCCTCGCAGGCTGGCCTGAGGAGGAGGTCTGCAGAGGTCCCCAGACGGCCTAGGGTGGGACATGGATGGGGCGGCTTGACAGTGACAAGGGGCTGCAGAGGATGGGCTGGGGGGCACTGGTAGGAGAAGGTGGGGACTTGGAGGAACTCTGATGATAAGAGGGAACTGATTGGGGCGCCAACCATGACAGCCCTAGAGGTGAAATGATGGGGAAGGACTTTGATTTGGAGAAAGGCTGAAAGAGGGAACTGCATGCAAAAAGCAGGGCTGGGAATTGAGGGAACCTCCCCAGCAAAGCTCCTGCCTCTGCCTGAAACAGTTCACTGAGTGTGAGCGGGGCGGGGCGGGGGCTGTGGGGGTGCAATTTCATTTGACACCCACATTTTTGTCCAAGACCCTTCCACCCCAATCAACACTACACCTTGGAATTCACACAGTCCAGCCTGGTTGAGGCTTCCAGGCTGAGCTGGCTTTTTCTCCCAAGGCAGAAAGGGCATTGGCTCTAGCTTACAGTCCGAGCAGCCACCCTCTCCTGCTTCATGACTTTGGGTGGACGGGAGTTCTGTCTTCCTACTCCTTGCTCCACAGGGGCTATGGTCCTGCCAGGACAGGTGAAAGGTGATGTCAACTGGCATCTGGCATTCAGCTGGTCTCTGGAGGTGGGTGGAGGGAACAGGGTGTCCGTGGGAGAGACCCTGGCCTGCCGTGGGAATCATGCAGAGATCTCAAGTTATGATTTTCTCTGGCGCAGGGGCTCTTTGGCACACAGAAGATGGGGTAAGTCTCTTCAATGCCAAACATGTGGAGGAAGAACATGTGTGAGCATGGTTTACTTTCTCTCCTAAATATGTATTCAAATAAGTACTTTCTGGTTTATGGAGGGTGAGTTCTAACCAGAAATGAGAAGTAAGTAGCACTGTCAGTCATTGTTAACCTCTTGGCTAGCTCTGAGTAGATTGAGAAAGGGGTGGGAGAAGCATCCTCCAACAACCGAGCACTTCCTGTACATTGACCAGGTAGGTAGGCACGTTGATCACAAACACCTTGAGGGACAGCTTCCAAGTATATGCATTCACAGATGAGAAGCATGCTTCAGACAACACAAAATTCATTTTTAACCCGGCTTTCTTTTGGCAGTAAATTTCTCTTCCTAATCATATTTTGCATAAACTAATATTAGAGTGGATTTGCATTTTCAGAGCACAAGATGGAGGAGTGGTGGAGGCGGTTCAGGTGGGTGGCAGGCTGGTCTGGGCTTTAAAAATTGTCCAGAGGTAACTGAGGAGATGAATCAAACCAGACTGAGCTGACTACTTAACACTAGCAGTCAAGATCATCCTGGCTGGGCATGGTGGCTCACGCCTGTAATCCTAGTACTTTGGGAGGCCAAGGCAGGCAGATCACCCGAGGTCAGGAGTTCGAGACCAGCCTGGCCAAGGTGGTGAAACCCCGTCTCTACCAAAAATACATAAATTAGCTGGGAATAGTGGCGTGCACTTGTAGTCCCAGCTACTCGGGAGGCTGAGGCAGAACTGCTTGAACCCAAGAGGCGGAGGTTGCAGTGAACCAAGATTGCACCACTGCACTCCAGCCTGGGCAACAGAGGGAGACTCAAAAAAAAAAAAAAAAAAAAAAGATTATCCTGATAAAACCAGCCTTGAATATGGAAAGTGTCTTCTAGGGACCCCTCAGGTTATAGATGTTATACCTTAGAATCTCTCTATTTTACAGAGGGGTAAATTGAGGCAGAAAACCCAAAGAAGGCTTAGGGACGATTTTCGAGGCTACTCACTTCATGGTGTTTCTTTCAGAGATTAGCAGCTATTACTGAACTCCAGGAGGCAACAGGAGGGGGATGGGATGGAGGTGGGGACCCGCTGAAGAAGGCCTAGGTGGGAGACAGGTAACGTGGTACAGGTACCCACCCCACAACTCATTAAGGGCCATGGAGGGAGGAAGGCTCTCAAGTGCCACGAAAATTCCCAAAGCAGCAGAGGGCTTGTATGGAAACGCCGGTTATTCGTCCCTACCCGGCCCCCGCCCCCCGCCCCCCCGACTGCCCCTGCCGTCGCCTCCCCGTGGGCAAGTGGTGGGGGCCTGGGCTTACAACCACACGTTCTCCTCCAACTAGCATCCCTTCCAGGGTGCACTAGGATGCCTCTCAGAGGTTCTCCCCCGCCTCCCGAAGGAAAGGGGAAAACCCCGTGGGCGTCCGGAGAGCCTTTGCGCCTCGCCAGGTGGAGGGACCGGCGCCACCCAGACCCGCGAGCCGAGACCCTCCCCGCGGCGTCGCTGCGGGAGGGGCGGAAGAGCGCGGGCGGTGGGCGGGAGCGGTGCTGCGAGGCGGGATCTGCGGGGCGTCCAATCCCCTTCTTCCCCCGCCCGCCCCCTCCCCGCCCCCCGAACGCTTTCCACCAACTGCGCGCGGCAGTGGGCGGGGCCCGTCACGGCTGTCGTCTTGGGTGCGATTTTTTTCTCCTCCTTTTTTTACCCTCCCGTTTTTTTCTTTTCTTTTTTTTTTCCCTATCCTTTTTTTGTGAATGAAAAAAGGAGGTCGCGAGCGGTACCTGGGACTGCAGCGCCAGGCGTCTTCGCGGCAGCGCCTTCGCCGCGGGCCCGGGCGCGTAGCGGCGGCGGCCTCGCCCCTCTCCCGGCGCCCCTGCGCGCCGCCCGCTGCCTCCGCAGCCCGGCTCCGCGCGCCGCCGTGACATTGGGCGCCTGGCGCGCGGGGCGATGCTGATCCGGAAGGGGCAGCGGCTGCAGTGCAGCGCGCGCGTCCGCTCCTGGGCCCACGTCCGGCCTGGGCTGCCCTGCCGGAGTTTCTGAGTGGCCGCGAGCTGGCCGGGAGGCTGGAGCCCAGCAGCAGCGCGGCGGCGCCGGCGTCGTCCCAACTTGCAGGCGCGGAGGGACCCCTGACATTTCACTAAAATGAGCGTGCTCAGCAGGAAGAGATGTGTTCCTCACGCTAGAAGCCACCCCGTCACATGTAGTGGTGTAAGTAGATGGCTGCTTGCGGTTATGGCGGGGTGGCCAGCAGCCCTTGCAGACGCGCCGCTCCGCCCTCCCTGCCCTGCCGCGCCCCTCGCTACGTTCCCCGGGCCCCGCTAGTCCCTGGGCTCTGGCTTCGGCTGCTGGGTACAGCGGGGCTGGAGCCTAATCCTTTCCGGTGTTTCTAGGGAAAGGAAGATGACTTGATTGCTTCGGCCTGTCGTGCCCCTCCCCCTTCTCGATGTTTAAAAATTTTTAAATTTCTATTTTGTGTGTGTGCAGAGTAGCGTGTCAGAAAAAAGGAAAAACGGTCCAGAGTGGTGGGAGTGATTCTGTTAAGAAAACAAACACAAAACAACAGTGGAATTGGGGTGTTTTGCTGGCGGTTCCGGAGCTGGTTCTTTGAACTCAACTCCATTGCAGTCTATGTAACTGAGTTCTGTGAAACTACTGGGGAGATCTTTGGCGGTGTTTGGTGATGTGTCCACATTTTAGGTTTGAGGGGGCTTATCTGTGTTTAGGCTTGCATTTCTTTAATCTGACCATTCAGGGTCCCTTTGGGCCTTGCTTTCTGTTGGATCTGCACGGGGCTTCTTGCAATGCCAGCGACCCCCGTGGGAGCCTCCCCGAATTAGGAGTCCACTCTCTCTTTGTTCTTCTCCTTCCAATTCTCCATTCAATCCATCTCCCTTGATTTTACCTTCATTTTCAGGATTTTCCTCCCATTCCCATTTTGTAAGATGATGTGGGATACTGGTTGCTAGGAGACAAGCCAGGCTCCCAGGGAGATTCTGTTGTTTCCTTGACAACCAGACTAGGGCAGCCACAGATGAACAAGCCTCCTATCAGCTGTGGGAGGGAAAGGGGCCCTTTCTGAGCTCTGCAAAGAGTGTGTGTAGGGGTGTGGGGGTGGGACTGGGAGAGCACGAGGTTTGTAGCTAATTTCAGCACACCTTGGGTTTTGGCTTGCACCAAGTACAAAGAGCTGGGAGAGCGGTGGGCAGGAGGCTGTTTTTGGAGGGGCACAGGGATCATGGGACAGGGATGGAAGGAACACATGCCAGTGACTTTGCGATTGTCATGGAAGAGGAGTGAGTTGGGGGTTGTGATGCCCAGGGCTGGGTGGTGAGGAGGTCATAGTTTATGGAGGTTGATTGAGTGGGGATGAGGCAATTGTGAGGGAGAGTCTGGAGTCAGGGAAGAAGAGAGAGCCGGAGGGAGAGGGGAAGCTGAGAGGCTCACTGAATGGGCTGTATCACCATATATCAGCAATGAGTGGGCTGTATCACCATACATCAGCAATGATACAACATCAGCAACATCCTAGGGCAAAAATTATATTACTCTTGGCACACTCTCTCCAGGACAGGATCCTCCTTTAAGACAGGCCTGATTAGACTAAGAGTTCTAACACTTGAATTGGGCCAGTCTGTATCTTAAAGACAGATATAATTACACATATAGATATGCAATCTAGCATTATATAATACCACATTACATAAGAAGACAAATACCTCCTTTCAGCCCAGCCTCTCTTGGCACAAATTAACCACGGTTCAGGAGACTCTTCCAATGTCTTCATACCCATTTCCCAGAGGGGGAGACTGATGCCCAGAAAATATAAGTGACTTGCCTCTTCCTAGATAGGACAGTGAAGTTTGCCAGTCAGGCAGTTGGGACAGGGTAGAAAGGGTGAGATGATACAAACAGAGAGGCAGCTGAAGGACAAGGGGACTGCTGAAGGGGCTGGGGAATGGATGGAAGGGGTTGCGCAACCCAGAAGGTCTGATGTCTAAACTCATGGCACAGTATTTGTCAATTTCCACTTGTTGATTGGCTGACCACTGCTTAACTCTAGAGGTGACATAGCACAGGTGGGCAGCAGTGTTTTCATCACAAAGTAGCTGAACTTGGCCCAGCACTGCTCTGCTGGTGTTCTGGCATTATTCTCACTGTCAAGGTGCTCCTGAATTTGAGAACTGGCATCCCTCCATTAGGCCTCCTCATTCCCCCGCTTCTGTCTACAGACCTACATGCTGGGAGAATCGGAACTTGAGAAAGAAGTTCTTTTGGCTCTTGGGTTTTAATCTTTATCCTCCAGCTGCACATATTTTGTATTTGGGATTATATCTGTTTTGGTATTCACTCGACAAAACAGAAACCACAGCCCAGATGCTGCCTCCTGGCGCCAGCACATTCCTCAACTTGAGATCAGGAACTGTCAAAGTGGGGTTCCCGGTCCTCAGTTCAGGAGAGAGAATTGGGAGGAGGAAGCCTGTGGTTAGAATAACAGTTCTTAACAGTTCTCTGGGCCAGGTGTGGTGGCTCACGCCTGTAATCCCAGCACTTTGGGAGGCCAAGGCGGGCAGATCACTTGAGGTCAGGAGTTTAAGACCAGCCTGACCAACATGGCGAAACCCCGTATCTACTAAAAATACAAAATTAGCCGGCATAGTGGCACACACCTGTAATCCCAGCTACCTGGGAGGCTGAGGCAGGAGAATCACTTGAACCCAGGAGGCAGAGGCTGCAGTGAGCCGAGATCATGCCACTGCACTCCAGCCTGGGTGTCAAGCGCAAAACTCCGTCTCAAAAAAATACAAAAACAAAAAACGGTTGTCTGCTGAGGGAGGGTTAGGAGAGAGAAGGGGTGGTACAGTTGCCCTGGAGACCATGAGGGCACTGCATGGAGACCTCGTTGAAGGGTCCAGATCCTGTAACATTCCAAAAAGGCGGAGGAGGTTGTCTCATTGAGAAGTCCTTGCTGCACTTTTTGCTTAGGTTGCTGAGATGCATCCACTCGCACGGATCCCAGTTGCTATCGTTACTTGGATATTTCGGTCTGCATCCCTGCATGCTGGCATCCAGTTACAGCCCAGCAGGAATGGAGCCTCCCTGTTGTTGCTGGTGGCCTGGCTCTGGGCTGGATGGCTCAGCAGCCAGGGTGCCTGGGCAGCCTCCAGCACTCAGAGCTCAGCCTTCCTTAGCCTAGGAGGGATGACTCCGGGCTGCTAAAGCCCCCCCAGACGACTTTCATACACACAGGAATGTGAGTGGGGCGGGCAGATGACGCTGGCGAAACCAAGCGTCCTAATCACGCTGGCCCTGCCCCTGCTCCCTAATCCCAGGAGGGTGGATGCCGAGGCCAGGGCCTCCTGGCGACAGATTTTTAAACACGAACATGACATCTGACTACAGAAGTGCCTTCTGTTTGTTCATTCAAGCCATCCCTCTCTGGGGGTGGACAAGCCACTTCCTCTCTGCTCAACATCGAAGGCAACTGAGGCAAGCATTTGCCCAGAAATTCAGGCTCAAATTTCTGATCTTTTGCTTTCTGGCAATCCCATCGCCCATGTAGCCAGTTTAGTGAACATCACCTAGGAGTGCCAGCTGCCTGGGATCTTCAGCCTGAGGATCATCCTCCCTAGGAATGGGAAGGGCAGAAGAGGGTGGAGGTGGATCTCACTCTCTGACGCTGGGGGCAGGGTGCTGGGAGGACAGCCCCCCGTAGGGGAAGTAGAGGCCCATTGGCCACTGACTGTATCATCATAGGCCTGTGGTTCCCCTCACCCGCATCTGAAAGCTGGACCTGTAGCTGAGCATGACACATGGGCAACAGGACAGACCCCGAATAGAGAAAGGGAGGCCCCTGGGCTGGTCAGGTGCATCCAGGAACCTCCCCATCCTAGAGAGGCTGGGAGGAAAAACTCTTGCATCTCCATAAAGGGGACTGGGGTCTGGGGTTGAAGCATGCACTTAGGCAGGCTAGGGCTTGGAAATCCACCACCACCAGAGAGGGCAAGGGAAAGAGTGGAGGCCAGGAGAGCTGCTGCCCAGTTCTGACAAGTCCATTAAATTTTAAAGTGCCCTGCCCTCAGGCATGCTGGGAAGGGGTGGGGACGTGGCCGACTCTGCTTCTCTCAGCTGTTTGTTGTTCTGCTGCCACTGCTCTGCCGGGGAAGGAGGAGGAGAGCAGATGAGTGAGCTGCCCTCTCTGGAGAGGGGACAGGGCAGGGCCTCGGCAAGCTCCACTGGTGATCTCGCGTAGGTCTCCTTCATCCAGACGCACAGCTGGAGGATCGTGGGAGCAGGAAGGGGACAGGTGGCCCATCTGGTGACACTGCTCCTCTCAGCCTGAATGGGCTCCTGGCCCCTTGGACCCTCGCAGAGCTCTTGCCCAGAACGTTGCCCACTCCTTCCTCCTCCTGTCAGCTCCGGGGCTTGCAGAGGGGGCAGCCTGGCTGAGGAGAGCTGCGGGTGCTGGCCCTGGCCCACGGCGAGCTGGCATGCCATGCCGTCCTGACCGCCTCCCTCCTCTCCCTCAGGTCCCGTTTAATGGATTCTGACATGGATTATGAAAGGCCAAACGTAGAGACCATCAAGTGCGTTGTGGTGGGGGACAACGCCGTGGGTAAGACCAGGCTCATCTGTGCCCGCGCTTGCAATGCCACCCTCACCCAGTACCAGCTGCTGGCCACGCATGTGCCCACAGTATGGGCCATCGACCAATATCGTGTGTGCCAGGAGGTAAGGCTGCAGGACTACCTGGCTGGGGGTCCACGCCATGAGTCTGGGCTTGGGGGCTTCCTGAGGCATAGCTTGGTGTCTCCAGAGCTCACGGGAGCCCTCTAGGGGTGGGACAGGATGGGTTGGGGGCAGCTGAAGAGGAAGGAGCCCCTGGAGAGAGGTTTAAGCCAAGTCTGCCCCAGGGAAGTGTCTCTGGCTGGTTGTGTTTTCAGGGACTGAGCTGGTGCCTGGGACTCCATCTTTGTCTGGGGTACCGCATTGTATGTAGTCACAGCCTTAAGTAATGGGGAGCACTGGAGGGCTGGGGCTTGGAAGAGATACAAGCTGAGAGGAGCAAAGAAGCTGGCAGCTGATAGCAAAAGACCAGAGGCTCACAAACATGCAGTTTGCAAGGAAAGCCAGGAACAAGGGTCAGCTCCCAAAGAGGCCCCTTCCACACCCATAGCAGTCCCTTAGGGTCTCTTCCACCCCCTTAGGGTCTCTGCTACCCTCTTAGTGTCTCTTCCACCTGCTTAGGGTCTCTTCCACTCCTGGTCAGCTTGGAGGCCACCCTTGTTATAGATTCTACAGAGATTTTACGTGGATGAAAGTTGTGCAGGGTGCACAGTGGGCGATGCCAGCCTTGTCCCTCCATGCCCAGTGATGTCTGGGGCCCCCAGGTGTCAGCCGGCGCTTATCCTGAGGTGGCACGCAGAGGTCCCCAAAACTGCTGCCTTCGAGTCCCACTCTTCCTCCCCGTCCCCAGGTGCTGGAACGCTCCCGAGACGTGGTAGATGATGTCAGCGTCTCTCTGCGCCTCTGGGACACCTTTGGAGACCACCACAAAGACCGTCGCTTTGCTTATGGGAGGTAGGGAAGGCCTCTAGCCGCCTGCAGAGAACCAACAGGGTGGGTTTTTCCCTGCTTTTCCCAGGAACAAAGCACCTCTGTGAAATTTCAGCTGGCAAGAAGAAGTGGAGAAAACAGCTCTGGCAGAGCCTCATGGGGGCTGGGGCAGCCTGGTGCAGTGAAGGGAGCCTGGGTCCGGGATCAGGAAGCCTGGATTGAGTTCCAGCTCTGTGCCTAGTAGCTCTGAGATGATGTTTCTCAGCTGTGAAGTGGTGAAAACAGCCATTTCTAACTCACAAAATAGCTGTGAGGCCAAAACAAGTCTTGAGCTCTAAAGTGGCACATAAATTGGAGGTATTGTGATTATATGTTTTGTGTCAAGAGCACGTGAGCAGATACCTAAGCCAGGTGTGGGACTGTACAGGGCTGGGGTGGGGCAGATGTTCCAGGACCAGGTAAGCTACCACTTGTTTCTCTGCCCGTAACCTTACTTTCCCACCCGCAGATCTGATGTGGTGGTTCTGTGCTTCTCCATTGCCAACCCCAATTCCCTCCACCATGTCAAGACCATGTGGTACCCAGAAATCAAGCACTTCTGCCCCCGAGCACCTGTCATCTTGGTGGGCTGCCAGTTGGACCTGCGCTACGCTGACCTGGAGGCTGTCAACAGGGCTAGGCGACCCTTGGCTAGGTAGGAGGTGCTGGTACCAAGGAGACAGACATGGATGGGTGCCTCACCATGGCTCCCTGCTCAGCCCTGGGGGAATTCCACTGAGCCTCATATCTCTCCCTCCATTTGGAGCAAGCTTGCATTGGGAGTCAACAAGCATGCTCATTCATTCATTCATTCATATACCTGTTGCACACCTCTGGTGTGGGCAGTGCTATGTAAAGCATCATGAAGAAAAATAGAGAGGAAGAGGTGATATTTGCATGAAAAAGTCCTATAATTTTGCTGAGGGATAAACTAAATATGTGAGCATGTTAAATACCCATGTGAAGCATTGCCTGCTAATTGCCAGAGAGGCAGTGCTGTCACGGCTTTGTACTGGGGAGGTCACTGGGGCCTGGCATAGTAGGGAAAGCTTTCTGGAAGAAAAAGGGCTTGGAGTGGACCTTGAAGGAGCTTGATGGGATTTGGCCAGACAGAGCAGGGCAGGAGTGGGTGGGGATTGGCACCCAGATCCTGAGCAGAGTCCCTCCAGCCTGTGGAAGAACAGGCAGCCTCCCTCCACCACCAACACAAGCTTGGTTTCCTTCTTGAACCTACCAGGCCCATCAAACCTAATGAAATCCTGCCCCCAGAGAAGGGTCGGGAGGTGGCCAAGGAGCTGGGCATCCCCTACTATGAGACCAGCGTGGTGGCCCAGTTCGGCATCAAGGACGTCTTTGACAACGCCATCCGAGCTGCACTCATCTCCCGCCGCCACCTGCAGTTCTGGAAGTCCCACCTCCGCAATGTGCAGCGGCCTCTGCTGCAGGCACCCTTCCTACCCCCCAAGCCACCGCCCCCGATCATCGTGGTGCCCGACCCTCCCTCCAGCAGCGAGGAGTGCCCCGCCCACCTCCTGGAGGACCCGCTCTGCGCGGACGTCATCCTGGTGCTGCAGGAGCGGGTGCGCATCTTTGCCCACAAGATCTACCTCTCCACCTCTTCCTCCAAGTTCTATGACCTGTTCCTCATGGACCTGAGTGAGGGGGAGCTGGGGGGCCCCTCGGAGCCAGGGGGCACCCACCCAGAGGACCACCAGGGCCACTCTGATCAACACCACCACCATCACCACCACCACCATGGGCGAGACTTCCTGCTCCGAGCAGCCAGCTTTGACGTGTGCGAGAGCGTGGATGAGGCTGGGGGCTCCGGTCCTGCTGGCCTCCGTGCTTCCACCAGCGACGGGATCTTACGGGGCAACGGAACAGGGTACCTACCGGGCAGGGGTCGTGTGCTGTCTTCCTGGAGCCGAGCTTTTGTGAGCATCCAGGAAGAGATGGCAGAAGATCCTCTCACCTACAAATCCCGGCTGATGGTGGTGGTGAAGATGGACAGTTCCATCCAGCCGGGGCCCTTCCGGGCTGTCCTCAAGTACCTGTACACGGGGGAGCTAGATGAGAACGAGCGTGACCTCATGCACATTGCCCACATTGCTGAGCTGCTCGAGGTCTTTGATCTGCGCATGATGGTGGCCAACATTCTCAACAATGAGGCCTTCATGAACCAGGAGATCACCAAGGCCTTCCACGTCCGCCGGACCAACCGGGTTAAGGAGTGCTTGGCAAAAGGCACCTTCTCAGGTATGGAACAGGCTTGGAAAGCAAGGGGGTTCTGCATTGGTGCTATTAGCATTGCCTGTCTGTCTCAGCTCCTGGTGTCCTGGAGCTGCGGCTGCCATGCTCTTGAAGCCTGGTTTTCCCCAGCTGGGAGCGGGTTTGTTCCGTGCCCCGAATCTTCTGGGTTCAGGAGGAGGCTCCGTGGCTCCCCTTGGGGCTTGTTCTCCCAGCTTCTTTCACCAGTCCTCCTGTGATGCTTCTTCTGGACAGATGTGACCTTCATCCTGGATGATGGCACCATCAGCGCCCACAAGCCCCTGTTGATTTCCAGCTGTGACTGGATGGCTGCCATGTTTGGGGGGCCATTTGTGGAGAGCTCCACCCGGGAGGTAAGGCTGAGGACACAAAGGGGGGAAGGAGGGAGTGAGACATTTGCACCCTTTACATCTGAGGCACTGCCACTCAGGGTACTTTCTTCACTGACTGTGTGCTAACCACAGGGTGATGGGCCCAAGAGAGGTTTATGAGGTGGTTCTTGGAGCTAAGGATTATACAATACACCAGGAAAGGGAATTACACTGACACCTCAACTTGAGAGTTTAGAAAGCACTTTCTGTTCATTATCTCATTAAATTCACACGCAACGTACACATGTGCCACTCCTGCCGTATATCTAGGAAAGGGAGCCCCTGAGAAGTTAAGTGACTTGTATGAAGTTGGAAGTAGAGTTAGGACTTGAACTCAGGACTTCCATTCCTTGGCTCTTTACTTTGTACCTTACTGCCTCCCTGACACACTTGAAACAACTGAATGCATCACTGTTTTAAAAGATAGGTTTTATTATTATTGAGGTGTAGAGAGGCCCACAGATTGCAAGATGGCTGTCATTGATAAGACAACTTGTTACAGATCCCAAGAAAAGGGGGCATGCCACAGCACCATGGCTGGGGTCACATGGGGAAGCTCTGGGGTCAATCAGGAGGCAGAGGGTTTCTGTGGGAGGGAATGGGCGAGGCAGGTTGAGCAGGTTTAGGATTAGCTGTTTGAATAATGTTAGCCGGCTCTGGGGCCTGGATGCTGTCTCTAGTTGTCTGTCACCTGGCTCTAGGGGGATTAGGGCAGGGGAACAGTGGCCTGGAGTGTGAGGGCCCATAGGGGAGGTAGTGGGCTGTGGGCTCTGGATTGGTTGGTTTGCATATGAAAGGCACACTTGCAGGCAACTCCTTCACTATCCCTAGGACTTGGCCAGCCCTGAGGGAGGCAGTCCCTATAGGGCCAGCAAGGCTTTAGTTGTCAAAGCAACAAAATACAGAAAATAGGTGTAGGGGGTGGCTTACACCTGTAATCCCAGCACTTTGAGGGGCTGAGGTGGGAGGATTGCCTGAGCCCAGGAGTTTGAGACCTGCCTGGGAAACACAGACACCATCTCTACAGAAAAAAAGAAAAAAAGAGAGAGAGAGAGAAAAGAAGGAAGGGAGGGAGGGAGGGAGGAAGGGAAGGAAAAGCATACTTAATAGAACCACCTGCCTCTCTAATCAGTGACCCTCTAGCTCTCACGATGCCACCACTTTCTCACTCACCTAGATTGGAAACTTAGGGTTGGAAGAAGCCTATCAATGTGTCCTTAGAAATATTCTCTTAGGTTTGGTCTCTTTTCCATTCCAAGCAGAGTAGCCTGGGCAGTAGCCCTTGGTGTGCTCTGAACTCCTGGACCTCAATTGCCCATCACTGAGTGTCGTCGAACCTTGTAGTTAACGAGGTTCGACTTTGTGCAGGCGCGTGGAGTTCTGAACGTCCACACCGTTTCCCCTACTGTTCTGTAACTGCTTCTGAGCGCAGGGACTGGGTCTTTTTCCTTCTGCCAAAAACCCTCTCAGCGCCAGTCTCTTGGGAAATGCTCACCAAATGCTTGAATGAAAAACAGAACCAAGCACGAGGCTGGGCTGCATCGCATCCCGTGATGTGGAATGTGCATTTTCTAAGATTTCTGGGAAGGAAGTACTTAAGGAAGGCTAAGTGGAAGCGTTGGGAGTTGGTCTCTGAAGTGGGAGTAGGATTTGGATATACAAAATGTGAGACTAGGAGCTCTCACAAGCCCCAGGGGCCTGCCAGCCCCGGGCACTTCTCGGTACTGTAGACGCCAGCTTTAAACTTCTAGCCAGTTCCCAGCACAGCCTGGAGAGCCTGATGAGAAGGCAGTTTGTGTTGCAGCGCTGCTCTCAAGAGATCCTGGAGGCCCAAAGCAGCAGCTCTGAGCAGACAGAAAGAAATCAGCTGCTGTGGGCCTTACTTATTCTGTATCCCACTTCTGTTCTGTGCAGGGATGGGAGGGACTGAGGTGTAGATTGAGGTGACCAGAAGGCCTCCTTCAAGCATCCCGCGAGCAAGAGCGGCTTCCAAAGGGTGCCAGTGAGTAGTATCTGGGTCCCTTTGGAAGAGTTTAGAAGCTGGACGCCATGGCTTGTGCCTATAGTCCCAGCTACTGAGGAGGCTGAGGCAGGAGGAATGCTTAAGACCAGGAGTTCAAGACCATCCTGGATGGCATAACAAGACGCTGTTTCTAAAAATAAACACATAAATGATAGTAGAGGCCTGTACTCTGGTGCTGTCAGCAAACTGGGGCTCAGCACAGGTTGTCGCTCTAGGGGTCAGGTGTTCTCAGGGTCTTCTCAGCAGATACACATGCAGCACAGGGAAGGCTGCCCGTCTGGGGGAGCCTGGGTGTGAGGGCCAGAGCTCTTCAATTTCTCAGGGTTCAGTTCATCTTCTCCTAAGCAGGATCTCATTGCTGTCCGCTCACTCCTTCCCTCCCCAGGTGGTGTTTCCCTACACAAGCAAGAGCTGCATGCGGGCCGTGCTGGAATACCTCTACACCGGCATGTTCACCTCCAGCCCCGACCTGGATGACATGAAGCTCATCATTCTAGCCAACCGCCTCTGCCTGCCACACCTGGTTGCCCTCACAGGTAACTAAGCAGTGCACTCGGGGACCTCCCCGCGGCAGAGGCCAGGGAAACCCCAAGGTGCAATGTTCTCCTCTCACGTCTCTCCTGGGGGACAAGCTGATGTCCAAGGGACTAAGCGTACATGAAATGGAATCTGTTGACGGGCACAGAGTTCTGGATGAGGACACAGAGTGAAGAAGGGTGGTGCGGGGCATGTTTGATGGGGTCACCTGAGAGGCTCTCTCCAAAGGCGATTTAAACCCAACAAAATGGAACATGAGGCTGGGCACAGAGGCTCACACCTATAATCCCAGCACTTTGGGAGGCCAAGGCGGGAGGATCACTTGAGGCCAGGAGTTTAAGACCAGCCTAGCCAACATGGTCTTACCCGTCATGGCAAACTGCCATGAAACCCGTCTCTACTAAAAATATAAAAATTAGCTGTGTTTGGTGGCAGGCGCCTGTAATCCCAGCTACTCGGGAGGCTGAGGCAAGAGAATTGCTTGAACCCGGGAGGTGGAGTTTGCAGTGAGCTGAGTTTGCACCACTGCACTCCAGCCTGGGTGACAGAGTGAAACTGTGTCTCAAAAACAAACAAACAAAAAATGGAACATGACAGTGCTTTATGTTCTTTGCTTGGCTTCACTTGGACAAGCTTAAGAAGTCAAAAAATAATAGAACACAATTCCCACATTTCTACCCTGTGGTTCTCCTCCTTCTTCCTTTCCTTTTATTTTTCTTCTTTTGCCTTTTTTCTTCTTCCCCTACCTTTGACATCACCTTCTCATCCTCTTTCCAGAAACAGCACACAAACATCCCTGCCACTCCTTAGTCCCTGCACGGATTGTACGAGCCGGAGCTCAGCTTTTAGTGTGGACAAATCCCAGGGGCTCTCTGAGTTGGAACAAGAACTGAGTCATGGGGGAGAGCCAGCGGCAGGCAGTCTGGGTCCAAGGGGCCAGGGAAGAGAAGTGGTGCTCGTGGGGTGAAGGGAGCCTGGGGCCAGAGACCCAGGCAGGCAGACGGCTCTCGTTCATGTTGGAGTTGGCACTTGAGTTGCTAGTGGTGGCGGCAGGGGTACCAGCGCTGGTGTTGATGCCGAGGTTAATATTCTTGCATAGGTCGGGGACAGAGAGCACATCCTCACATACTGAGTTGAGATTCAGGGAAGAACCCAGTGTCAGAGCTGCTGGGGTCCAGGCAGATGATCAAGATCGGGGCTCAGATATGAGGGAAAACAGCAATCCGTGAGGAAAAATGAATGATAAGGTGGGGCTGGGTTACAGAAAGAAGGCAGAAATCATTGATCAGAACCAGAATATTAAGAGCGGAGGCTGCAGTGGGAGTCCAGGGTCCCCAGAAGGGGATAAAGGGAACTTTGGGGCAGGTAGCAAGAGAGGCATCTAAAGATCCCAGCTACAACAGTATATCTTGTTTTGCTGTCCATAAAAAAATGGTGTGATCTTCCCAGAGCACATAAAACTTCAAATTCCTAGATGGAATAATTCCACTTTTAAAAGACTATCTCCAGAGAAATGACCCAAAGGGGAAAAATGCATAAAGGTATTTCTAGAAGTTCATTTCGTCATGGCAGGCAATTGAAAGCAAGTCACAGAAAAACCGTTGGTGAAGCACACACAGGCAGTTTTCACATGGTAGTCATTAAAAATGTTAAACTAGACTGCTGCATGGAAAGGCTTATTGAAAATAATGTTAAGTAACTTTTCATGAAATTATCGATACACACTAGGGAACATCCACAAAAATGTTTATATCTGCCTTGTTAAGGATCAGGGGAAGATGCCAAGTTTTATATAATTGGCGATGGTTTAAGTTTTGTGACATATGCTTCCTATGAGGCCATTAATTCAAGTTGAAAACTTTTATTGCTCAGTAGAACACAAATACATAAAAGCATATTAAACATATGTTCAGGTTACTGAATTACTATTGTTATTATGTTTTTTTAGAGACAGGATCTTGCTCTGTCACGCAGACTGGAGTGCAATGGCCTGATCATAGTTCACTGCAGCCTCAAATTCCTGGGCTCAAGCGATCCTCCCAACTCAGCTTCCCAAGTACCTTGGACTATGGGCCTGCCTCATCACACCCAGCTAATTTTTAAATTTATTTTTATTTATTTATTTATTTATTGACATAGAGTCTCACTTGGTCTCTCAGGCTGGAGTGCAGTGGTGCAATCCTGGCTCACTGCACCCTCTGCCTCCTGGGTTCAAGCGATTCTCCTGCCTGAGCCTCCTGAGTAGCTGGGACTACAGGCATACACCACCACACCCAGCTAATTTTTGTAATTTGAGATGGGGTTTTGCCATGTTGGCCAGGCTGGTCTTGAACTCCTGACCTCAAGTGATCCACCCACCTTGGCCTCCCAAAGTGCTGGGATTACAGGCGTGAGCCACCACACCCGGCCTAATTTTTAAATTTTTTGCAGAGATGAGGTCTCACTGTGTTGCCTGGACTGGTCTTAAACTCCAGCCTCAAGTGATCCTCCCATCTCGGCTTCCCAAAGTGCTGTGATTACAGGCGTGGGCCACCAAGCCTGGCCTAGTTTAATGAATTATTATAAAGAAAATGCCTTTCTACTCATGACCTATGTCAGGAACTAGAACCTTGCTGGCCACCAGAAGTCCTCCACCTCTCCCTCCTCTCTCACAGACCCCTCTCTCCTCCCTAAGAGGAAGCCCTTTGCCTAGTATTCCTTTTTTTATGGCACTTTTTATGGGCATACTGCCTTACTTTCCTTTATAGTTTTATCATCCAAGTGTGTGTCATTAAACACTACAGCATGGTTTTTTGCATTATTTTTTACTTTTATTTTTTATTTTTGGAGATGGAGTCTTACTGTCACCTGGGCTGGAGTATAGTGATGTGATCTCGGCTCACTGAAACTTTCACCTCCCAGGTTCAGGAGATTCTCATGCCTCAGTCGCCCGAGTAGCTGGGATTACAGGCACGTACCAACACACCCGGCTAATTTTTGTATTTTTAGTAGAGACAGGGTTTCACCATGTTGGCCAGGCTGGTCTTGAACTCCTGGCCTCAAGTGATCCACCCGCCTTGGCCTCCCAAAGTGCTGGGAGTATAGGCGTGAGCCACCGTGCCCGGCCAGTTGTTTGTTTTTGAAGTATTATTATGGCCCCTTAGATTTGAACATTCTTGATTGGTTTCAGTTAATTGCAGTTATCCTTGCTGAAGCTCAAATCCTGCACTCTTTGGCTTGACTCCAGAGTCTTACGAGCTTCCTCTCTATCTGGAATGATGAGATGTTCTAGGTTCCTCTTGAAGGTTCTGTGCCCCAGACCTGGAATCAGCCATTTCTCCAGGAAGTCCTAGTTTCTTGTGTTGGAAGTGGAACTGGTATTTGTGTGCACTAGGAATGCTCATTGTACTGGGATGACTGTTGTTTCTAGGTCTTTTCTGGGGGCAGAGCTGGGAAATATATTGATCTTTTTAAAGATAAGATACCTCATGAGTTTATACTGATACTTCTAATTAAAATTCAGAACCAAGGGTGTTTACTTCTTCAATATAAGTGTTTTAACTTAAAATACAAGGTTAGTACACAATTTTTTACAAAATTTAAATTAAAACAAACAACTAGACTTAACTCCTAGTTCTAACTCACAGTTCTCAGCCTTTTTCTGTGATCAGCAGACATGAGGTTTCACACACTCTCCCTTTTGTATCAGAGGCTGGTTCTGTTGGGAACTTTGACCCTACCTGTATCAGATTATGTCACGGGACATACGTAGTTTGAAAAATCCTCTTAGGTAATTCCAATGTCCTCCTTCTCTTCCTACCCTACCCCGTTGAGCTCTTGCTGTCATCCCTGGGGTCCCCCTGGTGGCAGCAGACGTCATAGCCTGGGGCCTTTCCTGGCCTGTCCGGACCTGCCCGGGCCCTGGTTTTCCTCACCCTGAAGTGAGCTGGGGGATGTGGTGGGGCAGGGTGAGCACAGGTCATGTGCTTCTTCAGCTGATTGGTGGCCGTGTGTGTTACAGAGCAGTACACAGTGACCGGGCTGATGGAAGCGACCCAGATGATGGTGGACATCGATGGGGACGTCCTTGTGTTCCTGGAACTGGCTCAGGTATCATGGCAGGGGAGGGAATCTACAACAGTCTCAGTTCTACACTCTGCCTGCCCATTGGCTGCGAATGGGAAGGGGTGGAAGATGGTCTATGCGGGAGAACCTGTCATCGGACTGGGCTCTTTGACTGCGCGTAGCCCATCTCCTCCTCCATGCCAGGAAGCAGCTGGGGAACTCCCTGGTGTACCCGGAGGGGAGCTGACCAAGTGGGGAAGGGATGAGGCTTTAGGCAGCAGTAGGGCTGGGGAGGGAACCCCAGGCTCAGGCTTACACATGGTTGCTGCCTGCCTGAGGTCATTTAAGGGGCACTGAGGACTTTCCATCTGAAATTAACCGCCTACTCCCTTAATCCCAAACAAACAAGCCAAATCTCCCACAGTGGCCTTCACAGTGCCAGAAATTCAGCCACCAAAGATTAGTGTGTGGAGTGGAAGCACGGCTCAGGCAGGGCTTGCAGACACCCCTGGGAAGGCAGCTCCCTTAGCTCATTGTCAGTGCCTCCGTGCAGGCTGCCTTGATCCCAGATGTGGAGGAGAGAGAAGTCAGGTAGGTTGAGATCTGAGGAGGGCAGATGCAGTATGAAGCCACTACATAGGGCTCTGGTGTCTGCAGCGAGGATGCCAGGAGTGGGCAGAACAGAGGTGAGATGATGGTGGTGCTGGCGGTGGTGCCAAGGAGCCTGAGGCAGCATCATCATCCTCAGTTTTGTGTGGCCTTGCCTCTGGCGCAGGCTCTCTAGAACTGCAGGGCCTCTGCGTGCCCTGCACCAGAGCTTCAGCTCTGAAGGCAGCTGGAGGTGTCTATGCAGACCCTCTCCCCTGGGGATTTCAGTACAGACGTTCTTCCCTTCTGTCCCCAGTTCCACTGTGCGTACCAGCTGGCCGACTGGTGTCTCCACCACATCTGCACCAACTACAACAACGTGTGCCGCAAGTTCCCCCGAGACATGAAGGCCATGTCCCCAGGTGAGCATCGGGGCCAGTCCTGGCAGTACCTGCTGCCCTCCCCTTAGGGGTGCACAGCTCCCATGTAATCCCAGGGACCCCGAGGCTGCCAGTAATCCTTGACCTTGGGGCTGGGAGCAGCCTGCAAAGGAGCCTCCAGCCAAGCCAAGGGGCCCCAGGAAAAGTGCTGGCCTGGAGGGCAACTCACCCTGCCTCTCTGGGCTTCTCATTCTCAGAGGTATGAAGAGGATACTGGACTAAAGTTGGTAGATTTCAGACTTTTCTGGACAGAATACCGTAAGAAATACATTTCATCTTGTGACCCAGGACACATATAGGAAAATATATACATCTTTCTAATGCTGCTCATGGCCCACTAAATTGATGGTACAACCCAGGAATGGGTACAGGCCACAGCTTGGACCACCCAGGTCTGGGCATCCTCTGAGGCCTCCTGTCTCTTCTTGATTAATTTCTTAGGCCCTAGAACTCAACAGAAACTGCACAGGCTCCAGGGAGAGGTGTCCCTGGCCTCCCTGAAGGGTCTGCCACTCTTTCCATGGGGTCCTCTCTGGGCTCCCTCCAGTCTGCCGTGACCCTCCTCCCTGCTGCCGTGTTTTTGCCTCATGCTGCCAAGTCTCCACCCCGATCTCTCCTTTTCACTACTACAACACTTTTAAAAAAAAATTATTTATTTATTTATTTTTTTGAGACAGTCTTGCTCTGTTGCCCAGGCTGGAGTACAGTGGCACAATCTCGGCTCACTGCAACCTCCACCTCCTGGGTTCAAGTGATTCTCATGCCTCAGCCTCCCGGGTAGCTGGGATTACAGGTACCCACCACCATGCCTGGCTAATTTTTTGTATTTTAGTAGAGACGGGGTTTCACCACGTTGCCCAGGCTGGTCTCAAACTCCTGACCTCAGGCAATTTGCCTGCCTCGGCCTCCCAAAGTGCTAGGATTATAGGCATGAGCCACTGCACCCAGGCTAGCATTTTCTTTCTAAAGCACAGGTCCAATAGCATCACTCCCTGCTTCCAGACCTTCCACTGAAACAGTAGTCTTCCATGGCCCCCCATACCCTGCAGAATAAGGCCAGCCGTTCCTCTGGTCTGCTGCTGTGTCCTGCTGTGTCCTGACTCCGTATTCCCCCTCGGAACCTTAGCTCTGGCCAGAAACTTCCACTCTCATCCCCTAACCATGCTGAGTATCTCCTGGCTGACATTCGCTTACCCCTTCTCCCTTATCCTTCGCCTCTGTTTCATTCCCAACGCACAGGAAGCCCTTGTCTAGATCGCCCGTCTTTGGAAAGGAACCCAGCTGGAAAGGCCTTCCCCAGTGCTGACTTTCAGCCCTGCTCTTTGGGAACTTTGCTTGCCTCGGAGGCTCATGTGCCGTGGGTCATGGGGATGTGCTGGGGGCTGGGCTGGAGGCCTGCTGCAGGCCTTGTGGTGGGGTAGGGCTGGTGTCCCACGTTCCTCTTGTCCCTCTGCCTCCTTTCTAACCAAGCTGCCTGCTCTCTGCTCCAGAAAACCAGGAGTATTTCGAGAAGCATCGGTGGCCACCTGTGTGGTACCTGAAGGAGGAAGATCATTACCAGCGGGCACGGAAGGAGCGTGAGAAGGAGGACTACCTCCACCTCAAGCGGCAGCCCAAACGGCGTTGGCTCTTCTGGAACAGTCCATCCTCCCCGTCTTCCTCGGCAGCCTCCTCCTCATCCCCATCTTCCTCCTCGGCTGTGGTCTGAGATGCTGCCACCCTCTTCTGACCCTGCTGCTGTTGTCCCCATCCGCCTTCACCCCTCTGCTCTTCCGCATCACCCCATCCACCTTACAGGGACCAGGGGGCCCACGTAACCAGGACCCAGAGGGTGGAGCTCTTCTTACCAGCCACCGTGGCTCAGCCAGAGAGGAGCTGAGCCCTGTGGAGCAGAACGGGAACCACCTGCAGAGGTCCCCAGACCCAAAGCAGGACGGGAGACAACTGCTTGGAGGAGCGAAGAGCCCTGGCATTTTATCTCTGGGTTTGAGAGCCCTAGAGTCAAAGGGAAAGCCTCCCAGCCTCCAGGGCTTCTCTGTGTGTCTTGGTTGCTGCTCTGGCCAGGGAGGCAGCCCCACTCCCAGCAAGCAGAAGTGATCCTCGAGGGTCCTGCCCCTGTTGGCCATATCTTTCCACCGACGGACTTGAGTGTTGCATTTGTTTTGTGGGCATTTCCACACGAAGCCTACTCACACCCTCACTGGAGAAGTCAGGGTAGAAATTGAGCCTTCAGAGCCCAACTCAAGGCTTCTACATCCTGGGGTGCAGCTGCAAAAGGCCAGACGTGGAAAGGCCTGTATCCTGCCAGTGTCCCTCCGTCCCAGGGGGCTGTGCTAGCACAGACCTGAGAATGGGGACACAGGTCATTCAGAGCTCCAGGCCTGGAAGCAGTGCCTCTTGGTGCAACAAGAAACTTCTCCCTCACCCCCTCCTTTACCCTCAGATTTGGAGATGGTAACCAAAGGAAGCAGCTGGGACAGGTGGAGAAGGAAGTAGGAATGAGTGCACGGCGACCCCGTGCTCCTCAGGGCCCTCCCCTGCCTCTGGGTGGCACTGCTTTTTATAGGGTGGGGCAAAATTAGCAAAAAACAAAAACCAATGACAACCAAACTGAAACCGAAACGAAAAATCAACAAACACTCTGTCCTCTATCCCTCCAAAGAATGAAAATCAGAAAAAGCCCCTGCCTAGCTCACATTTCTATAAACAGAGGCCCCCATGATGAGGAGGTGAAGATTTAGGTTGCAGAATCGACTCCAATGCCTTTCAGGAAAGGACTCGGCACTTCTCTGACTGCGGAGGCCCTGACCCTGCCAGCTGGCTCCGAGGGCAACACAGGGGCCTGGCCTCTAGAGGGCTGGTGATTGAGGGGCCCGGGCTGGCGGCAAAGAGGGGTTTGGTCTCGGGGCTTAAATGGCACCAGACTCTTGCTTTTGCCCATCTGGAGACTGCAGGCTCCCTTCCTTACCCTCAGAGAGTGCTTATGGTGGGTGTTTTTGCGGGGCTGCAATAGGGGCCAAAAGTCAGGGAAAGGGGCACTGACCTGTAGTGAAAGGCCACAGGACACAGCCTTATTACTGCTGGGGTGGGATAAGGGGAAGGAGAAGAGGGAGAATGGAGCAGGAGGAAAAGCAGAGTTGGTCTAGAGAGGAGGAGGGCGGGGCTGGAGGAATGTGGGGGATTGAAACTAGCTCCCAGCCCCCATGGGGCAGCAGCTGGGCCACAATTGCCCCTTTCCGTTTTCTAACCCCGACTCAGATTTCACCACCCACACTCTTTTTAGGTGTAAAAGATGGAGTCCCACGGAGGAGGGGCAGAGCCAGGAGGCAGTGGGGCTGTGGGCTCAGAGCTCAGGAGTCGCCTTACCTGAGAGAGATGTTCTAGCTGAGAGGGCCTGGCCCTGGGGTGGGCTCCAGGAAAACGCTGGTTAGGCCTGGGATTGAGCTAACCTGAAACAAAGGTAGCAGGCAGGACCTAATGACCAGAGGTTAAATCCTCATCAAGAGAGACCAGGCGGCTGGAGGACAAGCGGCTCTAACCCTGGGGGCGGCCATGTTGTCCAGGCCCAGGCCCCTCCAGGACTGTGGCTGCCTCCCCTCCACGGCCTCCAGGGCGGCTGGCTGGAAAGCCACGCGTATGCTGCCCTCTACAGGCTGCTCGGCCTCCCTGCAGCTCAGCGCAGCCCAGGGCTCCAAGTGAGGCCCAGAAGCCCATGGGCAGGGCTGGGGGGACGAAGGGGGAACCCGGAGCACCTCCACTTCTAGGGAAGATGGACAGCGTGGGGGCACACCTGGGCCTCCCGGAAGCTGTGGACGAAAGGGAGAGCGGGTCCTCCAGGGCAAGGGGAACGGGAAATAGGTCTCCTAGGTGCCTGAAGCGCTGAGCAACCTGGGTACCCTGGTGGGGATGCAGGGAAGGCCGGGGCAGAGAAAGTGAAGGTCGACCCAGGGCTGTAGGAAGCCATAGGAGAGTGACCACGGGATTCCCTGAGAAACAGGGCCGGCCCCCCAACTTCAGGGACCCACCGCCCATTCCCCGAGAGCTGTCGGAACCAGATGCAACCCGGCAGCCCAGAGAACTCTCCTGGGAGGCTGTGGGTGAGCCAGGCCAACATTGGTGTCCCTGTCCCCAGAGGGAGGAGCAGGCAGGAGAGAGAGGGGAAGGAGGTATGAATCCCAGTCCCCAGGAACCTAGCTCTTTAAACTCTGGGGAGTCGGATTCAGGAAACACCCCCAGGAGGCCAAGCCTGAAAACAGAGGGGAGGGAGGAAGGAAGGAGTCCCAGCAGGAGCACAGCCCTGGTTTCCTGTCACTCAGAGCTGATTCACAGGAGGAGGGGAGGTTGGGGGGCGGGAGACAAAAACCACACCTCTTTTTATATAAGGTTTCATATTTAATTTGGTCATGGATTCATAAATACATAAGTATTTTGTACACAATGTGCTTCCTTGTTTGTATTATAACACATTTCAAATAGGGACCTTTGACAGGGCAGAAGCATGAAAGGACACCAACCACGAGTGACACACTATACTATGGCTGTCCTGTGTCACATGCTATTTGGCCTGGGGATATAGCAAAGCCTAATGTAACTAAACAACAAAACCCCCAATTATTTCATGTCGTCAGGAAGCTTACTTTAAAAGAATAGCTTGGCCTGGCTGGTGGCTCACGCCTGTAATCCCAGCACTTTCGGAGGCCAAGGTGGATCACCTGAGGTCAGGAGTTCGAGACCAGCCTGACCAACATGGTGAAACCCCGTCTCTACTAAAAATACAAAAATTAGCCAGGCGTGGTGGCGGGTGCCTGCAATCCCAGCTACTCCGGAGGCTGAGGCACGAGAATCGCTTGAACCCAGGAGGCGGAGGTTGCACTGAGCCAAGATCGTACCGTTGCACTCCAGCCTGGGCGAGAGAGTGAGATTCTGTCTCAAAAAAATTAAAAATAAAAGAAAAATCTTAAACACTGATAAGGCTGACACTCTAGATGCATCTTCTAGGAAGGCCTCTGTGGAAGGGACAAGGGACCTGGGACCGGACTGGCACCTTCTGAGCCCTGAGGCTGAGCGTCCTGCACAGAAGGCCCAGCAAAGGCAAAGACCAGGAGGCAGCAGCACCCTGTGCCTTCCAGAAGTGCAGGGGACAACGCGTGGGATGCCAGATGGAAGTGGGAGAGGATGGAAGTGCAAAGACCAGAAAGGTCACCCCCCACTCCTAAAACTCCACAGACACAACAGTCTGAATGTGTGATCTTCAGGCAATTCTAACTTTGTCCCACCCAAACCAGTCCCGGAACAAAACACACAATGCCTTGAGACAGAAAAGACCAAAAACTCCTGGAATGACTACCTGCATAAATGATCCTTCCATGACTGAAATACTATGGAGAAGGGTTTGCTGGAAAGAGGCTGAAATGGTTACTGAGGTCTTAAAACAATAATAGAACAGGACACAAGAAGAAAACCTTAATGCGTCAGCCATTCTAGGTCCTGTTGCCACAGTGTTTAAGAATTGACATTTCTGAGATGAGTCAGATGCTTACAGAGCGGCCAAGGTCCTCAAGTAGGCAATCTGTACCCTAAAAGGCAGCTCATGGGCTCAGGGTGACAGATAACCAGAAGTGAGCCGGGCCATCTACTCCTGAGATGGCAACCATTTCACACCATTCTCAAGCACCATCTACTCTTCCCCCTTGATGCCATGGCAGACGTGGGAGACAGATTTTGTCTTCTATCTCCTGAGCCCAAACAGGGCTCAAGTTCACTTGGGATATGACATAGACCCTATTGTTATGTGTGATCTAACCCATCTGCCTCTGTCCCAGCCTGTCCATAGATGGGGGCTATGGGTGCAAATGAGACTGCCCAGGTAGGGACCAGCCACACACAGGACTTCACGTGGATCCAGTTCTCTTTGGTCCCGACTCATATGTAAACAACTACCTATAAATAATACTCATATACTTGTAAGGTTGTCCAGTTCAAAAGACTGGCCCCTGTAGAAGTTGCCAATCATTGAAGCCAAAGTACATCTGAGGGAGGGCTGGAACCCAGACAGTGACATCTTACAGGGGACTTCTTCTTCTTCCCCCATTGTATGTCTCCTCCTTTTATGTTTATCTAATCTATTCACATAACTATGTAAACAAGTACATTTACTAAAGTTTCTTCATGTTCATAAAATAATAACATACAGAATTATAAAAGTAGAAAGGTAAGGCCAAGCATGGGGGCTCACGCCTCTAATTCCACCGCTTTGGGAGTCTGAGGTGGGCAGACTGCTTGAGTCCAGGAATTCGAGACCACCCTGAGCAACATAGAGAGCCCCTATATCTAGACAAAATACAAAAAATTAGCCGGGCGTGGTGGTGCACACCTGTGGTCCCAGCTATTTGGATGGCTGAGGTGGGAGAATCGCTTGAGCCTGAGAGGTCAAGGCTATAGTGAGCCAAGATTGCACCATTGCACTCCAGCCTGGGAGACAGAGTGAACTGCCCCGCACCCCCCACCCAAAAAAGGTTCATATCATATAGTATCAAGTGAAGTCGGACAACGACTGTGTAGATGGATCTTACAATGTAGCCCAAATAAATAAATAAAGCATTTACATTAGGATAAAAAAGTGCTGTGAAAACAATGACATCCCAAACCAAATCTCAAAGTACGCACAAACGGAATGATCCAGACATTTCCATAGTGTCCTTATTATCACATTCAGCTTATAAAAATAATGCCAAGTGCAGTGAAAAGTTACAGGATGTTCCATCCACTGGGTGATGTTGGATGGGAGAGTTTCTTCCAGTACCGGTCATGTGACAATTGTGGCACTTTCCTACTGACTGGAGTCCAGTTGGGCTTTTTCCAGAAAAAAGGTAAACCAGGGAAGGTCTGACTTCCTGAAGAGAATCACACTTAGGACATGGCAGAGTCTGCATTACCTTCTAGATACATGAACTTTCCAGAGCTCAACAAGTGGTCCTCAATCTTCTGCTTGGCAAGTCTCTCTCCCAGCGTCTCCAAGGCATCCAGCAGGGTGTGGACAGAGGCATCTCGCCCGGTTTTGTTGACCCACTTTATCAGCATCGTGTACAAGGTGTCCCTGTGGCCCGCTGCCTCAGCTTTAGCCACCTTTATCTCATTGTCCATGAGGCCCAACTTCCTCATGAGCGGCTCCCAGGAGTCAAAGGGCACCAAGTCTGCAAAGTCATCGAAGCACTGTCTCAGAGCTGGTGGAGAAAGCCACAGAGACAGCCAGGTGAGTTGGGACTCAGAAAGGGCAGAGGATTCCACATCAGGCCCAGAACCCAAGGCGGGGAACCTGGAGAGCCCCGTGTGCGGGCAAACCTGCCGCTCCAGTGCCCACCCGCTTCCCATCCACAGAGAGCGCGCCCACACTGCCTGGCCTCCCCCACACGCAAGGCACTGCGGGGAGTCAAAGTCGTCAGAGAATCAGCCCTCATACAGGGCTGAGAACCCACCAGGGGAGTATGGATGGACGTTACAGAGGCAGAAAGTAAAGTGCGTGAGAGTCCGAGGGAGGGAGAGACAGTGGCTGCAGCGGGAGCTTAGAGGAGGGAGGAGGCTGCCTGGGCTGCGCTTGTCATGGGAGCAGGTCCCAGGGCGGCCACTTCTGCATCTGTGGAAAGCACAGGGCCTGGGACAGGGGACCTCTGTTTTCACCCAGCTCGGCCTCACTTCCTGGGGCTGGGGCAGAGCTAGGTGGAGGCAAACAGACTCTGAGCAAGAAGTGAACCCAAAGACCGAGCAATGCTGCCCAGATCTCGGGACGATGAGGGATTAAATGAGACGTGTGTGCAACATGATGCACCTCGCCGTCCTCAGAGATAGACAGGGTCAGGAACACGAGGCTATGTTTTCCAACAGCCTTATTTTAAAGAACATCAGAAACAAGTGACATTCATTTTAATGTATGGTACTGAATATATTTAAAATATAATTTAATATACAATCAATATACAAAAATTATGAGTGAAATATTTTCCACTCTTTTTTGCATTAAGTCTTTGGCATTCGTATGTAGTTTACACAACAGCTCTGCAAATTGGGCTGAGGCACAGGTCAAGAGCTCCTTAGCCCACTGGGGTTAGTGGTGCTGTGCAGGACAGGCCAGCCCCTCAGGAGGTCCTCAGGGGCAGGCGGGGGCTACATCAGGCCCTGAACAAAGGAGGAGAGAGGATGAGGGGACGGACAGAGTCATTAGGGTCAATGATAGGGTGCAGAGAGGATGAGGTAGAGTGGGGAGAAGAGATGGGAGAAGACAGTTTAGGGTCCAGATGGTCTATAGCACAGGACCCACGGCTTCCAGCATGGAATACTCTGGAAGAGCCCTCTGACCTCTGGGGACAGCAGTTAGGACCCTGTCCCTATTCCCTCCATTCCTGCTGCATCTCCAGGAGCAAAACACTTACTCTCAGTGGGATCACCTTCATTTGCTGGAACCAGCAGCCTCCTCCTCTGAGACCTTTCAGCTTCTGCCGGTTCCTGTAACACATAGTGGGGAATGTCCTGGTCAGAGCCAGGAGTCCTACAGTCCAGTACTGACCCCGACCACCAGCCAGCTCTGAGACCTGCAGCACGTCACTTCCAGAACATTGTTCTGAAAGGTCTGGCAACAAGACAGGAGACAAAGGGGCAAGACTCTCGGAAGGAGGCCGATACAGCAGTCAATATTTTAGATTAGGAGTGTATATTTTTAAAACCCCAAGGTTTAATTTGTAATACTCAAAAGTGAATATGTCTTGATGATTTTTTTTTTTTTCGAGACAGAGTCTCACTCCGTCTCCCAGGCTGGAGTGCAATAGTGCGATCTTGGCTCACTGCAACCTCCACCTCTGGGTTCAAGAGATTCTCCTGCCTCAGCCTCCCAAGTAGCTGGGATTACAGGTGTGCACCACCATGCCCAGCTAATTATTTTATCGTATTTTTATATTTTTAGTAGAGACAGGGTTTCACCATGTTGGCCAGGCTAGTCTCAAACTCCTTACCTCAGATGATCCATCCGCCTCGGCCTCCCAAAGTGCTGGGATTACAGGCGTGAGCCACTGCACCTAGCCCTGATGAATGTTAAACCACATAGCAGAGGCCAGGCATGGTGGCTCACACCTGTAATCCCAGCACTCTGGGAGGCTGAGGTGTGAAGACTGCTTGAGCCCAGGAGTTTGAGACCAGCCTAGGCGACATAGCGAGATCCTGTTTCTAAAAATAAAATAAAATAAAATAAAATAAGCTGGGTGTAGTGGCACAAAACTGTCGTCCGAGCTACTCAGAAGCCGGTAAGTCCGAGCTTACTTGGCCTTAGAAGGTCAAGGCTGCAGTGAGCCATGATTGTACCACTGCACTCCAGCCTGGGTGACAAGAGTGAGACCCATCTCAGAAAGAAAGAAAAGAAAAGTAGCAGCAGACATAATAAATTAGAAAATGGACTTACAAGAAGACCCAAAATGCAAAGAAACAGCTTTGATGAGGAATAGGAAAAATTTATCTGAAATAAACTCCCAAATCTCGATTGAGTCATAATAGAACACTTGACTTGAAATATTATCTTCTTTGATAATAAAATTGAATGTTGAAAGGATGTCAATCATTCCTAGAACCATGTATTAATTTAAATTAATATTTGTAAAGTCTAGTGACTATGTGGGCGGGAGGGGTACTAGAGAAAATCTTATAATTCTAAATTTTATCTAATTCTAAATTATAAGATGTGTAAAAATAATTTTGAAAACATATTTGCTGTCTAAGATATTAAAACATATTAGACAGTTTTGTTTGGTGTTGTACATGATATAATCCTTTTCATGTCAATACCACATAAATACATATGCATTTATGTACCTAGATGGTATATGCATAAAGAGTTTAGCAAAGAATCACAAGAAATTATCCACTGTAGTTACCTGAAATAAGAAGGGCCAAAAGGCTGGGAAAGAGTAAAGAAGGCTCTTGGTATGATCAAGTTTTTTCATACTCTGGTGGATGTGTGGCTATGGGTGACCTGCTTTCAAAAAATGATCAGGCCAGGCATGGTGGCTCATGCTTGTAATCCCAGCATTTTGGGAGGCCAAGGAGGGTGGATTGCCTGAGTTCAGGAGTTCGAGACCAGCCTAGGCAACATGACCAAACCTCGTCTCTACAAAAAATACAAAACTTAGCTGGGCACGGTGGCACATGCCTATAGTTCCAGCTACTCAGGAAGCTGAGGTGAGAGGATGACATGAGCCCAGGAGGCAGGGGTTGCAATGAGCCAAGATGGTGCCACTGCACTCCAGCCCAGGTGATAGAGCAAGATCCTGTCTCAAAAAAAAAAATCTTCAAAGTCATTAATAAGCATGGAGGAAGTATTGGCATTGTTCATTTGTTTCCTTTTAAAATCTCTTCTCTTTATTTAAAAAGAAAGTGGTACAGATGCAAGGAAGAAACAGAAACAGTCTAGGTGGAAGAGATCTCTGCCCATATAAACATTTGACATTTTCAAGGATAAGATCTAGTTTTTTTTTGTTTGTTTGTTTTTTTAAAAAAGAGTGAAGAGGAAGAGAGAAAAAAGTAAACATTTGACATGTAGCAAAGGAGGTGGCAAAAGGGCAAAGGCAAGGGAAAAAGGAAGAATTGGTTGCTAAATGGGCTTGGAAGAAGGAAACAGAGACTCAGAATAATTCAGGGAGTTTCTCAGCTTATATTGAATCGAAAATTCAATTCTGTTTAGATTATATTGCTGTATGTTAAAAATCAAATCATTAAAAATAAAACACTGCAGGAAACTGGATAGTCTCATCTTATGTTCGAGGGAAGGACTTTCAGTGCTTACGAGCAATGAACAATAAATGTATATACAGATTTCCTGCCTACTCAATATCACATCAAAACTGATGGATTGATATGAACTGATTGTGTGCGTGTGTCCAATACAAAAGCCCTTTGTGCATCGACTTGGAATCCTACTTTTTGGAAGCTGCCCTACGAACTTTGAAATATGTTCAATGTAATAACAATTTCAGAGTAAATTTAAAACTCCTGCTGTTACAAGCAAGGGCTCACTGACTTCTGTTAGGAGCATACGATGGAGACTGTGCAGCCTTATTCACTCATCAATGAACCCTGTGACCCCCACTCTATGCCTGTGGAGCTCCAGGCTCGGGGGACACAGCAAGGACAGGACAGGGAGTAAGAAGCAGATGTCCTGCAGACTGGCACGGTCACCACCTCAGTGCAGCTGCTCCATCCCCTGCAGTCCCCTGGCTCCTTCAGGTTCCATTTCCCCTGGGCCAGGAGAGCTAAGGCACTGCCCTCTCCCACTGTCTACGAAATCCCAGGTGAGCAGCATGCCAGGAAACAAAATGATCTGTCCCCCACTCACCAGCAGATGCTCTGACTCCCCGGGGGACAACATGTTGACACCTGTTGGCTCTGCTGGCTCCTGGACTTCCATTTCCTGCTCAGGGACCTGGGTGGGCTGCAAGATACTCACGATCTCATTGAGGACATTGTCCTCAGCCCCAGGTCGTTGTGAGCTCTGGAAAAAGACATTGGGAAGGCAAAAAGCCGACTCAGGAGTCCACACCTAGGGCTCGCTGCAGGGTCCTCAGTATGCAGCTGCACCTGACATCCCCACCCCCTCTCAGTGAGGTCACCGCAGGCAGCCCAGACTCAGCACATCCAGGACCCGCTGCTGGGGCCAGGCCCCCAGTGCTGTGCTCAGGCAGACACCCCATCCCTAGGGTGCAGGCTGTGGGGTGAGGATGTCACCTGGGCTGCAGCAGGGCTCACCAGCCTATGTGGTGCTCAAAATGGCCATGTGTCCCCCACAGTCAGCCCAGAGCACCCAGGCCACTTCAGAGAGTCAGGGCAGCCATGAGGACAATGGGGACCCACCCACCCAGGTTCTGCTGTCCCAGGAAGCAGTTCCTGAACCCCTGAGCCCCCAGCTCCTGGAGAAATCAACTCACTCTGTCCACACGCTCAGGGTCCCCACCACCACCTAAAAAAGAAGCAGTCTCCTTAGCAGGAAGGGAGGGGCCCATGAAGCACCCCCCTCCCAGAGGACAGTGGGGCGCAGGGCTGGGCTGGGGGCTGGGACACTGGACAAGGAGCCCTGGGGCTGGGGACAGAATGGGGCCTTACAACTCAGAGACACCCTGAGGAAGGGGGATGAGAAGGGGAACTAGAGTAAAAACAAACACTTGGAAAATCTCTGGTTCTGCTCTGACCAAGGCTGAAAAAATCCCACGACCACTTCTCATCCTCACCCTTGTCACCCAGTTGAGGAGCCGACTGCCCCCTGCCTGGCTGGGCCTGAAGATGGGAGGAACTGGCCCTGCCCTCCTGGACTTGGCTGGGAGATATGGGGACCCCCAGACCTGGGAGAGGGACTGAAGAGACCAGGGTCCTGGGGGGTGCACGGGATGTGGGGATGGGGGTGACCACGAGGAGGAGGATAGAGCCAGGCTGGAGGCACTTAGACTTGGGGCAGGGGCAGGCGTTTCTGTCTGTGGGAATAGGGTGGGAGGGGGCAGGGCAGAGAGTGCCCTGTGCCCCCGCCCTCAGCCAGCACCTACCTGAGCAGATGCCTTTCAGGTAAGGAAGGACTTTCTTCCACAGTAAAGACTTGCAAACAAACACAGCCACAATCAAGACTACGGCTGCAACTGTGACTCCTATGATGATGCCTGAGAGAGAACAGGGAGAGGCAGGAGTCCCTGGGCTGGAGGTCACCGTCTCCTCCACAGCTGGGACTTCCCCACTGTGCTTTGTACCTGATTCTTTGTGGACACATTCGATGTCACTCCAGGGTGTACAATCACCGACCTTGACCATCCCTCTGGGACACCTGGGTACACACACAGAGGGAGAGGGGGGACTCTTGATGGAAAGCTGGCCAGGTGGGATGAAAGAGGAGCCACCCTCCCTCCCCAGTGTCCCTGAGAAGGTGTCAGGGGAAGGACAGTCTCCTCGTGTCAGCAGTGGGTCCCCCTGTGCTCCCTTCTTGAGGCTGGGGAAGGGTCTGAGCATGCGCACTTCAGCCCCTCGGCCTCCCTGCTCTGGGGTCAGAGCTGCAGTTCCAGGAGCCTTCTGTGCTGGGCACACACTGAGCTTCCCTGGGCTGCAGGGGAGGCCTGCGTTAGGAGCAATCACACTCCAGGGGAAGGTCACAAGCCCGTGTGGCCACAAGATGAGTCCGGTCTTCCAGTCAACCACAAAAGTGAGCTCTTGTCCCCAGCTGTCTGCCCATTTCCCCCAATCACAGCAAATACTAGGGGGGCCAGAGAAGAGCAAATTACTCTTGGCCCCTAAAACCCAAATAGGGAAAAGACAGGTCTTACTGAGGGATCAGGGGCCAGGGGTGAGGCCGGCTGGGTGGGCTCAGGTCCTCATGGGAACTTGAAGGAGCTCCACCCATGGCCTTATTATGCCTTTTGTGGGCCATGGGCACTTTTGTCTTTATGGGCCCCTGCATGCATAAAAATATTAAAAAATACATTTTATTGCTGAATTGGTATAAAGATGAATATATGCCTGGCTGCATTCTACTCATTCTTCTTATTTCAAGAGAAATTAAATCATTTCATGGGCCCCTAAAATTATCATGGGCCCCAAGTCATGGCCTTCTGTGGTCAGTGAACAAGTCAGCCTGGTCAAGGGGACTCGTGCTGGGGAGGGGTGGAAAGAGGCTGCTGCAGGGGGCAGGGGTGGTGACACGCAGAGGGACCAGGAGGGGCAGCCACAGCCTCAAGGATGCCCCTTGCGGGTGCTGTCAGGGGAGAGACAGGGGTACAAGGAGACTTGGGTCTTTTGGGGTTCCATGGAGCTACTGGGAGCCCCCGGCTCCTGTCTCACCCTGTGCGGCACTTCCGGCACATCTCAGGAGAATCTTCTTCCCGGAAGGTGCCTTCTTCGCACTGACACACTGTGTTTCTGGTCGTGGTGCAGGGACTTAGCTCCACTTCACCTGACGACAGAGCATAAGGTTTTGGGAATGTGTTTTCCTGATGTGTCCCTTGACCCTTCCTCCCCACCCCAAGACCCTGCTACTCAGCTCAACTCAGTTTGCCAAGGAGTTCTGAGGGCCAGTTTCTGCACCAGCACACTCATGGCTCATTCAGGATACCCACCCTTCAGCTGTCACTAACACTCGTTGAGTCATACAAAAGGACCACAGTTCATTATTTATTACATTAGATTAGGGGAAAGCACCGTTTAGGGGACAAGCATCGTTTAGATTGCATGGCCAGTAGCAAGGGAAGTGCAAGGGATCACCTGAGAGACTGCAAGGAGAGGAGCCCTTGGGGGACTTCCCCAAGGCCCAGCCTGCTGGGGAGGAGGGAGAGGCCTGAGAACCTGAAGGGTGAGTGAGGCCGAGCACCTGCCAGGAGCACAGAGCCCAGGGGAGAGAGCCTGGCCCCAAAGCAGACCTGTGCCACTGCTGAGATCCAGCCCTGTCCACTTGGCCTGGCTCATGGCCCCACCCCCTTGCAGCTGACAGTTTAAAAGATTTCCTTACCATGTAGCATACATTATACAAATAATTTCTGTATTATTATTATTTTAATTAATTATTGAGACAGGGTTTTGCTCTGTTGCCTGGGCTGGAATGCAGTGGCACAATCTCGGCTCCCTGCAACCTCGGCCTCCTGGGCTCAAGAGATCCTTCTGCCTCAGCTTCCTAAGTAGCTGGAAATACAGGCACGCGCCACCATGCCCGGCTAATGTTTATATTTTTGTAGAGACGGGGTTTCTCATGTTGCCCAGGATGGTTTCAAACTCCTGGGCTCAAGTGATGCCTCCCAAAGTGTTGAGATTACAGGCATGAGCCACTGTGCCGGGCCTGTTTTATTTATTAAAAAGCTCAAAGACAAAATCATGGAACATGGTATGATGAAGACCAAGGTGGACCAGAATCTAGGTCTCCTGATCCCATTTTAGCTACAACTTTTATGTCATCACCCCGCATTCCACCTTTAGGCATGGGGTCCATATGTTCTGTACCTGAATCACACCTGGTGCAGCGCAAGCAGAAAAGGAGGTCATTCCAGTGAGTGCTATAGTCCTGTCCATATTTGCAGGAGATGCAATCTCTACCGTCTTCTGAGATATGGTGTCCTGGGAGGGGAGAGAAAAGCCGGTGAATGAAATGCCACAGGATTCCCAGAAGCTGGCAGTGGTGGCTGGGGGACTCCTCTTTCAGGGATGTGTGGAACCAAAAGAGGGAAATCTCCTCTACCTAGCTTGGTCAGTTCATCAATTCTGCATTTACACACCTTAAACCAGCACTGCCAAAAGAAATATAAGCCACACATTTATTTATTTTATTTTTTATTTTTGAGACGTAGTCTCACTCTGTCACCCAGGCTGGAGTGCAGTGGCGTGATCTCGGCTCACTGCAACCTCCGCCTCCTGGGTTCAAGAGATTCTCCTGGCTCAGCCTCCTGAGTAGCTGGGATTACAGGCACACACTACCACACCTGGCTAATTTTTGTATTTTTTTAGTAGAGACAGGGTTTCACCGTATTGGCCAGGCTAGTCTCGATCTCCTGACCTCATGATCTGCCTGCCTAGGCCTCCCAAAGTGCTGGGATTACAGGCGTGAGCCACTGCACCCGGCCTATTTATTTATTTATTTATTTATTTATTTATTTATTTAGACAGGGTCTTGCTCTATAGCCCAGGCTGGAGTGCAGTGGTGTGATCTCAGCTCACTGCACCCTCGACCTCCCGGACCCTCCCTCTCCCCCCGACCCACAAATAGCTGGGACTACAGGTGCACACCACCACACCGGGTTAATTTTTAGTGTACTTTTTTTTTGTAGAGACGAGGTTTCACCATGTTGCCTAGGCTGGTCTCAAACTCCTGGGCTCAAGTGATTCACTCTCCTTGGACTCCCAAGGTGCTAGGAATACAGGTGTCAGCCACTGTGCCCAGCCCACATATGAAATTTAAATCCACACTCAGCACATTAAAAAAGGTGAGAAGGGGTGAAATTAATGTTAATAATGCATTTTAATTTAATGTACCCCAGATAATATCACTTAAATATGTAATCCACATAAAACATTGAGATATTTTACAGCATTTTTTTCACAGTACGTCTTCAAATCCTGCGTATATTTTAACTCATGGCACATCTCAATTTGCAGTAGCATTTTTTTTTTTTTTTTTGAGACGGAGTCTTGCTCTGTTGCCCAGGCTAGAGTGCAGCGATCTCGGCTCACTGCAACCTCTGCCTCCTGGGTTCAAGTGATTCTCCTGCCTCAGCCTCCCGAGTAACTGGGATTACAGGCACCCACCACCGCACCCGGCTAATTTTTGTGTTTTTAGTAGAGACGGGGTTTCACCATCTTGGCCAGGCTGTTCTCGAACTCCAGACCTCGTGATCCACCTGCCTCACATATTTCAAGTGATTGGCAATCACATGGGCCTAGGGACTACTATATTAGACAGTGCCATCTTAGACCTTTAAAATGCACAGAAGAATGTCCTAATACCTGTTCTGAATGAGCTCCTAGCCAGTGGAAGATACACCAGGAGCAGAAGTCATACAACAATGGGAAAAGCCTTCAAAATTAAAGCTCACACCATCAGCCATGGGAAGAAAACGGGAGGAATCTCTATAGAGTCAAAGAATGATCCAAAGAAAAGGGGACTAAAGCTGCCCTGGAATGAGGATATGTTTCAAAATTGGAAAGTGTGAGTCCCGCCAACTCTGCTTTTCTTTTACCAGATTGTTTTTGGTCAATAAGTCTTTTTAATTCCATACGACTTTGAATATAAGTTCTTCCATTTTTAAAATAACACCACTGAGATTTTGGTAGGGATTTCATTGAATCTGTATATTGCTTTGGGTAATTTAACACCATTTTGATCTATGAACATGGAATATCTTCCTGTTTATTTTGCTTTTTTAAAATTTCTTACAGCAATGTTTGATAGTTTTCAGCGTAAAAGTTTTGCAGTAGCAAAGAACAATCCAAAAAGGAAATTAAGAAAACAATTTCATTGACAATGACATAAAAATGAATAAAACATTTAGGAATGATATTTAACAAGGAGGTGCAAGACTTTTAAAAAACATTTGTCTGCACATCCAAGAAACTCAATGATCTCCAAGCAGGATAAGTTAAAAGAGAACTACACTGAGACACATTATAGTCAAATGGACAAAAGCCCAACACCAACAGAAAATCCTGAAAGTAGCAAGTGGCCCACTCAGTATGTACAAGGGAACCTCAATAAGGTTATTAGCTAATTTCTCACCAGGAACCATAGAGCCCAGAAGGGAGTGGGTAACATATTTAAAGTGCCAAGAAACAAAAACACAAGCATACAAAATCCTGCAACCAAGAATTTGATATCCAGGAACATTATCATTCAAGAATGAAGAAGAAATTAAGACCTTCTTAGATAAATGAAAGGTAATGGAGCACATTACTAGTAGATCTGCCCTGTGAAATGCTAAAAGGAATCCTTTAGGAGGTAATGTAATGACATTAGATAATAGCTCAAAGGCATACGAAGAGATAAAGAACACTGGAGGCCGGGTGCGGTGGCTCACGCCTGTAATCCCAGCACTCTGGGAGGCCGAGGCGGGCGGATCACGAGGTCAGGAGATCGAGACCATCCTGGCTAACACGGTGAAACCCCGTCTCTACTAAAAATACAAAAAAAAATTAGCCGGGCGAGGTGGCGGGCGCCTGTAGTCCCAGCTACTCGGGAGGCTGAGGCAGGAGAATGGCGTGAAACCCAGGGGCCGGAGCCTGCAGTGAGCCGAGATTACGCCACTGCACTCCAGCCTGGGCGACAGCGAGACTCCGTCTCAAAAAAAAAAAAAAAAAAAAAAAAAAAAAAAAAAAAGAACCCTGGAAAAGGTAACTATTTAGGTAAATATAAATGCTGGTACGCAGCTACTTAGGCTGCTATAATAAAATACCATAGACCAAGTGGCTTAAACAATAGACATTTATTTATCATAGTTCTAGAGATGGCCACCATCTTGCTGTGCATTTGCGTAACCTCTTCCTTGCACACACCAGAAGAGGGGGGGAGAGAGAGAGCGAGCAAGCGAGAGAGAGCAAGTTGTCTGGGTCTTTTCTTAAAAAGGCACTAATCCCATCATGAGGGCCCCACCCTCATGACCTCATCTAAACCCAATTACTTCCCAAAGGCACCATCTCCAAATACCATCTCATTGGATGGTAATGCTTCAACATATGATTTTGGGGACACAATTCAGTCTGTAGCACAGTATTATGGTACATTTGGTTTGTAAATCCTCTTATTTACTTATATGATTTAAAGAGCAAATGCAGAAAACAATAATTACAAATTGATGTTAATGGGCACACAATGTACAAGGATGTGATCTATAACAACAAGATGGAGGAGGAAAGACGGAGAAGTACAGGAGCACAGTGTTTGCATACCATTGAAGTTATGTTGTCATTACTCAAACTAAGCTCAAGTCCATCTCAGAAAGGGGCCAGTGGGTCCCCACACCCATCCTGTCTGATTTCCTCATTTTAGTATGTGTAATTGGAATAGACATACTCAGCAGCTGGCACAATCCCCACCTTCATTCCCTGACATGTGAAGTGAAGACTATTATGGTGGAAAAGACCAGGTGGAAGCCACCAGATTTGCATTTACTTAAAAAAAATAGTAAATCAAAAGCAATACCAGATGGGCATGGTGGCTCATGTCTGTAATTCCAGCACATTGGGAGGTCAGGGCAGGAGGATTACTTGAGGCCAGGGGTTTAAGACCAGCCTGGGCAACACAGTGAGACTCCATCTGTACACACACATACAAAATTATCCAGGTATGACAGTACATGCCTGTAGTCTTAGCTGCTCAAGAAGCTGAGGCAGGAGGATTGCCTGAGCCCAGGAGTTCAAGCTGCAGTGTGCTATGATTGTGCCACTGCACTCCAGCCTGGGTGACAGAGTGATACCCTGCCTGTAAAGCACAAAAAAACAAAAGCAATACAACATTCCTGGAGGGATTGCAGAGATCATTACCACCATCCAGGATGCATCTGTGGTGATTCCCATCACATGCCCATTGAACTTGACTATTTGGCCTGTGCCAAAGACAGATGGATCTTGGTGAATGACAGTGGATTATCATACGCTTAACCAGGTGGTGATTCCAGTTATAACTGTCCCAGATATGGTTTCATTGTTTGAGCAAATCGCCACATCCCTGGTACCCTGGTATGCAGGTGTTGAACTGGCAAATGCTTTGTTGGTCATACCTGTCAATAAAGACTCCCAGAAGCAGTTTGCTTTCAGTTGGCAAGGCCAGCAATATACCCTCACTATCCTGTCTCCGGGATGCATCAACTCGCAGCCCTATGTCATAATTTAGTTTGCAGGTATTTTTTTTTTTTTAATTAAACAGAGTCTTGCTCTGTCTCTCAGGCTGGAGTGCAGTGGCATGATCTCAGCTCACTGCAACCTGCACCTCCTGGGTTCAAGCGATTCTCATGCCTCAGCCTCCCAAGTAGCTGGGATTACCCATGTGTGCCACCACATCCAACTAATTTTTGTATTTTTAGTAGAGATGAGGTTTCACCATGTTGGCCAGGCTGGTCTAGAACTCCTGGTCTCAAGTGACCCAGCCACCTTGGCCTCTCAAACTGCTGGGATTACAGGCGCGAGCCACCACATCTGGCCTGCAGGGATATTGATGGCCTTTCCCTTCCACAAGATAACACACAAGACGATCCATTATACTGATGACATTATACTGATTGAACCTCACGAGCAAGAAGTAGCAACTATTCTAGACTTAATGGTAAGACATTTGCATGTCAGGGGGTGGGAAATAAATCTGACAAAATTTCAAGGGCCTTTTACCTCAGTAGAAGGACAACAACTGGGAAACAAATTCCTAGTTGTTGAATGATGTGGCACATAAGATATTCCTTCTCTTCTAAGATATTCTAAGATAAAAGATAAATTGTTGTATCTGCCACCCCCACCTCCCTACAACCAAGAAAATGACACAATGCCTAGTGTGCTTATTTTGATTTTGGTGGCAACATATTCCTCATTTGGGTGTGTTTCTCTGGCCTATTTATCAAGTCACCTAAAAATGTGCTAGTTTTGAGTGGTGCTCAGAACAAGAAAAGGCTCTGCAACAGGTCCAGGCTGCCGTAGACATTTTTCTGTCACTTGGGCCATACGACCCAGCAGACCCAACGGTGCTTGAAGTATTGGTGGCAGACAGCAATGCTGTTTTGAACCTTTAGTAGCCCACTCTAGGTCAACCACAGCACAGGCCCTTAGGTTTTGGAGCAAAGACTTGCCATCCTCTGCAGATAACTACTCTCCTTTTGAGAAACAGCTCTTGGCTTGTTTCTGGGCCTTAGTGCAGACTGAATGGTTAACCATAGGCCACCAAATTACTCTACGACCTGACTGCTCATCGTGAACTGAGTGTTATTTTGCCTACCAAGCCATAAGTTTGGGCACATACAGCCTAAAGTTTCCATTTCCATTTTCAAATGTAATTGGTATATATACAAAATTGGGCTTAAATAGGCCCTGAAGGCACAAGAAAGTTACATGAAGAAGTGGCCCAAGTGCCCATGATCCCCACTCCTGCAATATTACTTTCTTTTGCCTGGCCTGCACTTATGGCCTCATGAGGAATTCCCTATGGTCAGTTGCCAGAAGAAGGTTTACAGATGGTTCTGCACCACATACAGGTAACCCTTAGAAGTGGATGTTTGCAGCATCACATCCACTGTCTGGGACGTCCCTGAAGGACAGTGGTGAAAAGAAATCCGCTAGGCCGGGTGTGGTGGCTCACACCTGTAATCCCAGCACTTTGGGAGGCCGAGGTGAGTGGATCACCTGAGGTCAGGAGTTCGAGACTGGCCTGACCAACATGGTGAAACCTCGTCTCTACTAAAAATACAAAATTACCGAGCATGGTGGCACATGCCTGTAATCCCAGTTACTTGGGAGGCTGAGGCAGGGGAATCACTTGAACCCGGGAGGCAGAGGTTGTAGTGAGCCGAGGTCGCCCCATTGCACTCTAGCCCGGGCAACAATAGCGAAACTCCGTCTCAAAAAAAAGAGATCCTGCCACTGGGCAGAACTCTGAGCAGTACACCTGGTTGTTCATTTTGCTTGAGGGAAGAATGGCTAGACATGTAGTTATATACTGATTCATGAGCTGTGGTCAATGATTTGGCTGGAGGGTCAGAGGCTCTGAAGGAAAACTGATAACAAGGAAGTCTGGGGAAGAGGTGTGTGGATAGACCTTTCTCAATGGGTAAAAAAACCATGAAGATATTTGTGCCCCATGTGACACAAATATCTTCACAAAAAGTGATCTTAGCAGGGAAGGATTTTAATAATCAGGTGGATAGGATGACCTGTTCTGTGACTACCAGTCAGCTTCTTTCCCAGCCATCCTTGTCATCACTCAATGGGCTCATGAACAAAGTGTGCATGGTGGCAGGGATGGAGGTTATGTATGGGCTTAACAATACAGACTTCCCTCACCAAGGCCAACCTGGCTACAGCTGCTACTGAGTGCCCAATCTATAGGCAGCAGAGTCCAACACTGAGTCTCTGATATAGCACCATTCAGAGGGTCAGTCTGCCAGCTACCTGGTGGCAGGTTGATTATTACACTGAACCATTTCTATCATGGAGGGGGCAGCATTTTTACTGGAAGAGAAGCTTATTTTGCACATAGACTTGCCTTCCCTGCATGCAATGCTTCTGTCAAAACTATCCTCTGTGGACTCACAGAATGCCTTATCCACAGTCATGGTATTCACACAGCATTGCTTCTGATTGAGGGACTCACTTGATGGCAAATGAAGCGCCCACTATAATGGGCCTGTGCTCATGGAATTACTGGTCTTACCATGTTCCCCACCATCTCAAAACTGCTGGCTTGGTAAGATGGTGGGATATGGCTTTTTGAAAACTCATTTACAATGTCAGCTGGGTGGCAGTACCTTGAAGGGCTGCAACAAGGTTCTCCAGGAGACTGTCTATGCTCTGAATTATCCTCCAATACATGCGGTTGCTTCTTCCATTGCTAGGATTCATGTGTCCAGGAATCTAGGGGTGGAAGCAGGAATGGCCCCACTCCACATTACCCTTAGTGGCCTGTTATCAAAATTTTTGCTGCTTTATGCTTTGCTAGAGCTCTGAGTTTCAGAGGGAGGAATGATTCCATGAGGAGACACAACAGTGATTCTGTGTAACTTGAAGACTGCCACTTGGCCACTTTGGGTTCCTCATGCCTCTGAATCAACAGGCGAAAACCAGTTACACAAACCCTGCTGGCTGGATTGACTGATTCTGAACACAAAGGGGAAATTGAAGGGAAAATTGGACTGTTATTCCACAATGGACGTAAGGAAGAGGATGTCTAGAATACAGGAGATTCCTTAGGGCATCTCTTAGTATTACCATGCCCTGTGAGTAAAGTCAATGGAAAACTACCACGACCCTATTAAAGCAGGACCACTTATAGCTCAGACCCTTCAGGAATAAAGGTTAGTTCACTCTACCAGGCACAGAGCCATGACCAGCTGAGGTGCTTAGTGAGGGCACAGGGAATACAGAATGCACAGCGAAAGAAGCTTCTTATAAATACCAGCTACAATGACATGACCAGCTATGGAAATAAGGACTGTAATCATTATAAGTATTTCTTCCTTATTGTGTTATGTGTGTGTGTTTATGTGTAAATATATGTTAAGCGAATATCTGTGTTTTCTTCCTTCTCTTATCCCCTTGTTATGTAACACAAGATATTTTGAATTTATATCATAGTATTTAAGTATTGTTCACTTTATAGTATTTATGTTCCAGGGTATCAAGGAAAGGAGTAAACACCACTCAAGAACTTTGCATCCTCTTCTGGAGAAAGGGTTAGTGCGTTTTCAGTTGTATACAGGATAGCTGTATTATGTTAGGTGGAAATATAATCTTATTATTTCCATTACTTGGAGATCAAGTATGGTTTAAAAGAATTTCAAATCTTTAAAAATTCTGTATTAGTCAGGGCTCTCTAGAGCAGGGGTCTCCAACATTTTTGCCACCAGGGACTGGTTTCCTGAAAGACAATTTTTCCACGGACTGGAGTTGGGGGCATGGGGATGGTTTCAGGATGATTCAAGCATGTTACATTTATTGTGCACTTTATTTCTATCACTATTATATGGTAACATATAATGAAATAATTATACAACTCACTATAACGTAGAATCAGTGGAAGCCCTGAGTTTATTTTCCTGCAACTAGATGGTCCTATCTGGGGGTGATGGGAGACAGTGACAGATCATCAGGCATTAGATTCTCATAAGGAGTGCGCAACCTAGATCTCTCAAATGTGGAGTTCACAATAGGGTTCACGCTCCTATGAAGTCTAATGCTGCCGCTGATTTGACGGCATGCAGAGCTCGGGCAGTAATGCTCACTCATCTACAGCCCACCTCCTGCTGTGTGGCCTGGTTCCTAACAGGCCACGGACCAGTACTGGTCCATGGCCTGGGGGTCAGGGGCCCCTGCTCTAGAGAGATAAAGATTTATCTTAAGGAATTGGTTCACATAACTGTGGAGGCTGGCAAATTCAAAAGGTACAGGATAGGCCAGCAGAGAAGAGTCACAGCTCAGGTCTGAAGGCTGCCTGCTGGCAGAACACCCTCTTTCTTGGTGGAGGTCAGTCTTTTTTCTATTGAGGCTTTCAACTGATTAGATGGGACCTGCCAACATTAAGGGGGTAATCTGCTTGACTCAAAGCCCACTGATTTAAATGTTAATCCCATCTAAAACCAACAACAAAACAACAACAACAAACACACCTTCACAGAAACATCTAGGATAATATTTGGCCAAGTATCTGGGTAACCAAGTTGACACATAAAATCAACCATCACAAGTCAACCTTGCTCCATACACATACATGTCCTTAAGATCGACGTCAGTGGTCACACAACGTGCAAGGATGTGATCTATGACAGCAACAATAGAAAGCTGGAGAGATGGAGTGGTACAGGAGCACAGTATTTGGATTGCAATGAAATTCTGCCGGTATTATAAAACTACCTGTTTAGATACTTAAGAAGGTAATTGTAATCTTCAAGGAAACCAGTAAGAAAATAAGTTTTAGGCTAGGTGCGTGGCTCATACCTGTAATCCCAACACTTTGGGAGGCCGAGGCAGGTGGATCACTTGAGGTCAGGAGTTTGAGACAGCCTGACCAACATGGTAAAACCCTGTCTCTGCTAAAAATCAAAAATTATCCAGGCATGGTGGCTACTCCCTGTACTCAGGAGGCTGAGGCAGGAAAATCGCTTAAACCCAGCAGCCATAGGCTGCAGTGAGCTGAGATCGCACCACTGCACTCCAGCCTGGGTGACAGAGCAGACCCTGTCTCAAAAAATATATATATATCTATATATATATTTAAGATATGTATCTTTAAGATATATACTAAGTATATATTTAAATATATATTTATTAAATATATATATAATATATATTTATTAAATATATATAATATATATTTAATAAATATATATACAAAATATATATTTATTAAATATATACAAAATATATATTTAATAAATATATATACAAAATATATATTTATTAAATATATATACAAAATATATATTTATTAAATATATATATACAAAATATATATTTATTAAATATATATACACAAAATATATATTTAAGAAAAACAGAAAATATATTTTAAAATATGCAGAAAAGAAAAGAAGTGAGTGAAAATGGTACATGCCAAGAAATAAACTAAAGTTTTTTCAAAAGGTGATAAGGGAGGAACAAAATATATATAAGACATAAAGAAAACAAATAACTGAAGAGCAGAAACAAATCTTTTCTTGTCAATAACTATGTTAATTGAAAATAGTTTAAACTCTGCAATTAAAAGGCAGAGAGTGGCAGAATGAGTAAAAACAAACGCAAAAAATAGACCATAATCACCTATATGCTAGCCACAAGATTCCTGAATTATTTTTATTAATATTGAAAGACATTCTAAAAAATCCAAATTACACAAACCTTACTTAATAATGTAAGTATCATACATAATCATAGTGATTCATGTCACTGATAAAAACGTGATTATTTAATAATAGTGTTGGGGCAACCAAAAAGGTGGCTGTCAAATAATAATGTGTCTTCCTCACTCTCCTCTTACTACAAAATGAAGTCCATGTGGCTCAATGACTTAATTACAAAATAGGAAACCACAAAATGACTGCAAAGATATATGATAATTTTTTTTTTGTTGTTTTTTTTTTTTGAGACAGGGTCTCACTCTGTCACCCAGGCTGAAGTGCAATGGCGTGATCTCAGCTCACTGCAACCTCTGCCTCCCGGGTTCAAGCGATTCTCCTGCCTCAGCCTCCCAAGTAGCTGGGACTACAGGCACGCCACTATACCCAGCTAATGTTTGTATTTTTAGTAGAAACAGGGTTTCGCCATGTTGGTCAGGCTGGTGTCAAACTCCTGGCCTCAAGTGATTTGCCCACCTTGGCCTCTCGAAGTGCTGGGATTACAGGTGTGAGTCACTGCGCCCGGCGTTATATGGGAATTTTTATTAGAATTTTGGACCCAGCGCAGTGGCTCACGCCTGTAATCCCAACACTTTGGAAGGCCGAGGTGAGAGGATCGCTTGAGCCCAAGTGGTTGAGGCTACAGTGAGCTATGATCCTGCCACCGCACTCCAGCCTGGGCAACAGAGTGAAATCCTATCTCAATCAGTCAATCAATCAATCAATCAATGTATAATTTCCCTAATCTGTAAGAATTCATGTGACTCAATGATTTAAAAAAAAAAAAAAAAAAAACCTAACCTCTTACTAGGAGTGAAGAAAACCTAGGAGAACCAGTGTACAAACAGTGTCTGTGTCATGAACAGATTCTTGACCTCATTCACAGGAAGAGAAATGCACATTTCGAGGAGTTTCCACATCTCAGTCCTTGACACTTGCTATGGCCTGCTCCCTGTGGCTGGAAGGGCCATCTCTCCTCTAGGATGGAAGTTCTCCAACTGCTCCTGCTCAGCCCATTGCAGTCCTGTCTCCCTGGCCTATCGTCTCCAACTTCAAATCCTCATGGGCTCAGTTGTGCCCCTCCTCAGTATTTACAACTTCTTCCAGGTGGACACACTCAAGACAGCGGCTTCAAGCATCACCTATGTGCTAGGGTCCCCAAATGTGTACTGCTAGCCCTGCCACACACTGTCCCCTCAGAGGCCAAGTTACCCTGAGCAGTTGAATTTGGTGCCTCGATTGTCCTCATTCCCCACACGTCATCCATCCACACCCCAAATATGTCTTGAGTCCTTCCTATTCCCGTCCTGCTTCCTGGTCTTGACCCTGGACCACAGCAATAGGAGCATTTACAGATGAGTTTGTGTCTGCTTCACGCTGGGTTCTTCCTTCTCCATGCTCTGCTCCTGGCAAGCCCACATGTGCAATGTGAGGGTTTGCCCTCAGGCAAGCCTTTCCTGTGGCCCTTAGTCATGGAAAAGAAATGCAACTTTGTAAATGGATTTTAAAAGCCACTGCTTGCCACACTTGCCTGCCCTGGAAACCTTCATGCAGCAATCAATTCCTAACTCATACACATGGGGGAAAAGGGGGAAGAAGTGCGAGGCGAACACAACAGTCAAGCACACTTCAGGCCAGGTTCCTGCTGCATCTCTGGGGGCTCAAATGACCTTACGGGACACCACATAACATCCCAGGGGAGCGCCTCACACTCAAGGCCCTCCACCTGCTTCCTGTCTTGCTCCGGTTCAGTCCAGGAGTGGGCACTCAAGATGTACATCCGATGCTGGTGGCCCTCTGCTGAAAACTTCTCAGGGACATCCATCACTCATGAAATAAAATCCAGCTTCATCTGTGTGGGATCTGACCCCACGTGTCTCTCTAACTTCCTAACCCTCCACTCCCCACAGCAGCCCCCTGCTGTTGCTCCATCTTCTCCAACTCTTGCCCCCTGGCAATTGTTCCAGTGGAACCCTCCTAGGAGCACTCTTCCTGGCTCTCTGAACCTCTGGCCCTGCCCTCCTCCGGATGTCAGCCCAAAGTCACCATTGCCTGGAGGCCTCACCAGCCCCATCTCTGTCCCACTCAATTCTCTCTCAAGGTTCCTATCAGTTTCTTTGGCTGTCTCATTCATTTGTGTGTCTTGATACCATCCTAGCAGGAAGGCTCCAGAAGGACAGAGCCTTGAACTGGAGGCACCCAATGCCTCTCTGTGGAATAAAGAACAAGGAAGTGCAAAGGAAACAGACTGGAAGCTCATGGAGACAAGGGGAGGAGGGGCAAGGATTAGAGACCCATCTTGAACATACCAGGTGGACACAATCCCTCTGAGGGGCTGGACCTCTTTTGTTGTGGGGCCGCTCTCTGCTGGGGAGCTAGGTCTTGTTGGGTGATCAGAGCAGACTCAGCTGAGACCTGTGGGGACAAAGCAGGGATGGGCATGAGTGGCTTCCAGACCTCACCCCTCCCAGGATCCACTCACATTCTCTTGAGCCCAGGCACCCAAGCTAAACAGAACCCTCATCTTTCTTGCAGCTCTCACCTCTCAAACATCCTTTAGTGTTTGTTTGTCCCTTCATATTTCAGGGAAGGCCAAGTAACATACACCTGCAAAACTCTTCTAAACATGTTCATTCCAGAAAATGTGGGCAAGGAAAGTTTTTACAAGAATACACAGACCACACGTGATATTCTCAGCTAAAGATAGCATCCATTAATATTTTGTCTCATTTAGTTCCACTATTTTTCCATAGGTATGCCTATTCTCTCTTTCTCTCTTTCTCTTATTCTCTCTCACACAGACATACACACAGACACACATTTTTATAAATGGGGGTTATAATATAGCAAACTTAAAAAATTGGGATACAGGATCAAACATTAAATAGTGAACTTCTGATTTAAAAGGTGCCTGACATATAGACCAGAGAGCCCAGAAATGAACTTGCACGTACAACCATGTATTGCTCAACATTGTTCTGAGCAAAGGGTCATTAGGCAATTGTGTTGTGTGAACATCAGAAGAGTGTACTTACACAAACCTAGATGGTGTATCCTATGACACACCTGGCCTATATGGTATAGCCTTTTGCTCCTAGGCTACAAACCTGTGTAGCATGTTACATAATTGCATGGAGCCACCATCACATATGCAGTCTGTTGTTGACAGAAATGTTGTTATGTGGTGCATGACTGTATATGATCAAGTAATTTTTGGCAAAGGTATAAAGACCATTTAATTGAGAGGACAATCTTTTTAAAAATGGTCTTGGGAAATCTAGACATTGACTCATCACAAAACAATGACCTCGGACCTTTAACTTACACGTATACAAAAATTAACTCAAAATGGATCCAAAATCTAACATAAAAGTGAAAACCCTAAAACTTAGAAGAAAACATAGGAACTATTCTTCCTGACCTTGGATTTGGCAATGATTTCTTGAATGTGATCCCCAAAACACAAGCAATATAGGAAAAAAAGTAGATAAATTGCACTATGTAAAAATTAAAAACTTTTGTGCATCCAATGATGATCAACAGTGAAGGGGCAACCCACAGGAAGAGGAAAACATTTGCTAGTTGTATATCTGATAAAAGGTTAATATCTAAAATATATAAAAAACTCCAACTCAACAACAACAACAAAAAGCCAACAATGTGATTAAGAAATGAACAAAGAACTTGAATGGTAACAAGCTCCTGAATAGCCAATGTGTCAAAGAGGAAATCAAAAGGGAATTTTAAGAGTATATTAGAAAATGAAATGGAAACATAACATAACCAAATGTATGGGATGCAGCAAAAGCAGTTTTAAGAGGAAATGGCAATAAACGCCTACATCAAAAAAGAAGAAAGATCTCAAATACAAGACTTAATGTTGTACCTCAAGGAAATAGAAGAAAAGATACACTAAGCCCACAGTTAGCAGAACAAAAGAAATAATAAAAATCAGAGCAAAAATAAATAGAGACTGAAAAAAATACAAAAGATTATCAAAATTCTGTTAGTTTTTTGAAAAAATAAATGAAATCACTAAACTTTAACTAGACTAACTAAGAAAAAAGAAAGAAGACAAATAAATTAAATCAAAAATGAATGAGGAGGCCAGGTGCAGTGGCTCATGCCTATAATCCCAGCATTTTGGGAGGCCGAGACGGATGGATCACTTGAGGCCAGGAGTTGGAGACCAGCCTGGCCAACATGGCAAAACCTCGTCCCTAATAAAATACAAAAAAAAAAAAAAAAAAAAAAAGCCAGGCATGGAGGTGTGCATCTGTAATCCCAGCTACTTGGGTGGCTGGGGCACAAAAATCACTTGAACCTGGGAGGTGAAAGTGGCAGTAAGCTGAGATTGTCACACTGCACTCCAGCCTGGGCAACAGAGGGAGACTCTGTCTCAAATAAAAAAAAAAATGAGACACATTACAATGCATACCACAGAAATGCAAAGGATCATATGAAAATATTATGAACAATTATATGCCAAAGGATTGAACCACCCGGAAGAAATGGATAAATTTCTAGACACATACAACCTACCAATACTGAATCATGAAGAAATGGAAAATCCGAACAGACCAATAATGATTAAGGATATTGAATCAGTAATGAAAAGTCTCCTATCAAAGAAACACCCAGGACCCAGAAGGCTTCACTGCTGAATTCAGCAAAACATTTAAACAAGAACTAAAACCAATCCTTTCTAAACTTTCCCAAATAAATTACAGAGGAGGGACTACTTCCAAACTTATTTTACAAGGCTTGCATTACCTTGATACCAAAGCCAGAATAGAACACTGTAAGAAAAGAAAATTATAGGCCAATATCTCTAATAAACACAGATGCAAAAATCTTCAATAAAATACCAGTAGACCAAATTCAATAGCTCATTAAAAGAATCATTGACCATGATAAAATGGAATTTGTTCCTGGGATGCAAAGATGGTTCAACATATGAAAATCAATAAATGTGATATACCATATTAACAAAATGCAGGACAAAAACAATATGATCACCTCATTAGATGTAGAAAAAGCATTTGACAAAACACAACATTCTTTCATGATAAAAACTCTAATCAAATTAGGTGTAAAGGGAATGTATCAACACAAAAAAAGCCTTATATGACAAGCTTACAGCTAATATCATACTCAGCAGTGAAAAGCTGAAAGCTTTTCCTTTAATATCAGGAACAACACAAGGATGCTCACTCTCACCACCTCTTTTCAACATGGTACTGGAAGTCCTAGCCAGAGCAATTAGGCAAGAAAAAGAAAAGAATTATTAGGTATTCAAATAGAAAAGGAAGAAGTAAAATTGTCTATTTGCCGATGACATGATCTTCTGTATAGAAAACCCTGAAGACTCCACCAAAAAACTGTTAGAAATTTGTAAACAAATTCAGTAAGGTTGTGGGATACAAAATCAACATATGAAAATCAGTAGCATTTCTATATATTAATAATGAACTATATGAAACAGACATTAAGAAAACAAACCTATTAAGAGCAATGACAAAAAAAAATTAGTAAATTTAACTAAGGAAGTGAAAGACCTGTATGTTAAAAACCGTAAAACACTAATGAACAAAACAGAAGAGACAAATAAAACGGAAAGAGACACAAATGCATGAAAATAAATGTTCATGACTTGGAAGAACTAATATTGTTAAAATGTCCATACTATCCAAAGCAATCTATAGGCTCAATGTAATCACTATCAAAATTCCAATATCATTTTTCATAGAAATAGAGAAAACAATCCTAAAATTCATATGCAACCATAAAAAAAAAAAAAAAAAAACACAAATAGCCAAGGCAATCATGATCAAAAAGTACAATGCTGGAGGCATCACACTACCTGATTTCAAACTATACTACAAAGCAATAATAATTAAAACAGCATGGCACGGGTATAAAAATGGACATATTGACCAATGGAACAAAATACAGAGCCTATAAATGAATCCACATAGCTATGGTCAATTGATTTTTGCCAAAAGTGCCAAGAATACACAGTGGGAAAAAAAAGTCTCCACAATAAATGGTGTTAGGAAAGCTGGATATCCATATGCACAAGAATGAAACTGGACCCTTATCTTACACCATATACAAAAATCAACTCAAAATGGATTAAAGACTTAAATATATGACCTTAAACTATTAAACTGCTAGAAGAAAACACAGGGGCTAAAACTACACAACATTTATCTGGGCAACATTTTTTAAAATTTGACCCCTAAAGTGCAAAAAACAAAAGCAAAAATAGACAAATGGAATTATATCAACATAAGAAGTTTCTGCGGAACCTGAGGTCGGGAGTTCAAGACCAGCCTGATCAACATGGAGAAACCCCATCTCTACTAAAAATACAAAATTAGCTGGGCATGGTGGCATGCACCGGTAATCCCAGCTACTCAGGAGGCTGAGGCAGGAGAATCACTTGAACCCAGGAGGTGGAGGTTGCCGTGAGTCAAGATCATGCCATTACACTCCAGCCTAGGCAACAAGAGTGAAATTTCATCTCAAAAAAAAAAAAAAAAAGTTTCTGCACAACAAAGGAAACAACAGAGTGAAGCAATAAGCTACAGACTGGGAGAAAATATTTGCATACCATACATCTGATAAGGGGTTAATATCTAAAATATATAAGGAACTCAAATAATTCTATTCAAAGAGAAAAAATAATCTGATTACAAAATGGGCAAGGGACCTGAGTAGACATTTCTCAGTAGAAGACACACAAATGGTCAACAGATATTTGAAAAAAAAAAACTCAACATCACGAATCATTAGGGAAGTGCAAATTAAAACCACAATGAGATATCATCTCATACCTATCAGAATGGCCATTATCAAAAAGATGCACGATAACAAGTGTTGGTGAGGATATGGAGAAAAGGGAACCCTTGCTTACTGTTGGTGGGAATGTAAATTAGTACAGCCATTACAGAAGGCAGTATGGAGCTTCCTCAAAAAACTAAAAATAGAATTATTATATGCTCCAGCAATCCCACTTCTGGGTATTTACCAAAAAGATTTGAAATCAGTATATCAAGGAGATATCTGCACTTCCATGTTCATTGCAGCTCTATTTACAACAGCCAAGTTATGCAATCAACCTGTGTCCACCAACAGATAAATGGATAAAGAAAATGTGGTATGTAGACAATACAGAATACTATTCAGCCTTTAAAAAGATAGAAATTTTGTCACTTGAAACAACATGGATGGAATTGGAATACATCATGCTAAGTGAAATAAGTGAGGCACAAAAAGAGAAATACTGTATGTTTTCATACATGAAATTGAAAACAACGAGGCTGGGCACGGTGGCTCATGCCTGAATCCCAGCACTTTGGGAGGCCAAGGTAGGGTGTGGATCACCTGAGGTCAGGAGTTCGAGACCAGCCTGGCCAACATGGTGAAACCCTGTTTCTATTAAAAATACAAAAATTAGCTGGGCGTGGTGGTGGGCATCTGTAATCCCAGCTACTCAGGAGGCTAAGGCAGGAGAATCACTTGAACCCGGGAGGCGGAGGTTGCAGTGAGCTGAGATGGCACCATTGCACGACAGCCTGGGCAACAAAAGTGAAATTTTTGTGTCAAAAAAAAAAAAAAAAAAACAACTGAACTCAGAAGCAGAGAATAGAATGGTGGTTACTAGAGTCTGGGCACGGGGGAATGGGGAGATGATAATCAAAGGTACAAACCATTGGTTAGACAGGAGGAATAAGATTTTTGAGATCTGTTGCACAGTGCAATGAATGTAGTTAATAACAGCATATTGTACATTTCAAAATTGCTAAAAGAATAAATTTCAAATGTTCTCACCATAAAAATGTTAAGTATTTGAGGTGTTGGACATATTAGCTGATTTAATTATTCCATATTGTATTCATAAATCATAACATAACTTTGTACCCTATAAATCCCCATAAATACATACAATTTATTGGGAGTTGCCATGTTGCCCAGGCTGGTCTTGAACGTTCGCCTGGGCTCAAGCAGTCCTCCTGCCTCAGCCTCTCAAAGTGCTGAGATTACAGGCATGAGCCACTGTGCCTGGCCGTAATTTCTTAATTTACAATAAAAATTTTTAAAAAATTTTAAAAAGGGCAAAGGACTTGAAAGACATTTCTCCAAAGAAGATAAGCAAATGGCCCATAAGCACATGAAAAGATGCTCACCACCACTAACGTCTACTATATTAAAAACAACAGCATGGAAAATAACAAGTGCTGGTGAGGTGTGAAGAAACTGGAACCTTCGTGCCCTGTTGGTGGGAATGTAAAACACACACTGGGAAAAACAGTATCGTGGCAGGCCAGGTTTCACTCAGCCCTCCATCACAACTGTGTCAGTACTGACTGAGTGGTTAAGTTAAATATTAAAAGCTAAAAAAAGCCAGTGCCCTTATATAAAGGCTGGGATGTAACAAAACCCCACCAAGAGTTTTGCCTAGGCCTTTCCTGGGCCTTAAAGCATGACAAAATAATGAAGAAATTCTTAACAAGGACTCATTTAGGATTAAACAAGTTTTACTGGGGGTCTGAAGAAACTCCCCAGGCCTCCAAAAACAAGTGTGTGGGAGGGCTGAAGGAACTCCCCAAACCTCCATGATTTAGCAGGAGACAAGATAAGGGTAATCACCCCAGCACCTGGACCCATTTAGATTAAGTAAATTTACTGAGGCTCCAGAGGAAGGTCTTCAGGACTCAGACCTTAGTTATAGATTCAAAGAAGTTAATCACTTATGTCTTTAGATGAATGCACACTTACATGTAGGCATATAGCTTAGAAGGGATATAAACTCTGAAAAGCTTTGTAATTTTGAGTTGGTCTGGTGATAATTTCCAGGCCTTCTCCTTGTAACCAGTTACAGAAATAAAAACTCTCTTCCTCCCCAGTTCACCTGCATCTCATTATTGGGCAGTGAGATTCACCTGCATCTCATTATTGGGCAGCGAGATTCACCTGCATCTTCTTATTGGGCAGCGAGATTCACCTGCATCTCATTATTGGGCAGCCCCACCCTCAGTTTGGTCTGGGAACAAAAAAGTCGCCAGCCAGAAGATAAGGACAGTGCCGCGTTCAGCGGCTGGTAGCTTGCGATGAGACAGTCTTCAGGAGGATCCCAGCAGCTGTCAGGTGAGGTTTCCCCAGGGGACCCTCCAGAGGGCTGTTTATGTGCAAATCTACACGTCCCTTTCTCTACTGGGGAAGAACAGAGATAAGGAGCGGACGTGCTCAAAGGGTGAGTCAATGGGATCTTAGGCCAGGAGCCTATTGTTTTCCCATTTGGGCTGGTTAAGCCATTTATCCGGTACTGCCAAGGGAAGCAACAGGGCTGGCTCATACACCCACTTTCCCTTTGGTTGATATCAGGTTTTGCGTTAGTTTTGAGAGTCTGTTTTGCCGTAGTGCACTTCCCCTTGGGTTTTTCTGAAATGTTTCCATTTGTTTGTGTGTCTGTCTTGTTCCTTTTGATACCATGTAAACTTGAAAATGGGAAGTATTGGGTCCATCTCTGCTGAGAGGCCTCTGGGAAGGAGAAAGATTTTTTGAAGCTCAATGATTGGGAGTCAGCTTAATTAAAAGCTAACATCCAAAATGTGTATGTGCATATGTGTGTGTGTGCGCACGGGGGCGTGAAGGCCTTTAAAAGGCCTTCGTGTTTTTGGTTTTATTTCTCTCTCTCCTAGGGCCTTATCTTTTTGAGCAAAACTTTTTTTCTTCTCAGTTGACTGAATTCTGTTTTCTTCATTAATAGCTATTAAACAGAAGCTACTCTGGGGTTTTAAAGAAAAAGTGTAATTTAGACACTTAGAAATGTCTTTGGGAAAAAATTGTTTAAGTGCACTGTAAAAGCATCACATGGTCTAGCCTCATAATAATTCTCCCTTTTTGAAAACCCAGGATTCAGTATGGGCTCCACCCAGAGCTCAAACATCCAGTTAAGGCCGGGCGTGGTGTCTCATGCCTGTAATCCCAGCACTTTGGAAGGCCGAGGCGGGCTGATCACTTGAAGTCAGGAGTTCGAGACCAGCCTGGCCAACATGGTGAAACCCCATCTCTAAGAAAAATACAAAAATTAACCAGGCATGGTGGCAGGCACCTGTAATCCCAGCTACTTGGGAGGCTGAGGCACGAGAATTGCTTTTACCTGGGAGGCAGAGGTTGTAGTGAGCAGAGATCATGCCACTGTACTCTGGCCTAGGCAGTAGAGGGAGACTGAAAAATGAGGTCTTACGAATCTATAAAATGTACTTCTATTGGCATGCATAATACACTTATGTATTTGTCTTGTGTACACCATGTTTCACTACTGAAGATATACAAAAGAGGTCTAATTAAATGGCTCAAAGAAAAAAGCACTTGAATAACAGAAAAAAGGAAAGACTAGTCAAATGCTTTTTCAAGTTTATGTGACTTAAAATCTTTAATAAGTAAGCTGGTTTTAAAAATTATTGGTAAAGTAATATTAGAAATGTCTTAAGAGTTTCCAGCATACATTTTAGTTTGCATTTATTGATCAAGCAATTTCATACTTATCTCTGCCAAATATTATAAGGTGTCAAAATCTGGCATAGAGGCTACAAAACTATAATTCAGTGCAAACAGAATAATCTTTGCATGTGTAATTTTTAAATAAATGAAACATTAATATTGTTTTAATGAAGATAGTTACATCTTGAATTATTTAGTAAAATACTCTTTTTTTTTTTTTTTAAGATGGAGTCTCGCTCTGTCGCCCAGGCTGGAATGCAGTGGCGCGATCTCGGCTCACTGCAAGCTCTGCCTCCCGGGTTCACGCCATTCTCCTGCCTCAGCCTCCCGAGTAGCTGGGACTACAGTCGCCCGCCACCGCGCCTGGTTATTTTTTGTATTTTTAGTAGAGATGGGGTTTCATCATGTTAGCCAGGATGGTCTCCATCTCCTGACCTTCTGATCCGCCCACCTCGGCCTCCCAAAGTGCTAGGATTACAGGCGTGAGCCACCGTGCCTGGCCAAAATACCCTAACTTCTAATCTTCTGGCCTTAAGCAGTCTAGTCCACAGACATGAAGGAAGTTTGTTCTGGGAAAGGACTGTTATCACATTTGTTTCAAAGCTAAATTATAAACTAAGTTAATAAACAAGAATACCTTGTAGGTTAGAAGGAAGATGGAGTCAGTTAGGTCAGATCATTTTCACTGTCTCGGTCATAATTTTGCAATGGTGGTTTCCTAACTTTAATGACAACTATCGCAGTTTTCATATATAATCTGGGTAAATGATTAAAATAAATAATTAGATAAATGTAATGGGATACATACTCATAAGTAAACTTGTCATAATTTAGAATCTAAAGTTATATTAAACAACAGATATCTAATTATTTGGGTATTTTCTAATAAAAATATATCGTAGGAAAACATTCTTTCTAAAGATTGTGTCCTTTTTAAAGGGTAACTTTTTTTTTTTTTTTTTTGAGACAGAGTCTTGCTCTGTCACCCAGGCTGGAGTGCAGTGGCACAATTACTGCTCACTGCAAGCTCCACCTCCCAGGTTCACACCATTCTCCTGCCTCAGCCTCCCGAGTAGGTGGGACTACAGGTGCCCACCACCACGCCTGGCTAATTTTTTGTACTTTTTAGTAGAGACGGGGTTTCACCGTGTCAGCCAGGATGGTCTTGATCTCCTGACCTTGTGATCCGCCCGCCTCAGCCTCCCAAAGTGCTGGGATTACACGCGTGAGCCACCACGCCTGGCCAAGGGTAACTAATTGTTGTCTTATTCAAAGCTTATTTAAAGGTTATATATAAAACAAGGTAAAAGAAACCAGGAAATAAGAGAGATATACAGAAAGTTATAAAAATAAGGAGAATTTTAAAGATTATTGGTAAAAGTATCTTCAAAAATGTAAATAGTTGGTCTAAATTATGCAGGTCAAATACTAGGTTTGCTAAATGCTTTAGGTCATAAAATGCTTCTTTGACTTAAAAAGTGTTCAATTTATTTTGGACTGTTAAATTCTAGATACGGCCTGGGGACATGTGAAATTAGCCATGTCCCCTAGCTATGCAAAAAGTTTTAAAGAAAAGAGAATTTATACAAGAAGGGCTCCTGTATGGTAAATTCTTGTCCTAAAGTAAATTAACTGGTTGTTTAAAGAGAGGGATGTTTAGAACAAGTCAGAAAGTCAAGGCATGTCAGAGATTGTCTGTGTAAGTTGTGAAAGAATTTATGAAAGGAAATTTATGCAAGAAATGTTGTACAATTTAAAGGTGATTAGGCCTCCTAAATGCTTTATAAAATGCCACTATGACTCTTAGCTGTACAACTTGCCTGCTTTGCAGCTAGGTAAGGCCTAGGACACATGGAGCTAGATGCTAGAATAAGTCAGACCTTACCTGCATTTCTGTCTAGGTCGTAGGCTCCATACCTAGTATATAATTAAAATCCCAAATTTACCAAGGTTTTCACCAAAAGAAAAGGTTGCTAAGAATTAACAATGTAATGTGTATTTAAGACTATTGAAAAAACAGTTTACATGCAAGTTGTGTAAGGAAAGTAAAATATACTTTTGGTAAAAAGATTATAAGGAGGCATGAGAATGTGGATATTTTTTACTAGATTAAAAGGTTAAAGGATTGTTTTAAGTTGGATAAAATAAAAATGAAAGTTTAAGCAAGCTGTGGAAGGGTAATTGTAAAGACAATTCTGTGTGTAAATGTATTGGCTAAAATTAAAGGGATATCATCCAGTTTTTCTGTAAATTGAGCATTAAAATAAAAGCACAATGGGTTTCTCTTAGAGCACTAACCTTCTGTTTAACAAAAATTGTAAAGAGTTATGAAAGGTCTATAAAACTCTTACTTTATGGTCAAACATTAAAATTGGGTAAATGTGTCTATAAGGTTTTATTAAAAATTGGATTTAACATTAATAGTACACTAATGTAAAGGTGAAATGTGGCTTATTTGATATAAAATTATACAGGAAGCATTGTCAAACATGAAATGGTGTTTGGCTTTCTTTGGGCTGTATGTGCATAAATATATTATTGGTATGTGTTCCAAAGTTATGGAAGACTCCTATAATTCTGATATATCTTAGTGTATGTTATCATTAATAATTATAATTGTTATGTTAAAATTATTGTGTGCCACAGAGGTAACAGATACCCTTGTCATCAATTGTGTCTTTAACTATGGCTACCCTAAAACCTTTTGTCCTCCATAAATAATTGTTGTCTGTCTTGTTTTGGTCCTCTTTAGAAGGTGGTTTTATAATCAGCTGTAAAGCTCTAACAGGTGCTCTTGAATGCAGGTTTCTGATAACTTTGGAGATTGTGACATCAAAATAGAGGAAAAACGTTGATGACTCTTGAAGAGTTAAAATGTTCATTAATATCAAACAGGACAGGAATTAACTGCATGAACTGAACTAATAGGAGACTGAAGTGATCTTTTTGACTTTCGGCTTAAAATGTTGCTAATCCTTTGTTTTGCTTTTCAGAGGCAAGGAAACTTTTCTTTTGAGCTATTAACACCTTTTAACATTTAAGTACAGTATACTCCTATGAACAAAATTTGGAGCATATTTGTTTCTCTCTACCTGATTTTCTCCAGAATTTCGAAACTGTGAGTATTCTTAAGTTATGGCAATATAGTTATTTGCATAAGTGCAGTAAGAATCTGTTTTCTTTTGTAACAGGACACAATTGGAAAAACTGGTTATTTTACCAAGGCTTTGACTTTGCTCTCCTTTAAGGAATCAAACTTGACTTAGGAAGCCAAGAAAGCCCTTGGAAACTGGCCTCATAATTTGTGTACATAGACCCTGTACAGGGTTTCTGACCTGTGGTAAGTAAAGAATGTCACTTTCTGACAGGCCAGGAACCCCAAGTTATCTTGGAACCTCAAGAAGAGAGGAATTCACCCAACTCATAGGTATTTGATGGTATAAATCCATGGTTGGGCTCGGCTTTAAAAAGGTCTTATCTCAGATTCCTGCTATGGAACAAAGTTCCATCAAAGCCCATTTAAAACGCCTATGTAAAAAATAATTATTCTTGCTGCACGGTATATAAGTAATTAGGCCAAGTATAATAAAGCAAACCAGTCCTACCATGATTTGTCTTTTAATAAAAATGGGAAACAAGAGAGAAAAATTATGTTTCAAAAATTATAGTTACACCTGTTAAATTCTAGTCTTCCTCGATGTTTTTCAGTTTTTATTATTTTCTACAGTTTGGATTAAATTCTAATTTTTCTGGCTGCAAGTCTCAAAATGTTTTCAATTTTTTCCTTTTTCTTTTCCTTTTTCTCCATTTTCCCTAACTGGAAATCACTGAAACCTAAGCTTTGCTTTCTTAAAGCCCTGTGAACTGAAAACTAGGTGTTTCAGCAGGCACTCTCTCTAAGCCCCTAAAATAGACAGTGCTACCGGGAACAAATCAACCTCCTCCACTCCAGTACTGCATTTGGTGCCCCATAACAATGACCCTCTCTCAGCTGAAAGTAGCCAGAAAGATTATGACACCCCATCTCCCTACGATTCTCATGATAAATAAATACACAAGCATGATAGAAATCATGCGCAAATTGACAGTGGGGATTGTAGCAGGCCAGGTTTCACTAATGCAGGCCTCCATCACAACTGTTTCAGTACTAATCAAGTGCTTAAGTTAACTATTAAATGCTTAAAAAAAAAAAAAAAAAAGCCAGTGCCCTTATACAAAGGCTGGAATGTAACAAAAGCCCATCAAGAGTTTTGCTTAGGCCTTTCCTGGGCCTTAAAGCATGACAAAATAATGGAGGAATTCATAACAGGACCCATTTAGGATTAAACAAGTTTTATTGGGGGTTTTGAAGAAACTCCCCAGGCCTCCACAAACAAGGGTATTGGAGGTTTGAAGGAACTCCCCAAACCTCCATGGTTTAGCAGGGTAATCACCCCAGCACCTGGACCCATTTAGATTAAGTAAATTTACTGAGGCTCCACAGGAAGGTCTTCAGGACTCAGACCTTAGTTATAGATTAAAAGAAGTTAATCACTTATGTCTTTAGATGAATGCACACTTACATGTAGACATATAGGTTAGAAAGGATATAAGCTCTGAAACACTTTGTAATTTTGAGTTGGTCTGGCGATAATTTCCAGGCCTTCTCCCTGTAACCAGCTACAGAAATAAAAACTCTTTCTTCCCAGTTCATTGGCATCTCATTAATGGGTGGCAAGAAATAGCAGCCCGACCCTCAGTTTGGTCCAGGAACAGTATGGTTGTTCCTCAAAAAATTAAAAGTAGAATTACCAGATGATCCAGCAATCCCACTTCTGGGTATGTATCCAAAAGAACTGAAAGCAGAGTTTTCATGTTTATAATTTCACTGAAGCACATACTGTCCTTATAGAGTCATCAGCTTTAAAACTATAAATACGATATTACCTTAATGCCCAACTTTGTATTATCTGCCCTACTATAATAAGTAGATTTACTTTGTTTTTTCAGGACTTGTTTTTGCCTGATAAGACTCAGGAATTATGAAATGTGAAGTTAAGTGTGGCTCACGCCTGTAATCCCAGCATTTTGGGAGGCCGAGGCGGGCGATCATTTGAGGGCAGGAGTTTGAGACCAGCCTGACCAACATGGTGAAACCCTGTCTCTACTAAAAATACAAAAATTAGCCGGGCATGGTGGGGCATGCCTGTAATCCCAGCTACTCAGGAGGCTGAGGCAGGAGGATCCCTTGAACCAGGGAGGTGGAGGTTACAATGAGCCAAGATTGTGCCACTGCATTCTAGCCTGGGCAACAGAGCAAGACTCCATCTCAAAAAAAAAAAAAAGAGAACCATATTAATAGCTTCCCACAAGTTTTGATGCATTAAACCTTCATTATATTTTGAAATATTTTTGTATTAGCTTTTAATTTCTCCTTTGAACCATGGATTATTTATAAGTGTGTTGCTTAGCATCCAAATTTGGAGGTCTTTCTAGACATTGTTATCTATTTCCAATTGAATTTCATTGAGATCAGAGAACATATATGAGTTCTCTTTTTTAAAAGAGACTTTACTTAGACTTATTTTATAGCCCAGAATATGGGCTATAAAATGAGTGAGGGTACCATCTTCACTAGAAGAGAATGAGTTTTCAGTAGATGCATGTGTCCTCTTATAAATGTCAATTAAGTCAAGGTGGTTCAGATCTTTTATGACTTTTTTTTTTTTTTTTTGAGACGGAGTCTCACTCTGTTGCCCAGGCTGGATGGAGTGCAGTGGTGCAATCTTGGCTCACTGCAAGCTCTGCGTCCCAGGTTCATGCCATTCTCCTGCCTCAGCCTCCCGAGTAGCTGGGACTACAGGAGCCCACCACCACCCACCATGCCCGGCTCATTTTTGTATTTTCAGTAGAGATGGGGTTTCACTGTGTTAGCCAGGATGGTCTCAATCTCCTGACCTTGTGATCCACCTGCCTCAGCCTCCCAAAGTGCTGGGATTACAGGCGTGAGCCACCGCGCCTGGCCCTTTTATGACTTTACTAATATTTTTGTCAAACCATTCCATTAATTGCTTAGAACAGTGTATTATAATTTCCTCTGAATTCTGTAATTTTTTTTTTTTTTTTTTTTGAGATTGGAGTCTCACTCTGTTGCCCAGGCTAGAGTGCTGTGGCATGATCTCGGCTCACTGCAACCTCCGCCTCCTGGGTTCAAGTGATTCTCCTACCTTAGCCTCCCCAGTAGCTGGGATTACAGGTGTATGACACCACACCTGGCTGATTTTTGTATTTTTAGTAGAGACAAGTTTCTCTATTTTGGCTAAGCTGGTCTTGAACTCCTGACCTCAGGTGAATCCGCCTACCTTGGCCTCCCAAAGTGCTGGGTAAATTTTTGCTTCATTTATTTTGAAGCTCTATTATTGAGGACATATATCTTATGATTATTATGTCTACCAGATGAATTAACTCTCTTAACACTACAAAGGTCCCTTTTCATGTCTTATAATATTCTTTACCTTAAAATCCACCTCATATGATATTAAGATAGCCACAGCAGTTTTCTTAGGCTTATTACTTGAATGGTATATCTATTTTCATCCATTTGCTCCTACTATACCTGCATTTTGCTTTTAAATTCCATCTCTTGGCTGGGCACAATGGTTCATGCCTGTAATCCCAGCACTTGGGGAGGCCGAGGCGGGCAGATCACCTGAGGTCAGGAGTTCGAGACCAGACTGGCCAACATGGTGAAACCCCATCTCTACTAAAAATACAAAAATTAGCCGGGCATGGTGATGCATGCCTGTAATCCCAGCTACTTGGGAGGCTGAGGCAGGAGAATCGCTTGAACCCAGGAGGAGGAGGTTTCAGTGAGCTGACATCTCGCCACTGCACTCCAGCCTGGGTAATAGACCAAGACTCTGTCTCAAAAAAAAATTCCATCTCTTATAAACATTATGTAGTTAAGTCTTGCTTTTTCATCCTTCTAACCATATCTACCTTTGAGTTATAGTGTTTGGTGGATTTACAGTTAGTGTAATTATTACTATAGCCAAAATAGTTCTATAATTTTACCAATTTTTGTCCATTCTATTTTTTACCTGTTCCTTCTTACCTGTATATTTAATGTTAATTGAGTATGTTTTAGAATCCCATTTTAATTGTGTATTGGCTTTTTTTTTTTCAGATGGATTTTCACTCTTGTTGCCCAGGCTGGAGTGCCATGGCACAATCTCGGCTCACCACAACCTCTGCCTCCCAGGTTCAAGCGATTCTCCTGCCTCAGCTTCCCGAGTAGCTGGGACTACAGGCATGCATCACAATGCCCAGCTAATTTTGTATTATTAGTAGAGATGGGGTTTCTCCGTGTTGGTTAGGGTGATCTTGAACTCCCAATCTCAGGTGATCTGCTCGCTTCACCCTCCCAAAGTGCTGGGATTACAGGTGTGAGCCGCCGTGCCCAGCTTGTGCATTGGCTTTTTAAATCAACAATATTTCCATTTTATGTGTAATTGTTATAGTGACTAAAATAAATGCTGTTTTTTTAAATCTAAAACTAAGGTAAATTATATATAACATGAAACTTATCTTTTAATCTTTTAAAATACATAGTTCAGTGACACTACATTTATTAATGTTGTTGTGCAATAATCACAACTATCCATCCTCAGAAGTTATTTCATCTTCCCATTCTTCCCTCCTTACAACCGCTGGCATCCAACATTCTACTGTTGGTTTTTATGAATTTGACTACATTAGGTACCTCAAGTGGAATCCTATTTCATTTGTCCTTTTATGAATGGCATTTTACTGAGCATGTCTTTAATGTTCATCCATTGTGTAGCATGTGCCAGTATTTCCTTCCTTTTCAAGGCTGAGTAATACTCCATTGTATGAATATACCACATTATCTATTGATCTGTCCAACTTGAGTTTCTTCCACTTTTTGGCTATTGTGAATAATACTGCTATAAACGTGGGTGTACAAATATCTGTTTGAAACCATGCTTTCAATTCTTTTGGACGTATACCTAGAAGTGGGAATGATGGATCATCTGCTAATCCTGTTTTTACTTTTGAGGAACTATCATACTGTTTTCCATAGTGGCTGCACCATTTTACATTCCCATTAACAGGGCACGAGGGTTCCAACTTCTCTACAAATTTGCTAATGCTTATTGTGTGTGTGTGTTGTTTTTGTTTTTTGAGACAGAGTCTCGTTCTGTCGCCCAGGCTGGAGTGCAGTGGTGCCATCTCAGCTCACTGCAAGCTCCGCCTCCTGGGTTCACGCCATTCTCCTGCCTCATCCTCCCAAGTAGCTGGGACTACAGGCGCCTGCCACCACGCCGGGCTAATTTTTTTGTATTTTTTTTTTAGTGGAGACGGGGTCTCACCATGTTAGCCAGGATGGTCTCAATCTCCTGACCTCGTGATCCGCCTGCCTTGGCCTCCCAAAGTGTGGGGATTACAGGCATGAGCCACCGCACCCGGCCTGTGTGTGTTTTTTATAATAGTCATCCTGATGGGTATAGGATGGTATCTCTGTCGTTTTGACCAGCAGTTCCCTAATGATTAGTGATTAAAGTATCTTTTCATATACTTATTGACCATTTGTATATTTGCTTTGGAGAAATGTTTATAAAAATCAGTTGCCCATTTTTAACTGGGTTGTTTTTGTTTTGTTAGATCGTAGGAATTCTTTATATATTTTAGATATTAAGCCCTTATCAGATATATAACTTAAAATATTTTCTCTCATTCTGTGGGTTTTGCCTTTTTATCCAGTTAATAGTATCTTTTGATTCACAAGAGTTACTGATTTTCAAGAAGTCCAAAATGTTTATTTTTTCTTTTGTTGCCTATGTCCATGGTGTCACATCCAAGAAATTATTGCCAAATCCAATGTCACAGAATTTTTATCCTATATTTTCTTTCAAGAGTTCTATAGCTTTAGCACTTACATTTACATCTTTTATTTGTTTTTAGCTATTTTTTAAATACAATGTTAGGCTAAGGTTCACTTCATTCTTTTGAATGTGGATATCCGGTTCTCCTAGCCCCCTTCATTGAAAAGACGGCCCTTTCCTCCATTCAACAGTCTTGGCATCCTTGTGAAAAATAATTTGGCCATATATGTGAGTGTTTATTTCTGGCTCCTCTATTCTATTCCACTGATCGATTTATCTGCTTTTATGTCAGTACCATCCTGTTTTGATTACTGCAGCTTTGTAGGAAGTTTTGAAAATCAGGAAGTGTGAATCCTACTACATTTTTATTCATTTTCAAGATTGTTTTGGATATTCTGGTCCCTAGAAATTCCATATGAATTTTAGGATACATTTTTTCATTTCTGCAAAAATGTCCTTGGGATTTTGATAGAGATTACATTGAATGTATAGATCACTTTAGGAAATGTTGACATAATTAGTCTTATAATTCATAATCATGGCATATCTTTCCATTTATTTTTGTATTCTTTAATTACTTTCAGTAATGTTTTATAGTTTTCATTGTACTAGTCTTCCACCTCCTTGGTGAGTTTACTCCTATTTTATTATTTTTGATACTATTGTAAATGGATTTTTTCCTAATTTCTTTTTTTGAATTGTTCATTGGTAGTGTATAGAAATGCAATTGACTTTTCCAGTTGATTTTGTATTCCGCTTCTTTGATGAATTCATTTTAGTACTACTAAATAAAAATTAAAAACACAGTTTAGATATACCCCACGGCAATTACCCATAACCATGTAGCCAAAACTTAAGACATCCTGATATCCCTGAAACATTAGCTATAATCATAAAAAATCCCACAAAATATAAGTTTTACACCTTCATCATGACATAATATGGTTCAGTGAAGTTAAATCAAGCAGCTATAGAAAAATCAGCTTAAACAGCTCTGATTGCCTTTAAAAAGAATATAAATTTATAAGTCAATCATGAAATTGTCAAAATACATCCTCCTTTATAGCCTGTACTATACCTGCTGTAAGGCAAGTTTCTTACCACTTGGTTTGAAATCTCCCAGATTGCAATCTGTACTGTCTTTTACTGAACAACAATAAATTTCAAAATTTTAAAAATTTAATATTATTTTATTTTTGGCAGTTTAATTTTTTGTGAAATCTTTTGGATTTTTTACCAGTAAGATCATATCATCTGAAAACACAGATTATTTTACTTTTTCCTTTACAGTCCAGATGCTCTTATTTCTTTTTCTTGCCTGTTTTGGCTAGAACTTCCAGTACTATGCTGAGTGGCAAAGGTGGGTAGATATCCTTATGTTGTTCTTAATCTTAAAGGAAAAGCTTTCCGTCTTTCAACACTGAGTATGATGTTAGCTGTGGGGTTTTCTTACATGGCTTTTATGATGTTGTGGAAGTTTTCTTCTATTCTTAGTTTGCTGGGTGTTTTCATCATGAAAGGGCTTTGAATTTTATCAGAGGCTTTCCCTGTATCAACTCAGATGATCATGTGTCTTTTTCCCCCTTCATTCTATTAATGCAATGTATTACATTGTTCAGTTTTCATTTGTTCAAACATTCTTGCATTCCGGAAATAAATCCAACTTGGTCATGGTGTATAATCCATCTAAGGTACTGTTGAATTCTCTCTGATAGTATTTTGTTGAAGATTTTTGCATCAGTTAGGGATACTGGGATATAGCTTTATTTTCTTGTAATATCTTTATCTGCTTGGGTATCAGAGCAATGCTGGCCTTACAGAAAGAGTCAAGAAAGGTTCCCTTCTCTTCAAGTTTTTGAAAGAGTTTGAGAAGTAGTGGTATTAGCTCTTCATTAAAAGCTTGTTAGAATTCACTAGTGAATTCTGTCAGTTTAATTAATAGTATTGAAGAATCAATGTTGGTTTTGTGGATTTTCTCTATGGTTTTTCTTTTTTCTTTTTCTTTCTTTCTTTGAGACAGAGTCTCACTCTGTTGCCCAGGCTGGAGTGCAGTGATGTGATCTTGGCTCACTGCAACCTACATCTCCGGGGCTCAAGTGATCCTCCCACCTCAGCCTCCCGAGTAACTGGGATCACAGGTGTGCTCCCCCGGGCCAGGCTGCTTTTTATATTTTTTGTAGAGACAGGGTTTTGCCATATCCAGGCTGGTCTCAAACTCCTGGCTTCAAGCAATCCTCCTGTCTTGGCCTCGCAAAGTGCTGGGATTATAGGCGTGAGCCATCACATCCGGCCTCTACTGTTTTTCTATTCTCTGTTTTATTTATTTCTCTTCTAATAATTATTTCCTTTATAATGCTAACTCTAGGTTTGGTTCATTCTTTTTCTAATTCCTACATTTGTAAACTTAGCTCGTTGATTTAAGATCCTTCTTCTTTTTTAATTAAACCATTTCTGGCTATAAATATCATAGATGGAATCAGATACTATATATGCTTTTCTGTCTGGTTTCTTTAACTCAGCATAATTATTTTGAAATTCGGTCATATTTTCATATGCATCAGTACTCCATTCCTTTTCATTACTGAGTTGTATGGCAGAATTAATATGGTAATATTATAAAATGTAGGAGACTTGAAATAATACAGATTGATTCATCTCCACTACTCATTCTTTCTGCTATAGTTGTCTCAGGCATGTTCATATGTTACAAACCCTACAAAGTGTTATATTACTTGATAGTGAATATTTTCAAGAAATTAAGAGGAAATAATCATTCTTTATATGTGCATTCATATTTCTATTCCTGATGATCTTCCTTCTTTCCTTAAGATCCATGTTCCCAGCCAGGCAAGGTGGCTCATGCCTGTAATCCCAGCACTTTGGGAGGCCAAGGCGGTGGATCTCCTGAGGTCAGTAGTTTGAGACTGGCCTGGCCAACATGGTGAAACCCGGTCTCTACTAAAAATACAAAAATTAGCTGGGTGTGGTGGCAAGCGCCTGTAATCCCAGCTGTTCAGGAGGCTGAGGCAGGAGAATCGCTTGAACCCAGGAGGCAGAGGTTGCAGTGAGCCGAGATTGCGCCATTGCACTCCAGCCTGGGCAGCAACAGTGAAACTGTCTCAAAAAAAAAAAAAAAAATCCATGTTTCCATTTCATTTCATCTCTATTCAGATTGAAATCTTTTAGCATTTTGTGTACTGCAGGTCTATGAGCAATGACGTGCCCATACTGTCTCCAATAGCACATTCAGGTTCCTAATTCTTAAAGCCATTTATGCCCATTTACTCTTTCTTATTTGGTAATGACCTCACCCAAGTCTCAGATTAGAAACACTAGAATCCACCACAAACCTCTTTCCTCTTCTTACCAAACCCATTGCATCACCGGCCTGCGTTATCATCATTTCCCTCAGATCTGCCTCAGCTGCCACTTGCCTCCTTCACGATAATGCAACCTGACCCTCACCCTAACCACTAGGACCCATCCCGAATGCTGTCCAGGCCACACCTGAGTGCACCCACCTAGTCCACTCTCCACTGGGTGAACAATGATCTTTAATGGGTGGATCTGATGAGGGATGTCCCCGGGGAAAACTTGACAATGGCCTTGGTGACTCTGGACTTGGGTGATCCTCCGTACTCTATTCAGATCCTCTGTTCTGTCCTCAGCCTGCCTGCCACACTCCCCACCTCTCACGTTTAACACACTCTATGAGCAGGCTGAGGACACAACGTCTGGGTTAGTGCAGCTTCCTAGAATCCACGTTACTCATTCATTCATTCATGGAAGGCATGTAGGCGCCTGGCGACCGCATATGCAAGGAGCCGTGGAGTATCGGGAACATGGCACGGCCCTTCCTTTCCTTAGCACAGTTTCCATTCACAGGAGCTGAGGCACAGCCATCATTAACCCCAAAGTCCATGAACTTGCAAAGAGTCTGGAGGGGCTGCCCAGGCAGAGGTGACAAATGCCATCGGTGGCAGGGACAGTAGTGGACATAGAGGAAAGAGTGCACACAGACAGAATCCCAGACAGACAGGAATCCAGTGTAATGGGGGAGGGGAGTAAAAACAAGAGAGGTACTGCTGAATTAATATTGTAATATGATTACAAAATGTAGGAGAGTTGAAATAATATAGATCCATTCATCACCATTCACTCTTTCTGCTGTGCAGGACGAGGCTGTGCCGTCCGTGGGCCTCTCTGATTGAGGGAGAATGGGCGTGTGGCCAGAGATGCACAGCTGTGTTGGGCCACAGAAATGGGCTCATGGGGGTGTCCATGGGCATGGTTAAGAGAGAGAAGGAAAACAAGAAGAAGGGAGGTCAGGGGTTTGGCTTATTTCAGTTCTTGTCCCATTGAATTCTAGGGACCCTGCCTCCTCCCGGACATGAGCCATTGGCGGGGTTTCCCTGTCTTGTGACTCACCCACCTGTGATTCAGGCTCCTTGCTTTACACCAAGTTTGAGCATAAAACCTGCTAATATTTCTCGTCAAAAATTAACCCGAGTAACCTCTTCTTTCCTCTCTGAGTCACCCACATCCTTAAAACTGCCCAGGATAATCACAGTTCCTGCATAGGTTGTTGTGTGAACTGAAAGTGTTAATATGTATGGAAAGTGCTTAAAACACAGAACTTTAAACACATGCTCTGATTAGTACGATCATTACCCTCAATGTTGATTTTAAGCAAACCATATTATCCTGGCCAAACTACCATGACCTGGAGCCTTGGGACTGCACAGCCTCCCTCTGTCAGTCAAATATGGAGGGATGACATCTCTGGAGCCAGCACAGCCACTCTGGAGGTGGGGGAGGTGACAGTGGTGGGACCTCATGCTTCCTGATAGTTATTTAGGTCCCTGCTGTCACCTGCTCCACCAGACTGTGGGCTCCAGGGAGTAGTCAGTATTCACACAGGGCTCATTTGTCCTTCCCCAACCCAGGCACAGATTTTCCCAGAGTAAAGGGTTCCTCCTCTACCTGATGAATGAATCACTCCTGTCCCCGCCGCCAAGCACATGCAGTGAGACTAGCTGTGGCCTCAGCTCACTGCGTAAGGACAGCCTCCAGCTACAGCAGGGGCAGAGGACCCTGTAGAGCTCTGTAGTCTCTGTTGAGAACCACAGGCAGGAACTCCCAGAGGCCAAGTGCAGGGCAGAGACTGGGAGAAGCAGCTGCCTGGAGGACTCTGGATCCTTGCAGAAGACATGTCCAGTGTCTGCTGAGACTGACTCTAGGTGCCTGAGAAGAAGCCACCCAGGGAAGGAGAGACTAGATTGTGGACCACTCAGGGCTGGGAGATCTGCATGTTCCCCTTCCCACAGTGGACAGAACGCATGCCAGGGTGCTGGCGAGTTACCATCAGAAGTCAACCACTATAACTTTAGTAGTTAACTAAATGAGCCCCTGAATAAGGCAACTGAACACAAGGTATATAGTTATATGTAGATAAAAGCTAGTATCAGAGGAGCAAACTGATCCTCAGTTTTCTGTGACCAGAATAATGCCCAATAGACTTTGAAAGAACACAGTGATGTTCGGTACCCAAGAAAGCAAAATTCACAATGTCAAGCAATAAGAAATTACTATGCATGAAAAAAAAAGTCCCTATGGGCAGGAAAAAAAATGTAATCAACAGAAACAGTGGCCGTAATAACAGATATAATGGTGTTGATAGATTAAATAACTTAAAACAGGTCATCTAAAGCTTACAAATATACTCAAGAATATTTAAAAAACAGAAAAACAAAAAACACCACCACCAAAATCATAGGTTGCGCACGGTGGCTCAGGCCTGTAATCCCAATACTTTGGGAGGACAAGGTGGGAGGATTCCTTGAGCGCAGGAGTTTGAGACCAGCCTGGGCAACATGGTGAAACCCCGTCTCTACTAAAAATACAAAAATTAGCCAGGTGTGGTTGCAAGTGCCTGTGGTCCCAGCTACTTGGGAGGCCGAGGTGGGAGGATCACTTGAGCCCAAGAGGTTGAGGCTGCAGTGAACTCTGACTGTGCCACTGCACTCCAGCCTGGGTGACAGAGTAAGACCCTGTCTCAAAAAAGAAAAACACAAAGATGACCAGGAAATAGATGGAAGATATTAAAAATGCCAAAAGAGAACTTCTAAAGTTCAAAAAATATATATCTGATATACAGTAGATGAGATTAACAGCAGGTTAGATTCTGCAGAAGCAGATCAATGAACTTGAAGAGCCCTCACAGGGAAATGTCCAAAGTGAAACATAGAAAATGATGGGGGAAAAAAAAGAACAGATACTAAGTTAGCTCTGATACAAAATCTAACATTCTAACGTAAATATAATAAGATCTCAGTCACCAGAAGAGACAGAGTATTTGAAGAAATAATGGCTGAAAATCTTCCAAGTAGAACATAAACTCGGCTGGGCGTGGTGGCTCACCCCTGTAATCCCAGCATTTTGGGAGGCTGAGGCGGGCAGATCACGAGCCAGACCATCCTGGCTAACACGGTGAAACCCCGTCTCTACTAAAAATACAAAAAGTTCGCTGGGCGTGGTGGTGCATGCCTGTAGTCCCAGCTACACGGGATGCTGAGGCAGGAGAATGGCGTGAACCCAGGAGGCAGAGGTTGCAGTGAGCTGAGATCCCACCACTGCACTCCAGCCTAGGCGACAGAGGCAAGACTCCATCTCAAAACAAACAAACAAACAAACAAAAACATAAACTCTAAAACCCCAAATCCAAGAAATTCAACATAACTCTGTTGTGGCTTTCTTTCTTTCTTTTTTTTGAGTTGGAGTCTTGCTCTTGTCTCCCAGGCTGGAGTGCAGTGGCGCCATCTCTGCTCACTGCAACTTCTGCCTCCCAGGTTCAAGTGATTCTCCTGCCTCAACCTCCCAAGTAGCTGGGATTGCAGGTGCCCACCACCACACCCAGCTAATTTTGTATTTTTAGTAGAGACGGGGTTTCACCATGTTGGTCAGGCTGGTCTCGAATCCCTGACCTCATGTGATCTGCCCGCCTCGGCCTCCCAAAGTGCTGGGATTACAGGCATGAGCTACCAGACCCGGCTGTTGTGGCTTTCTTTACAGAAAAGTCTCCAAGGAGAACATAAACTCTAAAACCCCAAATCCAAGAAATTCAACACAACCCAGTTGTGGCTTTCTTTACAGAAAAATCTTCCAAGTAGAAAGAACATGAAAGTCTAAAGCCAAAAATCCAAAAAATTCTTTATAGAGATAAAAAAAAAACCCCACAACAGAGCAAACAAACCAAATCACTGCAAACCAGTGCTAAGAAAAATCTTTAAAAGCAGCCAGAGACCAAAGATCCACCACCCAAAGAGAGGCAAGATGCCCTGGGGACCTAGGCCCACAGAAACCACAGCAGGAGGGGGAGGCAGAGGCCCCTGTACACTCTCCTCACTAGGACAGTTAGGTCCTCCCTCCACTCAGAGGTGAGACCAAGGACATACTGTGGTGTGGGGCGGAAACAGTGAAAACATGAGGTGTGTAACAATATCCCATGAAACTCCAATGCTTCACACTGACATTCTTCTAGGTCAACACCAGCATTCTCTTGACCTTCCTTTCACTGTTCCTCCTCTCCCTTCCAGCCCCTCTGTACAGTCTTGAGTTAGGTCTAGGCCCACACACTTCCCCACTCTGAGCTGCGGTCTCTTCCTCTGTAAAATGTGATGATTCAGAACCTCTCCTGGCCCCAAGCGCAGTTCCAGGCGCTGAGCACACCATGCTGTTCCCTACAAAGCCGACTCTTTGTCCCTTCCCCATTATCACGGATACTTGCCAAGAGGTGGCAAGAAAGGCTCTTCCCAGGCCAAAATGCAGCTGCTATTATCAAGCAGGTCAGGCCCCAAGTGCCACAACTCCCTTCTCCTAAATCTCGTTTTCCCAAGGAACCCCAAACAATGGCATTGGCGATGAGCGGCCCCGCACGCGTAGGGGCGCAGCCGCTAAGGAGGGGAAGGGGCCTCTCCAGCTGCGCCCGCGACGACTCCCGCGCACGGAACGGAACCACTGGGCCGCAGCGACCACAGGGGAGTTCTTCGCCGGCCGCAGGTTCAAAGCGATCTGCAATGAGCGCCTTTAGGAATTCATTCGAAGGCGCAAAAGAAAAAGAAATTAAGGCAGGAACTGAGCGAGGAAGGAAGGGAGGGAAAGAAAGGAAGAAAGAGAAAAAGAGAAAGAAACAGAAAGTAAGGAAAGAAAACAAAATCAAAGTCCGACGACCTCTCCGTGGCTTCACGCAGCTTACTCGGGAATTCCCTCCTTGTCGCCCTCCCCCACTGGATTCGGGAATTTACACCAAGTGGAGCGCGCGCTCTGTTCCCTGGCGGCCCAGGTCGCTCCTGCCCAACCCGGGGACCCATCTCTTCCCCCGACTCCGACGACTGGTGCGTCTTGCCCGGACATGCCCGGCCGCAGGCGACCCGGGCCACGCACCCCCGCCGTGTCCCCCTCTCTCCCTGCCCTCTCCAGGCGCCAGGCACGCTCTTCCCCAGCCAGGGACCGCGGCGGGGACTCACCAACAGCAGGACCGCGGCGACAACGAGCACAAGGGTCTTGGGGACCCGGGGCCCAGGCCTGGCTCCCCGCGCCTCCCTGGGTCCTGGGCCGTGCCTTTTCCGGGCCCCCGAAGCGGCCGGGGCGTTCTGTCCCCGTTGTTCCATGGCGGTAGGGAACGCTCTTATAGTCTCTCAGGCCCGTGGGTTTCAGCCCTTAAAGTAGATCGGGCATCGTCGGTGTATTTTGTGGGCGCAGAGATTGCGGGGTTCTCCGGCCGCGTGCTGATTTATGTGTCCAGGCTGACTTGGGGCGGCGCGGCTGTACTTTCACTGCCTCCGGGCAGGCGTCATTCGGGGCGGGGCGAATCAGATCCAATGTGCAACTGCAAATTCCACCACAGGTTGGTGACAATAAATAAGAGTCTCGTCAACGCAATCCTCCGCAAGCGCGTCCAAGTGGGGAGGGGAGGGGAAGGGACCGGAACTAACCTTCGCCCTGGCGGCTGCGCCCCGGGCTGTGGTTTGTTTCTGGGTCCTGTCCGCGCCAGGACAGGCACCGAAACTTGGGGGAAATGAGTTGAGGGAGGCACTTGGGGAGTTGACGCCTCCCGGGGTCGCGCGCTTGGCTGTGAACAGGGTCTTGAGGTTCAGAGTCCGCTTTCCAGGCGCGTCTTGATCTTCTCCCCTTCCCAGGGGCACCTGCCCCTTCTGTTCTCTCCTTCTCTCTTCTTTCCTTTTTTCTTTCGTTTTCTTTCGTTCTTTCGTCTTCTTTCCGTCCTTCCTGCTTTCTCTTTCCTTCCTTTCTCTCTTTCTCTTTCCTCCCTCCCTCCCCCTCCCCCTACCTCCCTTCCTTGTGGTTTATTTTTTGAGACAGTCTCTCTGTGGCTCAGATTGGTGAGCGGTGGTGTGATCCCGGCTCACTGCAACTTCCGTCTCCCAGGTTCAAGCGATACTCCCACCTCAGCCTCCCATGTAGCTGGGACTACAGGCCTGCACCACCACGCCTGGCTAATTTTTGTATTTTTAGTAGACACAGGGGTTCACTATGTTGGCCAAAAGACCATCGAACCCAGCTTACACTCACACCTAGTCCACAAATGTGCCTGTGTCCCTGCACCCTTGCTACACTTAGCTTTCATTTGTCACTAGTCTAGGAAATAAAACATGATACATCACATTGTTATGTATTTTCATTCCTTCATGGTACTGTGTCCGGAATTGGTGGGTTCTTGGTCTCACTGCCTTCAAGAATGAAGCCTCGGACCCTCGCGGTGAGTGTTACAGTTCTTAAAGGCGGCGTGTCTGGAGTTTGTTCCTTCTGATGTTCGGATGTGTTCGGAGTTTCTTCCTTCTGGTGGGTTCGTGGTCTCACTGGCTCAGGAGTGAAGCTGCAGACCTTCCCAGTGAGTGTTACAGCTCTTAAGGCAGTGGGTCTGGAGTTGTTCTTTCCTCCTGGTGGGCTCGTGGTCTCGCTGGCTTCAAGAGTGAAGCTGCAGACCTTCAAGGTGAGTGTTACAGCTCATAAAGGCAGTGTGGACCCAAAGAGTGAGCAGTAGCAAGATTTATTGCAGAGGGAAAGAAGGAAGCTTCCACAGTGTTACCACTGCTGGCTCTGGCAGCCTGCTTTTATTCTCTTATCTGGCCCCACCCACACCCTGCTGATTGGTAGAGCGGAGTGGTCTGTTTTGACAGGGCGCTGATTGGTGGTTTACAATCCCTGAGCTAGACACAAATGTTCTCCACTTCCCCACCAGATTAGCTAGATACAGAGTGTGGACACAAAGGTTCTCCAAGGCCCCACCAGACTAGCTAGATACAGAGTGTCAATTGGTGCATTCACAAACCCTGAGCTAGACACACGGTGCTGATTGGTGTGTTTACAAAACTTGAGCTAGATACACAGTGCCAATTGGTGTATTTACAATCCCTTAGCTAAACATAAAGGTTCTCCACGTCCCCACCAGACTCAGGAGCCCAGGTGTCGTCACCCAGTGGATCCCGCACCGGGGTTGCAGGTGGAGCTGCCTGCCAGTCCCGCGCCGTGCTCCCGCGCCGTGCGCCCGCACTCCTCAGCCCTTGGGTGGTCGATGGGACTGGGCGCCCTGGAGCAGGGGGAGGTGCTCGTCGGGGAGGCTCCGGCTGCACAGGAGCCCACGGAGGGGGTGAGAGGCTCAGGCATGGCGGTCCCGAGCCCTGCCCGTCGGGAAGGCAGCTAAGGCCCGGCGAGAAATCAAGCGCAGCGCCAGTGGGCCGGCACTGCTGGGGGACCCAGTACACCCTCCGCAGCCGCTGGCCCGGGTGCTAAACCCCTCATTGCCCGGGGCCGGCAGGGCCGGCCGGCTGCTCCGAGTGCAGGGCCCGCCGAGCCCACGCCCACCCGGAACTCCAGCTGGCCCGCAAGTGCCGCGCGCGCAGCCCCGGTTCCCGCTCGCGCCTCTCCCTCCACACCTCCGTGCAAGCTGAGGGAGCGGGCTCCAGCCTTGGCCAGCCCAGAAAAGGGCTCCCACAGTGCAGCGGTGGGCTGAAGGGCTCCTCAAGTGCCGCCAAAGTGGGAGCCCAGGCAGAGGAGGCGCCGAGAGCGAGCGAGGGCTGTTGAGGACTGCCAGCAAGCTGTCACCTCTCAGTACTACGGATTTTCAAGAATACAGGAGTTTTTGGTACTGGGAGTAGATGACTGGGGGGATCCAGGCAAGACTACAGGGGAGGGCGGCAGAGAAGACTTAATTCCCAGCTGTGTACTTGGAAAACCGTGCTCAGCTGGGGCCAGTCCCTGCCAACCGCCATGCCTGTTAATGGAAATAAGGTCTCCATCCTCAGGCTGTCAGGGTGACTTCAGATGAGCCTGGAGCTGAGCTCAGTTCCGGACCCCAGGTCCTGGCTCTGTCAATGCCGGACTGGTCCAATCTCTATGCCAGGTCCTTCCAACCCCATCCCTCTCTTTATCAAAGTAGGAATCAAGAAGATCCGAAGGCTCAGGCTCTCAGGTTGTTAGAGAGTACTGAAATTGGAGGCTGTGGATGGCTGGGCCCTGCCGTGCTCCCGGTCCAGCTCTGACTCTGGTATGGCCCCAGCTCCTTCCTGTAAAATGAGGGGATAAAAATCTTCAGCAGCCCTGTGTAAACTTCTGCAGGCTCTGTTAACAGGTCTAGGAGGACAAATTGCAGGGCTGGTGTCAGTCACTCTAGACTCTGGATCCCCAGGGCACATGTCCTCCACTCAGCAGAGGCTGCACCTTCTCCTACCTGTACCTCAGTACCAGCTCCCTGAGCTTGAGGCAGAAATTTCTGAAGACTGGGGTGGAGCGCCATGCGGAGGGGCCGTAGAGGAACAGACGAGCCAGAATTCAAATGAGGACGGTGATGGCACTGCAGGGCCACAGCCTGGTTTACCTGCCACTCTTCCAATTGTCTTTCTGTTGGGCACCCAGCCGGTGCCCCAGTTTGAAGAGTGAGCAGGAAAGGTCTCAATCCGTGTGGCCACAGATGGCTGTTCACAGCCTCTACTGAGAGACCACAGTCCCAGTTCCGGTTCTCTGTCCTGCATCCAGAAGTGGCAGGGCAGCGAGGCTCTAGCTTCCAGGTTGGGGATGGGGACAGTGGAGACAGTGCCATGCCCTGAGCCTGTGCTGTTGGGCAGCTGGTGTCCTGCTCCCAGCCAGAGACTGCACATCTTCATGTAGTGGATTTTCCTAACAACCTGGGGACATGAGAGTAGGTTGTTTTCCCTGTTTTACAAGTGGCAAAACTGAGATTCAGGAGCAGTGTCTCCAGCATTTTTGGCCTCACCTTCTGTATAATAGCAGCCATATTTGCACCTCTACAGGGCTAGAGTTCTCTGAGCAGCTGCTTCTCTATTCTCTGTCCTGCACTTGGCCTCTGGGAGCTCGTATGGTTCCTCAGCAGAGTCCACAGGGCCCTCCCTGTGCTACAGCCTGGAGCCTGTCAGGCGGTGAGCTGAAGCCACGACTGCACTCACCTCATGGGTTTGCGGGGAGAATGATTCACCCAGGAAGCAGACAGTGAGCCCTTTACTCTGGGAACACCTGTGCCTGGAGTCTGCTGAAGGCAGGGAGGACAAATGAACCCCATGTGAATCCTACTCCCTGGAGCCTACAGTGTGGTGGGAGAGGTGACACCAGGGGTCATATAACTAATAGGAGGTAGCATGAGGGAGGCCTGAGATCTCACCACCCTTGCCTCCCCCTCCTCCAGAGAGGCTGTGCTGGAGGGAGGCCATGCCATTGCAAGGCCATAGGATGTGGTATTGTTTGCCTGGAAGATGTGGTTTGATTACAGCCACCATTGAGGGTCATGGAGGCAAGCTAAGCTCCCTTTAAGGGTATTTTTTTTTTGGCTGGGCCTGAGAATTAAGTTGACATAAGACAGGTCCACAGGAGAAAAGCACACAAATTAATACAATGCAAGTTTTACATGGCACAGAAAAAGCAGTGAGAGTCAGTTACTTATATACTGAATTAGACCAAGTAACTTGGGAAGAAGCAAGTAAATATGTGGAGGCTAAAAAGATGAGTTATTCTATTCTTTTTTTTTTAATATCTGCTCCTTTAAGGAATAAAAAAGACAAGCTTACCTTTTAAAATATATTTTACATATGTATACAATCTAAATTTATTTTTCTCTCTTTATCCCTGAATACTTTATTATTTTTTTTTTAATTTTTTGGAGACAGAGTCTTGCTGTGTCGCCCAGTCTGGAGTGCAGTGGCATGATCTTAGCTCACTGCAAGCTCCGCCTCCTGGGTTCACGCCATTCTCCTGCCTCAGCCTCCCAAGTAGCTGGGACTACAGGTGCCCGCCACCACACCCGGCTAAATTTTGTATTTTTAGTAGAGACAGGGTTTCACCATGTTAGCCAGGCTGGTCTCTATCTCCTGACCTTGTGATCCACCTGCCTCGGCCTCCCAAAGTGCTGGGATTACAGGCGTGAGCCACCACGCCCGGCCTACTTTATTATTTTATTTTTACTTTAAGTTCTGAAATACATGCGCAGAATGTGCAAGTTCGTTACACAAGTATACTTTTGCCAGCGATGCACCTGCTGTTTTTCAATAGCCTTTAATTCATAATAGTCAATGGGCCAGGGTAGGCAGGGTGCAATGGCTCACACCTGTAGTCCTGCCAAGGCGGGCAGATCACTTGAGCCCAGGAGTTCAAGACCAGCCTGGGAAACATAGCAAAACCCATCTCTACAAACAATAACAACAACAAAACCCACAGAAAATTAGCCTGGTGCAGTGGCCTGCACCTGTAGTCCCAGCTGTTTAGGAGGCTGATGTGGGAGGATCACCTGAGCCTGGAAGGTTGAGGCTGTAGTGAGCCGTGTTCACACCACCGCACTCCAGCCTGGGAGACAGAGTGAGACCCCGTCTCAAAAAAAAAATTCTTTTAGTAATGATTATGCTATTCAGAGTGTGCGCTGAAATACAGCACTTCCCATAAGTCAGGCTCTATTCAGATCCCTTCATACAAATTCACACATTTAATTCTGACAGCAACCTGACTGTGCCGGAACTATAATTAAGTTGGTTCTCTTACGTGAGACACAGATCAACTCAGTAACTTGCTGAAGGTCACACAGCTATTCCTGGGGTGGGGGGCTGGGGGATGGGTGAGCCAACCTCAGGGGAGCAGCACCCACTGCCCAACTGGCTTCTGCTGCCTTTCCCAAGGGAGAATTTGCTGCTCACCTCATTCTGGGTCACTGCTGGGAGGCCTCTGAGAGCTCATTTAATGCCACTTCCTGTTTTCAGGAGAGAGAAACGTGAAGTTTAGAGAGGAAGGGAAGTGACTTCCCCGGACTCCTGCAGCTCTTTAGTGGCTGGCCCTGGTCTTGTACAGGGATAAAAAGAAACTCCACAAAACTCAGAAGTAGATCCCAGGCCACAGACTGAGAGAACAAGTCTGAGTTGATGTCTGGTCTTCTGAGTGATTGCTCAGTTCAGGGTCAACTGGCAGCTTTAAGGGTGTGTGTGCCCTGCAGAGGAAAGAGGAGCCTGCTTGGCTTGAGGGAGGGTGAGGGCCACACTGGGCTTTGCAACCACCTACCTATTGCATCACCAGTGGGGGATGTGCATGACCAGGAAACCCCCAGTTAATGACTCATCTGGGGAGAAGCCTGGATCTGCAGAGCCTTGCAGGAGAGGACCTGAGCAAGCCTCCACCCTCCTCCCTTCTCATTCTCCTTCTCTCTCCACCATGCCTCTGGCATGCTGCGCTCTCTCTCTCTCTCTCTCTCTCACACACACACACTCACTCACACACACCAGGAAAAGTTCAAGTCTGACAAAATTCTATGGACTGACACAGCCACACATCTCTGGCCACACACCCCTTCTCCCTCAATCAGAGGCCCGCATCCTGCACAGCCTCGTCCCAACCTCACTTGTTTTTACTCCCCTCCCCCATTACTTTGACTTACTATTTGTCTGGGATTCTGTCTGTGTGGACTTTCCCCTCTATGTCCACTAATGTCTCTGCCACTTATGGTACTTGTCACCTCTGCCTGAGCAGCCCCTCCAGACTCTTCACAAGTTCATGGACTTTGGGGTTAATGATGGCTGTGCCTCAGCTCCTGTGAATGGAAACTGTGCTAAGGAAAGGAAGGGCCATGCTGTGTTCCCGATACTCCACGGCTCCTTGTATGTGTGGTCGCCAGACGCCTATATTTCTTCCATGAGTGAATGAATGAGTAACGTGGATTCTAGGAAGCTGCACTAATGCAGATGTTGCGTTCTCAGCCTGCTCATAGAGTGTGTTAAACGTGAGAGGTGGGGAGTGTGGCAGGCAGGCTGAGGACAGAACAGAGGATCTGAATAGCATGCAGAGGATCACCCACATCCTGAGTCACCAGGACCATTGTCAAGTTTTCACCGGAGACATCGCCCATCAGATCAGCACTTCAGAGATCATTGTTTGCCCAATGCAGAGTGGATTAGGTGGGTGACCTCAGACATGGCCTGGGCAGCATTTGGGATGGGTCCTAGTGGTTAGGGTGAGGGTCAGGTTGCATTATCCTGAAGGAGGCAAGTGGCAGCTGAGGCGGATCTGAGGGAAATGATGATGATAATGCAGGCCGGTGATGCAATAGGTTTGGTAAGAAGAGGAAAGAAGTTCAAGGTGGATTCTGGTTTTCATAATCTGATATTTGGCTGAGATCATTACCAAATAAGAAGGAGCAAATGGGCATAAAGTGGCTTTAAGAATTAGCAATGTGAATATGATTTTGGAGACGCCACGGACACTTCATTGCTAGTAGACCTGCAGGACACAAAATGCTTCAGGCAGAAGAGATCTGACACCAAATGGAAACCTGGATCTTAAGGAAGAAAGGAAGGTCACCAGAAATATAAAGTTGGGGAAAATGTAAAGGATTATTACTTCTTCTTAGTTTCTTGAAAATATGTATTATCAATGATGATAACATTGCTGTGAGGTTCGTAAAGTATGCATAGTTAAGGCTTAGGAATACTGGGTGGTGATGAATGGACACATCTTGTTGCGAGTCTCTTACACTTTACATTAATATCACACAATTAATTCAGCAACACAACTCAGCCATGAAAAGGCAGTATTACTGCACATGGCCACAGGGATGGTTTTCAAAATGATCATGTCATGTGAAGGAATCCAAGCAGAATGCATACCGTCTGATTCCACTTCTTATTAAAATGCAACTAATCTAATCTATTGTGACAAAAAGCAGAAGAATCATTGCTGGGGACATAGGAGCAAAGCAGAAGAGAGGATTACACTGAAGAATGAACACATTCTGGGGGGTGGTAGACATGTCATTATCTTATTGTGGTGATAGTTTCGTAGTGTATACATACATCTCAATCTACCAAACTACACATTTTAAAAATGTACACTTTGTTTTATATTCATTATACCTCAATAAATTCTTTTTTTTTTTTTTTGTTTGAGATGGAGTCTCACTCTGTCGCCCAGGCTGGAGTGCAGTGGCGCGATCTCGGCTCACTGCAAGCTCCGCCTCCTGGGTTCATGCCATTTTCCTGCCTCACCCTCCTGAGTAGCTGGACTACAGGCGCCCGCCACCATGCCCGGCATTTTTTTTTTTTTTGTATTTTTAGTAGAGACGGGGTTTCATCAGGTTAGCCAGGATGGTCTGGATCTCCTGACCTCGTGATCTGCCCGCCTCAGCCTCCCAAAGTGCTGGGATTACAGGCATGAGCCACCGAGCCCAGCCAATAAATTCATTTTTTAAAAAACTTCAAATAGAATACAAACACTTGAGTGTATACTGTATTCCCTATAGCACTTGCACATAGATCAGGAAATATGTATACATTAAAAGTCAGTATCCAGTTGGGTGCAGTAACTCACGCCTGTAATCCCAGCACTTTAGAAGGCTGAGGTGGGTGGATCACGAGGTCAAGAGATCAAGACTATCCTGGCCAACATGGTGAAACCCCATCTACTAAAAATACAAAAAATTAGCTGGGTGTGGTGGCACAAGCCTGTAGTCCCAGCTACTTGGGAGGCTGAGGTAGGAGAATCACTTGAACCCTGGAGGCGGCGGTTGCAGTGAGCCGAGATCATGCTACTGCACTCCAGCCTGGTAACAGAGCGAGACTCCGTCTCAAGAAAATAAAATAAAATAAAATAAGCCGGTTGCGGTGGCTCACGCCTGTAATCCCAGCACTTTGGGAGGCTGAGGAGGGCAGATCACGAGGTCAGGAGATCGAGACCATCCTGGCTAACACGGTGAAACCCCATCTCTACTAAAAATACAAAAAATTAGCCAGGCTGGTGGCGGGCAATTGTATTTCCAGCTGCTGGGGAGGCTGAGGCAGGAGAATGGCGTGAACTTGGGAGGCGGAGCTTGCAGTGAGCCGAGATCGCGCCACTGCACTCCAGCCTGGGCAACAGAGAGAGACTCCTTCTCAAAAAAAAAAAAAAAAAAAAAAAAAAAAAAAGAAAGGAAAGGCAGTATCCAATTAAAATGGAATCCTAAAAGGTAACTAACATTAAAATGTGCAGGGGAAAAAGGAGCAAAAAAATTAGACTGGACAATCATTGCTTAAATGGTAAACTTACAGGTCTATTTCAACTGTATCAATTATTGCACTAACTGTAAATCCACTGGGCACTACCGTTCAAAGGTAGAAATGGTTGGAAGGGCTGAGAAAGCAAGACTCAACTAGATCTTGTCTATACGAGATGGGACTTAAAAGGAAGACACAGATACTGTCTGTTGAAAGTAAGTGGATGGGAAAAGATACATCATGCAAATCCTAAGGCCAAGAAAACTGCCGTGGCTATCTCAGTATCAGACGTAGTTGATTTTGCTAGCAGTGGACAAGATCCGAGTTACCCTACGTTGATGGCAGCGAATCCATACGGGCCCACAGCAACTTCAGCTCTTCACCTCCTGATAAGAAAGAATTCGACTGAGGGTCATAAGGCAGAAGGAGAGATGGAGGCAAGTTTTAGAGCAATAGTGAGTTTATTAAAAAGCTTTAGAACAGGAAGGAAAGGAAAGAAAAGAAGGAAAGTACAACTTAGAAGATGGCCAAGCAGGTGACTTGAGAAGCCAAGTGTGCAGCCTGAACTTGTGACTTGGGGATTTATAGGTAGGCATACTTCCAGGATTTTGCCTTGCTTCTCCCCACTCCTGAAATCTTGTTAGGAAGTTGCTGATCAGTTTCAGTTGTTTTCTATGTATTAGGAGACTGCCTTTTTCTGGCATCGGCTGTAACCAGTTATTACTTTAGAGAAACAGTTAAAAACCACCTAACCATCACCTGATGTTCGCTCAACCCTCCTAGTGTAAGAAGCGGTGGGGAGCCCTCTCCTGCCCAGCTCATACCTGACTAGCTACACAGGGTAACAATTTTAGGACATAGAATATTATGGGAGATCAAAAAGAACCTTTGCAGTTAAAAAGGTTAATTCATCAGGGAGTATAATAATCACAAATTGTATATGCCTAGTAATACAGCTTAAAAACACTTGAAGCAAAAATGGAATGAAAATGAGATTAAATCAGCTCTTTCTCTGCAATTGATAGAACAATCAAATGAAAACACTAGCAAAGTGGCAAGCAATCTGCAAACTATCAACCACCTTGATTTAATTGACATTTATTTATTTATTTTATTTTATTTTTAGTAGAGACGGGGTTTCACCGTGTTAGCCAGGATGGTCTCCATCTCCTCACCTCGTGATCTGCCCGCCTCAGCCTCCCAAAGTGCTGGGATTACAGGCATGAGCCACCACGCCTGGCCTGGTTCTCAGCCTGAATGTTATTGGTATATAGATATGCTACCAATTTTTATACAATGATTTTGTATCCTGAAATTTTGCTGAAGTTGTTGTCAGTTCCAGTAGCCTTTTTGTGGAGTCTTTACGGTTTTCAAGGTACAGAATTATATTGTCCATTAAGATATATCTTTGACTTCTTCATTTCATATCTGGATGCCTTTTATTTCTTTCTCTTGCCTGAGTGCTCTGGCTAGGACTTCTGGTACTATGTTGAATGGGAGTGGTGAGCATGAGCATCCTTGTCTTGTTCCAGTTCTCAAGGGAAATGCTTCCAACTTTTGCCCATTCAGTATGATGTTGGCTATGGATTTGTCATAGATGGCTCTTATTATTTTAAGGCATGTTCCAATGGGAACTTTCTAATGTGTTTTAATATCCAAGAGAGCAAACACCTCTTCCGTACTTTTTCAAAATTTATTATTTTACCCAGATAAAGCTTATAATTGTAAGATTTCTTCCATTCTCCCCTTCCAAAGAAAATCAGTGGCATTTTTATCAATTTATCTTAAAACTAAAAATTAATCTAGAAATACTTAATATCTTATCAATATTCAGTATTTCCTTATCCATTTTGAAGTCAAGTATTTTATTATAACTGAGTTGTGATTTGTTTTCCTCTTCAGATAAATTTATTCCTATTTCTTTTCATGGCTGTTTGGTATTTTGTAATCGTTATAAGTTGCATAGCCTTGTAATTCTGTTTGCTAATTTATTGCATCTACTATGTTTTTAACATTCCTTCAGACATACATTTATATTTCCATATCATAGTTTCATTCTTAGGGTTGTTTGTTTCTGTTTGTTTGTTTTTGACAGAGTCTGGCTGTGTCGCCCAGGCTGGAGTGCAGTGGTGCAATCTCGGCTCACTGCAACCTCCGCCTCCTGAGTTCAAGCGATTCTCCTGCCTCAGCCTCCCGAGTAACTGGGACTACAGGCATGTGCCACCATGCCTGGCTAGTTTTTTTTTTTTTTTTTTGTATTTTTAGTAGAGACGGGGTTTCACCGTGTTAGCAAGGATGGTCTCAATCTCCTGACCTCGTGATCCACCTGCTTCGGCCTCCCAAAGTGCTGGGATTACAGGCGTGAGCCACTGTGCCTGGTCGGCCCCATTCTTAGGGTTTTTAAGTGACATTGAATATAATGATTATTGTGTCTGCCCACTTCCAAGAATCTTGCCTCATTTTTGTTTTCCATCTTGTTGCACAGGCCAGAAATTTCAGAACCATGTTCAGCTGCGCTTAGGGAAGGCAGGTGTTTGGGTCCTGATTTGATTTCCGGGGAAGGCCTCTAACATGCCACCTTTAGGAATGGTGTTCACTTTTGGTTTCATATAGAAAGAAATTCACATCATCAAGAATGCAGCCTCCTATTCTAAAGGGGTTCCAAAAATTCAGAATTGGTGTTTAATTTCACCAAATGTCTTTTCAGCCTCCATAGAGACTGATGCTTTATTTCCTTATTTAGATTGTTGATATGGTACAGTATTGATGATCAAAGAACTTTTGGAGTCTTGGAATAAATTCTTTTGTTAGATGTTTCCTGAGCGCTCTCATACATAGTCCTCTGTTGAGACTTCTGTTGGTAAAAATTCTGTAATGAAGTGATTCTCTCCTGTGAGGGTGGGTGGAAATTGATGAGATGGGGAAGAAAGGGACTTTCTGGGGTGTGGCAATGTTCTATGTCTTGATCATAGGATTATTACACAGGTGTATACAGTAGTCAAAGTTGGGCAGAACACTTATGAAGTGAGCATTTACTCCCTGTCACTTTTGTTTCAATGAGTCACCAGCACACAGAGCCCAAGAGCTATGCAGGACCAGAGGTTTGTCTCCATCTCCACAGAGACCTGAGAGGGGAAGCTCTGTAGGTCTCTTGCTGGCTGGTGATCGGGGTCAGTACTAGACTGCAGGATTCCTGACTCTGACCAGAGCATTCCCCACTGTGTGTTACAGGAACAGGCAAAAGCTGAAAGGGTCATGGGAGGAGGCTGCTGGTTCCAGTGAATGGCGCTGACCCCACTGAGAGTAAGTGTTTTGTGCCTGGAGATGTAGAAGGAATGGAGGCAATAGGGACGATGTCCTAACTGCTAGCCCCATAGCTGAGAGTGCTCTTCTGGAGCATTCCCTGCTGGAAGTAGGGGGTCCTATGCCGATCCTGTGCTGATGATCTTTGGAGCATGAAGACCCTAAATCCCTCTCTTTCCTCTTCTTCTCAGTCAACACCTTGCTGGAGGCCTCAAACACTGAAAGAAAGACATGCAAAGGAAATAATTCAGGACCAACTGGTGGGCTCCAAAAATCTCTTCTATGAGGAAGGTGAATGCAGGCTCTGCTACGTCCTGCCTGTGAAAGAATCCCTTCAGGAAACCAGAGCTTCCCTCGTTTACCTTTTCTCCTACAAAGGGAAGCAGCCTGGAAGAAAGAGTCCAGTACTTGACCCATGCCTCAACAAACTCTGCTATCAATATGGTGCAGCTTACCAAAGGTCCTAGAACTTTGTCAACGCACTTGGAGTAATTTTTATGAAATATTGTGTGTGATAAGCAAACTGTGGAAATTTATATAAGATGTTGGTGGCATAGAGTTATACGATTGTGTATTAAGGGTAGTTTTAGGATGTCATTTTTTTTTCAGTTCATCATGACAGAAGTCCTTTTCATGAGAGAAGTCACATGAGAAAAAACTTTCTTATATTGTAAGCTCCTTCTATAGTGGTATGTGCATTTAATGACATCCAACTAAAGATGGTGTAATACCACGGTGGTTTGACTTAGAGTTTTTTAACTTTATATCTGGTTTATCTGGGTATTACATGCGTTTTAAATGTGGATCTTTTCAACTTACGATGAGATTATCAAGACATAGCCCCATGCTAAGTCATGAGCATGTGGACTTATAATGGTTCAATTTAGATTTTTCGGCTTTAAGATAGGATTATTGGGGCTTACCCCCATCTTAAGTAGAGAAACATCTGTATTGTGTAATACTATATGATGTACATTTTTCTGTTTTCCTATTTTCGTGCATGTTGATGTAAGCATGGAAAAATTTTAGGAAATGTATTTATTAGGCTGTTTACATGGGCTGCCTGGTGCAAATCAGCAGTCAAAAATGACTACATACACAACTAGCAATGGGAGGAGAAATCCTCCCTCTGTGGGAGGCACTGACTACATTCCAGTTCTCCCTCCTACGCCCAGAGACTGGACCAGGGTTTGATGACTGGCAACTTCTCAAGGGGCCGGTCTGTCTTAGTTGATGATTTTAGAGGTATATAGAGGTATTTATTTACAAATAAACAAATATTTATTTATAAGTAGATGTTTACATATGCCCAGGATTTTGAAGAGCCTGGTATCTTTGGGAAGCCATGTGTCTGGTCTGTCCTGCTGGGACAGTCATGGGACTGCATCTTCGTCCTTGTCCACAGCAGATGAGGACAGTGAGAATTAGGTTAGATCTGGGACTACAAATAGCTTCTCTTTCAAGTGCCATTACAGCTGAACATTAGTGAATCTTGGGCCTTCTTTGGGCTCAGGGCAGAGCAGGTGTTTATCTGCCCCGGCATCTGCTATGGCATCAAGAGGGAAGAGTGGACGGTGCCTGGGAATGGTGTGAAATGATTGCTGACTCAGGAGTGGATGGGCCCCTCTCGCTTCTGGTGGTCTGTGACCCTGAGCCCCTGAGCTGCATTTTACGGTAAAGATTCCTGAGCTGCAGCATCTGACTCATCTCAGAAATATCAATTCTTAAACACTGTGACAACAGGACCTAGAATGGCTGACACATTAAGGCTTTGTCCTTGTGTCACGCTCTATTATTTTATTTAAAAACTTCAGTAATCATTTTAGCCTCTTTCCAGCAAACTCTTCTCCATAGCAGTCCAGTAGTGGTAGGATAAATTATGGATGTAGTCGTTCAAGGGATTTTGGTCTTTTCCATCTCAAGCCATGTGTTTTGTCTTGTTCCGGGACTGGTTTGGCTGGGACAAAGTTAGAATTGCCTGAAGATTTAGGCACATTCAGTGTTGTGTCCATGGAGTTTTAGGAGGGGGTAGCCTTTCTGGTCTTTGCACTTCCATCCTCTCCCACTTCCATCTGGCGTCCCATGCGTTGTCCCCTGCACATCTGGAAGACACAAGGTGCTGCTGCCACCTGGTCTTTGCTTTTGCAGGGCCTTCTGTGCAGGACACTTGGCCTCAAAGCCCAGAGGGAGCCAGTCCAGCCCCAGCTCCCTTGTGCCTTCCGTAGAGGCCTTCCTTGAAGATGCATCTAGAGTGTCAGCCTTATCAGTGTTTGTTAAGCTTATTCTTTTAAAGTAAGCTTCCTGACAACATGAAATTGTTGGGGTTTTCTGGAGTTGTTTGGTTTGTATGGGATTTGCTTTATCCCCAAGCCAAACAGCACATGACACACGACAGCCACTTAAGACAGTGTGTCACTCGTGGTTAGAGTCCTTTGATGTTTCTGCCCTATGGACCCTATTTGAAGACTATGTTGTAATATCAAACAATACAAGGAAGCACGTTATACAGAAAATGCTCATATGTTTATGAATTTTGACCAAAATAAATATGAAATCTTATATTAAAAGAGGTGTGTTTTTTTTTCCCCCTGTTCCCCCTCCTCCTGTGAATCAGCTCTGAGTGACAGGAGGCCAGGCTGTGTTCCTGCTAGGACTCCTTCCTGCCTTCCTCCCCTCCCTGCCTTCAGGCTTGGCCTGCTGGGGGTGTTTCCTGCATCCGAGTCCCCGGAGTTTAAAGTGCTAGGTTCCTGGGGACTGGAATTCATACCTCCTTCCCCCCTCTCTCTTCTGCCTGCCCCTCCGTCTGGGGACAGGGACACCAGTGCTGGCCTGGCTTACCCACAGCCTCTCAGGAGGGTTCTCTGGGCAGCCGGGTTCCTGCATCCAGCTCTGATAGCTGTCGGGCAAGAGTCAGTGGGTCCCTGAGAGGTGGCCGGCCGTGGTCGCTGGGGGAGTCCCGTGGACACTTTCCTGCGGCTTCCTCCAGCCCTGGGCCGACCTTCACTTTCTCTGTCCCGGCCTTTCCTGCATCCCCATAAGTGTACCCAGGTTGCTCAGCCCTGCAGGCACCTGAGAGACCCATATCCCGCTCCCCTTGCCCTGGAGAGCCCGCTCTCCCTCTCGCCCAGGCGTGCCCCCATGCTATCCACCTTCCCCAGAGCGGCGGTGGGGGTGCTCTGGGGCTTCCCCCTGCCCTGCCCATGGGTTTCTGGGCCTCACTTGGAGCCCTGGGCTGGGCTGGGCTGAGCAGCAGGGAGGCTGAGCAGCCTGTAGAGGGCAGCACACGCGCGGCTTCCCAGCCAGCCGCCCTGGAGGACGTGGAGGGGAGGCAGCCACAGTCCTGGAGAGGCCTGAGCCTGAACAACATGGCTTCCCCCAGCGTGAGACTCGCTTGTCCTCCCACCGCCTGCTCTCTCCTGATGACCAGGTTCCAGGAGTTATCAAAGAACAGCCTCTGAGCTGCGTGGAGAAAGCCATGGAGACAGCCAGGTGAGTTGGGAGTCAGTTCAGAAAGGGCAGAGGGTCCCACAACAGGCCCAGAACCCAGCGGGGGAACCTGGAGAGCCCCCTGCGTGGGCCAACTTACTGTTCCATCGCTCACCCACCTCGCGTCCACAGAGAGCCCTCCCACACTGCCTGGCCTCCCTGGCACCCAAGGCGCTGCCAGAAGACAAGGTCACCAGATAATCTGTCCTCAGAGAGGGCTGAGAACCCACCCGGGGAGTATGGAGGAACCCTACAGAGGGAGAAAGCAAAATGGGTGAGAGTCCAAGGGAGGGAGGGAGAGAGAGTGGCTGCAGCGGGAGCTCAGAGGAGGGAGGAGGCTGCCTGGGCTGCACTTGTCATGGGAGCAGGTCCCAGGGCGGCCACTTCTGCATCTGTGGAAAGCACAGGGCCTGGGGCAGGGGACCTCTGTTTACACCCAGTTCAGCCTCGTTCCCTGAGACTGGAACAGACGTAGGTGGGGGCAAACAGACTCTGAGCAAGAAGCGAACCCGAAGACAGAGCAACCCTGCCCAGATCTGGGGCCTATGAGGGTATGAACCCAAAATACCTGAGACAGGTCTCAATCAAGTTAGAAAGTTTATTTTGCCAAGGTTAAGCAAGCGGCCATGACACAACCTTAAGCCATCCTGACAACATGTGCCCAAGGTGGTTGGCGTCAGCTTCCTTTTGTATATTTTAGGGTGACATGAGACATTCATCAATATGTGTAAGATGTACATTCACTTGGTCCAGAAGGGCGGGACAACTAGAAGTGGAGGCTTCCAGGTCATAGGTAGATAAGAGACAAAAGGTTGCATTCTTTTGGGTCTTTGATCAGCCTTTCACTGAATACACAACATATATGTAAGAGGGTAGAGGTAGAGGAATAGTCACTTATGCCTTTAGCTCAGTGAATCTGCATTTTTGCATAAACAATGGGGCGTAAGAAGCAGTCAGATATGCAGTCTCAGGTGAGCAGAGGGATGACTTTCTGTCCCACACCTGTGAAGATCAGCTATCAATGTACATTGCCAGGGTGAAACTCAGCATAACTGTTTTAGGGTAAGGATCTTGAGGCCCAGAAAGAATTTCCTTGTGGGCAAATTGGGAGGGAGCTATGTAGCTTTTCTATCCTTGTAGCTATCTTATTTAGAAGTAAAGTGGGAGGCAGGTTTGCCTGACACAGTTCCCTGCTTGACTTTTCCCTTTGGCTTAGTGGTTTTGGAGTCCTGGTATTATTTTCTTTTTAGAAGAGATTAAATGAGATGTGTGTGCAATGCACTGCACACCACCTTCCTTAGAGACAGAGAGGGCCCGGAATTCGAGTCTGTGTTTTGCATAGCCTCATTTAAAGAACATGAAAAGAAACAGATGACATTCACTGATACTCATTCATCCATTTCATCTGAGACCCTTCAGCTTTTAGGTGTCTGTGAAAGACAATGGAGAATCTCCTTAGTCAGAGTCGGGAGTCCTGGATTCCAACACTGACCCTGAGAAGCAGCCAGCTGTGGGACCTGGCACAGGTCACCTCCCCTCCATGGAAATGAAGATAAACCTCCCATCCTGTAGAGTTCACTGATTCTCTGTCCCTGTTTGCTCACTGAGGCATAAGTTAACTGCAGTAAACTGTTCACTTTAAAAGAAAAAAGAAAAACAGGGTCTCACTGTGTCGCTCAGGATGGAGTGCAGTGGTGCGATCTCAACTCACTGCAACCTTGGTCTCCTGGGCTCAAGCAATCCTCCCACCTCAGCCTCCTGAGTAGCTGGGACTAGGTGCACACTACCATGCCTGGCTAATTTTAGTATTTTTGGTAGATATGGGATTTCCCCATGTTGCCCAGGCTGGTCTCGAACTCCTGAGCTCAAGCGGTCTGCCCACCTCAGCCTCCCACGGTACTGGAATTACAGACGTGAACCACCGCATCTGGTTTCAACTGTTCACTTCTTAAGTGTTTCATTTCATGTATGACAACTGTATACTCACATGTAACTATTATGCAATCAAGACACAGAAAATTTCCACCACCCCCAGAAAGTCCTTTTCTGCCCCTTTTAGGCAATTTCCACCACCTGGACAAGAGACAGCTACTTCCTCACTGGCTTTTAGGAGACTAATGATTTTCATATATCTGAGGGTACTTAGGAAAATCTCAAGTAAAAGCGTATTCCAAGAATGTAAATGTGTTCAAAAATAAGGTACCATAACAATAGTATCAATAAGCAAACATCAGATAGTCTCAATGGAGGCTGAAAAGGCATTTAGGATAATTAGACACCTATTCTGGCTCTTAGAACGAACAGGAGGACACTTCACAATGATAAGAATTTCTGTAAGAAAACAAGAGCCAATTAATGGTGAAAGGCCTAGGTTTTCCCAATGAAATCAAATCAAGATCAAAATGCCTGCCTTCTCTAAACACCCTTCAACATCATCCTGAGAGTTCTGACCTATGCCACAAGACATAGAACAAAAACAGAGACAGGTCTCCTGAAAGGGAGAAGAAAAAAAAATCATGATATTCAGTATGATTGCATACTTAACAAACTGCAAGGTATAACAATAGTCATTTAAAACATGTATATGTGGATGAATGTGCACAAAATATAGCAGATAACCATTTAGAAAATGTATTTACGAGAGCATTCATTTCAAAAGGGTTACAGAACACATAATATACAAAGAAACAGCCTTAGTAAGAAATAGCAATAATTGGAGTGGAGTGGGGGGAGAGAGAGCATTATGAAAAATAGCACATTTTATTACAATTGTTTTACTATTTCCCTACTAATGTGGGAAGTCCCTTAGAGCAGGTACTGCATATTTTAATCTTGGCATACATTTTGCCTGGTACAAAATCAATTCTCACTAAATACTTGTAAAATCATTGTATGCAGGAGGTAATAAACATTTTCTGTTATTGTTACTCCTCATTAGGTAACTCATTCCTGGCTGGGCACAGTAGTTCCTGCCTATAATCCCAGCACTTTGGGAGGCTGGGGCAGGTGGATTGCTTGAGTTCAGGAGTTCAAGACCAGCCTGGGCAATACAACAAAACATTGTTCCTACAAAAATTAGCTAGGCGTGGTGGCCTGTGCCTGTAGTCCTAGCTACTCAGGAGGGTGAGGTGGGAGGATCTCTTGAGCCCAGGAGGTCGAGGCTGCAATGAACCATGATTGCGCCACTACACTCCAGCCTGGGCAACACAGTGAGATCCTGTCTCAAAAAAACAAAAACAAGAAAGCCTCATTCTTCTAGGTAGAGTTTCTGCCTTCACAGTGGTTTTTAATGCTGATTCATAATAGAATCTCTTTTAGGGAGCTGTAAAATATATGCTGGGTCTACAGAAAAGATTGTTGATATGAGTGGAAGATAAGCCATTTCGGCATACATATGATAACTATAAAACAAGAACCAAATGGAAATTTTAAAACTGGAAATTCCACTCTCTGAAATGAAAAGTTTATTTGAATTTTCTTAAGAGAGATTGAACAGGGCTGGGCGCGGTGGCTCACATCTGTAATCCCAGCACTTTGGGAGGCCAAGGCAGGTGGATCGCCTGAGGTCAGGAGATCAAGACCAGCCTGGCCAACATAGTGAAACCCTGTCTCTACTAAAAATACAAAAAATTAGCCGGGTGTGGTGGCAGATGCCTGTAATCCCAGCTACTCGGGAGCCTGAGGCCAAATCGCCTGAACCCAGGAGACAGAGGTTGCAGTGAGCCGAGATCATGCCACTGCACTCCAGCCTGGGCAACAAGAGCAAACACTCTGTTTCAAAAAAAAAAAAAAAAAGAGAGAGAGAGATTGAACATTATAGAAGAATGAGTGAACTTGAAAAGAGATCAGTAGAAACAATTCCATCTGAAGTACAAGGGAAAATGGGACTGAAAGAAAACAAGGAAGCGAGTCTCAGTGACCTGTGGTACAATATCACGCACCACACATGGAACCAGGGACCAAGAAGAAATGGCTGGAAAAGATGAGGAAAAAAATGGTTGCTGTATTCTCAAATGTAGTGAAAAAACGTCAACTTACCAATTCAAAAAGCTTATAAACTCCTCAGAAAAATAAATGTAAAGAAAACCCTACCTGGACACATCATAGTCAATCATACAGAGCAAATTTTGTGCATTCACAGGGAACAAAGATATGAACGACAGCTGACCCAAAACAACGGAGGCCCAGGATGTGTGAAGTGGTGAAAGAACCCTGTTGACCTATTATTCACACCCCGTGAAAATATCCTTTAAAAACAAAGGAGAAAGGAATAAGTTGTGAGAGATTGTATTTTCCAAATTTGGCCACAACAATAAATGTAACCAGAATAAACAAACGAATTAAAAGGAAGTTTCCCCAACTGGAAAAAAACGCAAGCTGAAATTATAAACTATCTAAAATATATGCACCTTAAATATAAAGCTTCAGATAGATTGAAAGTAAAAGATGGGAAGAGATATAAAACACAACTGTAAAGCATGAGAAAGCTAGTGTGGCTTTCTTAATGTCAAAGAAAGTAGATTCAAGATAGGGCATATTAGCAAAGATAAGGAGGGATGTATAATGATAAAAGGATCAATTCATCAGAATGACATAACACTAAAAAAAAGGTGTGTACCTAATATGGATGCAAAGAGGTGAACAATAGACACTGGAGCCTACCTACTTCAGGGTAGAAAGTGGGAGGAGGGAGAGGATCAGAAAAAGTAACTATTAGGTACTAGGCTTAGTACCTGGGTGATGAAATAACCTGTACAACAAACCCCCATGACACAAGTTTACCTATATAATAAACTTGCACAAGTACCCCTGAACCTAAAATAAAGTTTAAAAACGTATTAAAAATATGTGTGTACCTAATAACAGAGCTTCAAAGATTTGCAGCAGAAACAGACAGAATTAGTGAGAGAAACAGACAAATGCACGATCATAACTAGAGATTTTTAACATCCCCCGCTGAACAACTGATAGAACCAGTAAAAAAAAAATCAATGAAGTCATAGACAATCTGAAAAAATTAACAACCACCTTGAGGTAATAAACATTTATAGAGCACTATACTGAACAACTGTAGAATGTTCATTCGTTTTGAGTGCATATAGTATGTTCACTAAGGTAGACCCTATTCTGGGCCTTAAAAACAGTCTTGATAAATTCAAAAGAATTGAAATTGTACAGAATATATTCTTTAGGTTGCAGAGGAATTGAATTAGATATCAGTAAGAATAAGAGATATAGAAAAGACTTTCATGTTTGCAATTTAAACAACCATGGGCCAGAGAAGAAACCTTATGGAAATCAGAAATATTTCAAACTAAATGATAATGCAAAATATCAAAATTTATAGGATGTAACTACAGGACATAGAGAGTATGAGTGCTTATATTAGTAAAGAAAAAAAGATAGAAAACAATGATCCAGGTTTCCACTTAAAAGCTGGAGAAAGAAGAGTAATATAAACCCAGAATAAGCATAAGAAAGGCAATAATCAGAAGAGGAAAACTATAGAATAGGAAACAGGAACACCCTGAAAGTAATAAAGAAATTAACACAGACAGCATAGCTATTTGAAAAGAATAGTAACATTTATAAATCTGTGTTTCAGAAGAAAACGGCAGGATTAGATTAACCTGTGATTCCTGGCTGGCCACGAGGTCACCCATGGCATGGAGCTGCCCACAACGCCCTTCTCAGCATGAAGCATCCTGAAAGATCCAGGGCCAGGTTCCCCAGGATTGGGGAGTTGGTAAGTAGAAAGGAGGACTGAAACCAGCCGAATTCTCCCATAGAGCTGATGTTTATGTTTTCTTTGAAAAAACATAGAAATTTATCCTCCTGGTGTTAGAACTTGAGAAAGTTATGTTTGTCTTAACTGAGTTCCTTTATCAGGAAACCCACCATCAAACTTCCCAGACAATATCAAGGGGCTGAAACTTCCTGAGATCACTGCATTTGAACAGTGAGATGCCAGGCCCCTCACCACCATAATTGCCTAACCAACCACATGCTTCCTGTTGACCAGCCTCTCTTCCTTACCTGCTCTCTAATTCCTGTTTTCCTGCACATGGTTACATTCCTTACCCCTCTCTAGTTCCTGTTTTCTCACACATGTTTACTTTCCTTGCCCCTCTCTAATTCCTGTTTTCCCGCACATGGTTACATTTCTTCCCTGCTATATAAACCTTTAATTTTCCCTGGGAATACTTGTTGTCTCAGTGATTGGCCATCTGTGCATCAAGCAGCAGGACCTAGACCAAAACTCTGGTGTTTCAGGAACAAGAACAACTTACCTATGGACAATTTTCATGCCTGTGGCTCTATGGGTTGCTCAGAAAGTTCACCAGAACAACTAATATAAACTACATACCAGGAAATTCATCAAAATTACTACTACTTTTTGTCATTCCTCCATCTAAAGATGCTTCAAGCCCAACATCTAGAAATCTCAACTGACTGTCCTCTGGACTCAAAAACTGGGCTTGTATCATTTGCTCCAACCATTAACCTTTACTTTTCTTTTGTTTCCATAGAAATGCCTCTTATTAAATACCTGACTGACCACACCTTATAGAGGCCTGACCTAGGTGAAAGACCACCTGTAACATCACCTCCTAAAATGAGATACAACTACCTAACTGGATAAAACTCTTCTCATGACTAAAAGACTTATTCAATAAGATATGGGGCAATATAGTTAGACTTATGTCCTGCCTGTTGCAATTTATGTTCCTGTTTTCCTTTATAGGTCTCTTGCCACTCAGTTACTAACCTGATTCTTCTCTCCACGGCCATCAACTCGACTTTTAATACATGAAACTTCTCGGGAAGTTCCAGACGAGGGAAATGAGGGGGTTAAAATATGCTATTTTAGCATATTGACTATTTAAGTTAAAGATACTTGAAAAACAGCAAGTGTGAAAAGATCACGCCCTATGAGTGGGGCAAGGGAAGTTTTCCCATTTCATAAAGACACCAGCTACTGGGTTTAGGGCCCAAACTTATCCAATATGACCTCTTCTTAAGTAATTATATCTGCAAAGAACCCATTTCTAAAAAAGATCACATTCACAGGTACCAGAGTGTAGGGCTTCAAAATATGCTTTAGGGGGACACATTCAACCCACAAAACCATACCAAGAAAATATGGTTCATGTACAGGGAAAGAAGAAATTGACAGATATCTGGGGAAGCTCAGACATTGGACTTTTTGGGCAAATGCTTTAAATCAACAATTTTAAATATGCTCAGATATTTAAAGGAAGTGTGTGTGTGTGTGTATGTGAGTGTGTGTGTGTGTGTGTGTGTGTGTGTGTGTGTGTGTTCTAGAAGATTGCGGAGGATTAAAACAGTAGCTCGCAGCCCATGGCTTCCAGGATGGGCAGGTGCTGGAGGGAAATATTCTGGGGAAACCCAGAGCAGCACCTACACCTTTCCCTTGGGGAAACATCGATGCATCTATAGATATGTATACATACTTGTATGAACATATAGAGAATATGCATAAAGAGATAAGAATTATTAAAAGGTCCCCAGTGGAAATCCTGGGGCCAAAAAAAATAAAGTAAACAACACAGCAGAGGGATTCCACAGCAGATTTGATCAGGCAGAAGAAAGAATCCGCTAATTTGAAGATAGGAGAAAAGAATAGGCCAGAGAGCCTCTGCGGTGTGCACGGAGGGCAGAACTGCTTCACAAAAGCAGACCTTCCCTTGCTTGTCTTTTCTCACACTAGAGAAAGCAGTAGATGATCCTATCTTTGAAGAGTGTGTTGTTAACATCAAGCATAAGAAGACAGTAATTAGGGGTAAAATCCTGAGGTATGTATGAGTTAATGACCAAATTAACTATGGAAACTTACATAAGAAGTGTAGAGGCTTTGTTTGTTTTTCTTTTTGCCCCTGTCCTCCCATTCTGCCCTGAAACAGCTCTGAGTAACACAGGCTGTGTTCTTGCTGTGACTCACACCTCCCTGCCTTCTCTTCCTTCAGGCTTGCTGAAGTCGGTGGGGGCTTGTTTCCTGCCCCGGACTCCCTGGAATTTAAAGTGACATAGTCTTGGGGACTGGAATCCAGCACCTCCTTCTTCCCCTCCATGTGGGGACAGGGACACCAGCACTGGCTTGGCTCACCCACAGCCTCCCCCGGGGTTCTCTGGCTGCACCTGGGGCTACTGAGTGCTGCAGTCCAGCTCTGATGGAGCTGTCAGGGAAGAGGCAGTGGGTCCCTGAGTGGTGAACTGGCCCTGGTTTCTGGGGAAGTCCTGGTTCTGGGGGAGTCCTATGGTCCCTCTCCTGTGGCTTCCTCCAACCCTGGGCGGACCTTCACTTTTTCTCCGTCAACCCTTCCTGCATCCTCATCAGTGGGCCCAGGTTGCTCAGACCTGGAAGCACCTGGGAGACCCATTTCCCGCTCCCCTTGCCCTGGAGGACCCGCTCTCCCTCTCGCCCACAGCTCCTGGGAGGCCCAGGCGTGCCACCCACTGTCCACCTTCCCCAGAGGAGAGGTGGGGCTGCTCTGTGCTCCCCACTGCTTCCCTCCTGCCCTGCCCATGAGCTCCTCAGCCTCACTTGGAGTCATGGGCTGTGAGCTATGGTTTGAATCCTCCACAATCCTCCAGTCTCATCTTTCCTCCTCTTAGAGTTGACCATGCTTTTCCTCCTGCTCAATTCTCCCTTTTTTTCCTTCCCTTTTCCTCCAAGTCACCACTAGGTAGGGCTCTACATGTGTGACCCTTCATTACAGGCGACCCTTATTCTTCAACTCTGTGCCCTTTTTCCTAACATTTGGCCTCTACTCGAAGCCCCCCAAAACATACAGTCAATAAAATTCTGTGAGTCCCCCTCCAAAGATGGAGAGGATGGCCTATGTTCTCGAGATGGGCAAAGGTGAGAGTTCAGTGTCCTGCTCCACCCAAATACCAGCTCCTCTCCCCAAAACCTCAATCACCATTATGCTGAGGGCAAAGAAGTTGTGAATATTTGTGAATACATCTTTGGCCACATTTCTAATCACCTTCATTAGGTGGCTCCCTAGAAGTAGAATATCACACACACACACACACACACACACACACACACACACACACACACACACACACAGAGCTGTGATTCCTACCAACAATACATCACTTTAGATCTGACATCACTGCTCTTTGATTTTCACTTCTGCTAACTAGGAAATAATTAATTGACGCCAATATGCATTTCTCTGCTTATTGAATTGTGTCCCATGTATTGATGTGTTGTTTGAATTTCTTTTTTCAAGCTGATTTTTTTAGGATTTGTGTATTGTCTGGGAAGACAGACTCCATGCTTCCCAAATACTAATAACAAATTTCTAGTCTTTTTAATTTGCCTCTTCTTTTTGTCTTAGATTTTAATGTACAGAAGTTTTAAATGTTAAGTAGTTGAATCTATAGGTACACTTATTTTTTTTATGGTCATAAGCTTAGAAAATCCTTTGCCCAACATAAAATAAGAGAACTCTAATTTCTTAGGGAGATTTTTATTAAATGATTAGATTTGTAGCATATAGTTGTATAAAATAAGATGAACTCTAATTTCTTAGGGAGGTTTTATTAAATGATTAGATTTGTAGCATATCATCGTGTAAAGTACATGGACATTATTTTTGATATAGAAAGTGTAGTGTTCCCCTTCATTGTTCTGAGTTACTCTCATCTGTCCAACCCCAGCGAGCCACTGATTATTCCCTTTCTCTGAACTTTGTGGTGTTTATGGAAGCTTCATTCCGTAGCACGAAGGCGTCAATCATTAATCTCGGGTGATTAGTCCTCAGGCATCTCCCTGCTCTGAGCTGAGGGGTGTGGTAGTGTTGAAAGTTGCAGTGCTCTGATCACGTGGTTGGTTCGACTGGTAACTGGTCCCTCTCTGGCAAGAGCCACCTCATCAGTATCAACTCAGGAATGCTGGAAATCATTTTATGAATAAAAAATAAAGCCCCTCTCACCACAATTACTCAAGAAACTTCAATGTTTTAAAGCTCTGTTCCCAGAGCCAGGAGCAGAGAAAAAAAGTAGATGTTCCTTATTATATCCCAGCCATGAATACCAGGAGAGAGGATCACTGGAGCCCTTTCAGAAGCTGCTTACCATGGCGCTCAGGGGAGAGGCCATGGTCGGAAGGAAAAAGTGTGGATGAGGAGTGTGATTGATGGCAAATGTTTGCTAATGTGGGACTAGCTGGACCCTGTTTTCTGGTGGTTCCTGAATCAGAGTTCTAGCACTACATACTGTAGTGTGGATTGGCTGTTTCAGGAACCTGGTCTCTCTGCAGTCGTTAGATTTCTGCATAAAGATTTAGCATAAATACTCTGTATAGAAGAAAAGAAAAATTTAAAAATTATATTTAATTATGTTTTGAGGCCTTCATGAAATTCTTTTTTTTTTTTTTTGAGACGGAGTCTTGCTGTGCCTCCCAGGCTGGAGGGCAGTGGCACGATCTCGGCTCACTGCAAGCTCCGCCCCCTAGGTTCCTACCATTCTCCTGCCTCAGCCTCCCGAGTAGCTGGGACTACAGGCGCCCGCCACCATGCCTGGCTAACTTTTTTTGTATTTTTTAGTAGAGACGGGGTTTCATCGTGTTAGCCAGGACGATCTCGATCTCCTGACCTCGTGATCCGCCTGCCTTGGCCTCCCAAAGTGCTGGGATTACAGGCGTGAGCCACCGCTCCCAGCCATGAAATATTTAAAGAAATTACACCACACAACCCATATTGACATCAACTGACCCCTAGAAACTAATGGAGGAATGTGTTAGGAAAAAATGTTCTGCCAGGGACCCATCTGATATTGGCCTGACCATCTGAGCTCAGACATTGGTCCCACTCACTAACAGATCTAAGAAACACGAGGTACCAGCCCTACTACCAAAAACTCTGAGTGCTATAGGCTCAGACAAAAAGGCAAACTTCTAGCTGAGAGAATATTAACAAATTACAGTGAGCAATATGTTCATAGTTCAAGACACTTCTGTGAACAGATGTGTGGATTTTCTTCACCCTGATCAATTATTCCACAACAGATGACTGCCCATAATTCAATTCACTTCTGACACTAATCAGAGGTAGTGCTGACCCCACAGGGTAAAGACTCAGTCCCACAAGACTCCCCACACTTCAGGGGCAAATCACAAGTAGGAGGTCTGTGTCCCCATCCAGATTTCATTTTGCATTGGCTCTGTGTCCCACCAAAATCTCCTTTTGAATTGTAATCCCCATGGGTCAGGGGAGGGACCTGGTGGGAGATGTCTGGATCATGGGGGTGGTTTCCTCATGCTGTTCTCATGATAGTTCTCGCGACTTCTGATGGTTTTATAAGGGTTTGGCAGTTCCTCCTTCACTCTCTTCTCTTTCTCCTGCCGCCTTGTGAAGAAGGTGCCAGCTTCCCCATCTCCTTCCGCCATGATTGTGAGTTTCCTGAGGCCTCCCCGGCCATGGTGAACTGTGAGTCAATTAAACCTCTTTCCTTTGTAAATTACCCAGTCTCAGGTATCCCTTTATAGCAGGGTGAAAATGGACTAAAACAGGGTCCCCAAGTCATCCACACCTTCTGTCTGACTTAGCTACTGATACATAATAGTGTTTGGTGACCCTAAATGTCTAAAAATGGAGTCACTTATGACAGGTGATCAGCCCACATTGAAATTGCTGACCCCTCAGAGTGAGAAGCGTATGTGTGGTGGACTGAGGTGATGAGAGGACCTGCTGTGGACAGGCACCCCCTAGACCAGACAAGCAAGTGAAGCCAGAATGCAGCTGAGATCTTGGCTACAGACAAGCCTGCAGAGGGCCATAAAAACTGCAAAGACCCTGACCACAGCCAAGCAGCTGCTGCAACTCTGCCCATGAAAACTCAGAGGCCTCTTTCCCATGGGCTATGGAAGAAGAGCAGCGACAGCCCCCCACCGGTCCATGTTCTGAGGAAACCCGGACCTGCCAGTGTGTCAGTCAGCATGCTGGTCTCCTGACACGCTCACTGTGGTCACTTCCCCACCGTCTCATCACCGCCTGTGTGTGTTGACTATATTTGCATGAGTGTGTATGTGCAAAAGCCACACAATAAACTGTGAATTTGCTGCAGGGAATTAAGGAACCAGAGAGACCGATCAGGGTGCAGGAGAGTTTTTATTTTAGGTGTATACCGGCTCAGCAGACATGTGTCCTGAAAGTCTGAGCAGCAGACAAAGAAAGCAGTCACCTTTTAAGCAGTTTGTGGCAGGAGTTACCTGATCCTGGAAGCAGACTTACAGAAGGGAGAACAAAGACAGTGAATTATCATGTAACATTCTTTAGCTTACATTTTGGGAAAGCATGTGCTGTAACTTATGCTTATTTAGTAAGTATAAATGAAGAGAAACAGAAACTACAAGGTATGTGGAAAGAGACAAGGTTAATGCCTCACTGTCTTTACAGAAAGGCAGTTAATATTCTTTCTTAGCTCTTACTTTGGGGGGGTGGTCACTAATGCCCATTACAGCTTTACTTTTTCTGTATTTTTTCATTTTATAAGGACAATTAATATCTTTTAATTTTTCTACTTCAAATTCATAAGAATTTCATTGGCCATTGAGTCATTGTGAAACCTCCTGGTCCCCCCACAACTAGGCTAATTGGAACCCGACATGGGAGCCACCAACTGGAAGTTCCCATGATCCCCTTCTCAGGTTTCATCATTGACTAGGCTGGCTCACAGAAGCCAGGAACATAGTTTACTTGCTATTGCCAATTTATTACAGAGGATATTTTTAATGATTATCAATCAACAGCCAGATGAAGAGATACACAGGGTCAGGGTTGTGAGGGTGCCCGGTGCAGGAGCTCTGTCCTCGTGGAATTAGGGCGTGCCACCCTCCCGACATGTGGATGGGTACTTGTTCACAAACCCAGAGTCTCTCTGAACTTTGTCCTCTTAAGCTTCTTTGGAGGCTTCATTGCTTAAGCTTGAGTGATTACATCATTGACCTTTGGTGATCACCTCAACATTCAGCCCCTCTTCTCTCACCAGAGGCTGGGACATGGGGAGGGCATTTGCAGCTTCCACCAGGTAAGCAAAACCCAAGCAAAACTTCAGCAGGGGTTGAAGTTTCAACCCTCTAATCATAGGCCGGTTCCCCCTCCCGAGGCTGTCCAGGAGCCCCTAACCATCAGTCATCTCACTGGTGTACAAAGAGACATTGATCACTTCAGAGATTCCAAGGATTTCAGGAGCTTTGTGGCAAGAAACAGGAGCTGACATCAAATATGTATCTCTTATTATTTCACGGTCCACAACCAGGTCTCTGGACTCTCTTACAGCAAAACGATATGCAACTCAAAAGATACTGGTAGGTTACTAGTCCTCCTCAGTCATTGATAATTAGTCCAGTCCATCATCATGTTATATGAAAATGTCTCCTAGGATGAGGCCACTCAGGTTTGCAGGCCTCCGTTCCCTCTGTCAGGTCCTAAAAGCAGGACAGGTCTCAGCAAACATGGAGCTTCCCCCTCCCAGATATCTGGAATAATTGAGCTAAGAGACAATGTCATCTCCTTCTCAGTATTACTGTAATATAAGATTTCCCTCATTACATAAACCATGTATTCATTCCTTTACTCTCAGCAACTCCTCCTCCTCGTTTTCATTTCTACTCAAACTTTTCTACTTTGGAAATAACTGTGATGGGCTGGCAGCAATACTAGTGTAACAAGTGTGTCCCTTCAGTGCACATCCATTCATACAGGGCAGGGTTACACAGGTGTAGAACTAGTGGGCTATTTTACCAATAGGCAACAAATTAGTCCATTGTGTGTTGCTATAAAGGAATATCTGAGGCTGGGTCATTTATAAAGAAAAGAAGTTTATTTGGCTTACGGTCCTGCAGGCTGCATGAGCATGGCATCTGCATCTGCTCAGCTTCTGGTGAGGGCCTCAGGGAGCTTCCAATCATGGAAGAAGGCAAAGGAGGAGCCAGCACATCACATGGTGAGAGGGAGCAAGAGATAGAGGTGAGAGGTCCCAGACTCCTTTAAACAACCAGCTCTCTAGTGAACTAACAGAGTGAGAACTCACTCATTACTGTGGAAAGGGCAGTGAGCCATTCATGAGGGTTCTTCCCCCATGACGCTAACACCTTCACCAGGCCCATACCAACCTCAGGGATCACATTTCAATATGACATTTGGAGGGGACACACATGCAAACTGTATCAGGCTATGTAGCTGCATTTACTGTTAGCCCCAGTTTTGCAAGACTGGGGTCCCATCAGGTCCATAAGAAAATTGACAGAAAAGTCTAAACACGTAGTCTGTTCCTGGCTTAGGGGTCGTCGCTGCTTCCAGCGTTTATAGTTGTAGCCCTGGCCCTGTGGCCAAGGTACCAGGTGGTGGGTGGGGAGAAGGGGAGAGGTGAGGTAATACAGGGAAGACAGACAAAAATGACGGTCACTGGCCGGGCGCTGTGGCTCATGCCTATAATCTCAGCACTTATGGGATGCCAAGGCAGGTAGATTACCCGAGGTCAGGAGTTTGAGACCTGCCTGACCAACACAGTGAAACCCCGTCTCTGCTAAAAATATAAAAATTAGCTGGGCGTGGTGGCGGGAGGCTAAGGCAGGGGAATCACTTGAACCCAGGAGGTGGAGTTTGTAGTGAGCCAAGATCATGCCATTGCACTCCAGCCTGGGCAACAGAGCGAGACTGTGTCTCAAAAAAAAAAAAAAAACCACTACCACCACCACCACCACCACCAACAAAATGACAGTCATCACACTAGCATCCTCCCTACCTCCTCATCCCCAGATCCACTGGAAAAATGGAGGAAAGTCTGGTGGGGACACTCCTTTAGCCCACTCGTGTGGAGTAGGGGCACACACCAGTGAAGGTGTGGAAGCCAGCCCTTCATGCCTGTGTCTCCCCCCATTTTAGACAATCAATGTTTCAGTTGACTGTTCTGCTTCCCTGTCAAATTATTACTCTAAGGAGGGTATCTCTCTGCCCATTGCTAAACATTATGCACTGAACGGCATGTTTCTTGGTCCAAGGAAGTGCGACTTAGTGGTCCAAACTAGAATAATACCTTATTTCAGTTCTTTTATATTAATAGCACTCTGGGCATTTGCAGCCTCCACCAGGTAAGCAAAAGACAATCCACAGTCAGTTTCTGTTCCTGTCAAGACTCACCTGTACCCCCCAGGGCACTGCCCTCAGTCTCACTTTCCAAGTATGTTGAGGGCCTCCCCATCAGGGAATCTGCCTCATAGCTATAGGCAGTCTGTGTCTCTCCCGCTGCTAGACAGAACAGCTCTTATTGGCATTATGTGCCTGAGAGAGAGCAAGAGGAATGTGTTTCGATTCAGCCCATCTCTGCATCACTGTGGTTCCCCCATAACCACTCCTTTTATTTAATGGCCTCTGGTGACCACCTCAAGGGAGTACATGGTGGGTGGTATCTCTTGCTGATGTCAATCACTTTCCAAACCTGAGGCAGGTTCTACTGAGCAGTATGGATGTGTCCTACTTTAATGCGCTCCTCAAGTCCCCCTAGAGATTGCCATGGGGTCAGGCCTCATATGGACATCCCTTCAATAGGCCAGTTTTCCATTATTCTTGGAAACAATGGGGAATGTAGAGACGAATATCCAAATTTAATACACTTTATTTGAAAAGCAAGAATTGCAATGCTTGGCATATACAAAGACCAACTTGTCTTTGATATGTCCAAAGACCAAAAAGAGAAGTTTAGAGGCTTTTTTAAAAGGAGAAATTCTGGCCAGGTGCAGTGGCTCATGCCTGTAATCCTGGCACTTTGGGAGGCCAAGGCGGGCGGATCACGAGGTCACGAGATCGTGACCATCCTGGCTAACACGATGAAACCCCATCTGTACTAAAAACACAAAAAAATTAGCTGGGCGTGGTGGCAGGCACCTGTAGTCCCAGCTACTTGGGGGGCTGAGGCAGGAGAATGGCGTGAACCCAGGAGGCAGAGCTTGCAGTGAGCCGATATCGCACCACTGCACTCCAGTCTGGGTGACACAGCGAGACTCCATCTCAAAAAAAAAAAAAAAAAAAAGGAGAAATACTAATTATTTTTTTTTCTAGGAAGCTCATTGGCACTGTCAAATTTGAAGAAGAGGCGTGCTCTGACTGGTGAGTGACTGCAGTGGGTCAGGCTGGTCTTAGAGCAGTAGCAGGTTATGTCCATAGATATTAGATAGGACTATTAATAGTTTCAGGTTACAGCTGCCAGGCTTACAGAGAATTGCAGTTTGGGGGTAATACAGTGATTTTTCTTCCCCATGGCCTCTTGACTCTGTTTTAGTTGGGTGTGACAAGAATGACCCAATTTGTGCAATCAACTTTCACATTCTGCTTCCCAACTCTATGACCAAGACGTTGAGGACTGTTCATGAGCCAGAAAACAACTCAAGTACAGGGGCTTTTGCTGCTGTCAAATCTTCCATCACGCTAGGAAAACAGCATGCAATCCAACCCACCTAGCCAATTTGCCTTTGCCTTCTTCCATCAGAGGGGTGGCCTTCCAAATAGGATGTTGACCATTCACCTAGGAATGACTGTCTACAAACTAAGTAGCTCTTGGTTGGTCAGTAAAGAGCTGCGTATAGGGCAGTGTCCAAGTGACCACAGAATCCAGCAGCTCCTCACTCAGTTCCAGACTCAGTCTGTGGGGAACAGAGGCTCCCTGCTCATGAGTGTCTCCTCTTTGCCTTCCTCAGGCACCAGGATCCCGTATCAACCATTTCCATTTTGTAATAGAACTCTTCGGGGACTGCCCTCCCCGTTAGAGCTTTTCCAAGATCTCTGAAGACATCATGAGTTTTTCAGGTTTCAAGATTATTTTATGTCCTTCAGTCACAGGGGGAGCTTCAGCTAGTGTTCCATCGTAAGCTAGTAAGTGCCTCTCAAATGGAAACTTTATAGTCTAAAGGCCCAGTTCCCTGGAGGTGCTCACAGCCTTTTGCCATTAGCCCTAGGCAGTGCTCCACACAGGGCACAGAGAATGTGTGTTACCTGCAGTCTGGTTTCTAGTCTACACTGTGTAGTCCACCCTCCAGGGCCAAGGGGCCTGGAGTGCTCTAAAGACTTTCCTGCAGGCCCTCGTGGCTCTGTGTTAATGCTGTCAGTCTTCCTGAAGTCCTGTCCTCTCACCTCCTGCCTAGATCTGCCCCCAGCACACATTCCTGACTCCACACATTTCTCAGTGCCTGCGACCTGGCACACATTTCTGATCCGAACTCAGTGCCTGGGGCCTGGCAGGTGCCCAGGGCACTCCATTGCTCAAATCCAAGCCTGTGGAGAGGATGACATATCATTCCCAGGTTTCTGATGAGCAGAAAAAAAAATCTTTGTTTCTATAGTGCTATCCTCTTTTATCCACCATGTGAGAGGTCAGGAGCCGACTCACCCCAAGGGTCTAGGAGTTGTGCCATTGACCTTACTGCCTAGGGTCACAGGCTGGCACCCTTCAGTACCACACATTGGATCTCTCCACACAGCAGCAGTGTGCTTAACTCAATGGGGAGGTGAGTAGCCCAAGGTCAGATAGTTGGACCTGGATAGACACTTGACTGGGGGACAGGCTTTGGAAGCCACTCCCCTGGGCCTCCTCTGTCCATGGGGCCTCAATACTAGAGCCCACAAGGTCGGCCAGAGAGTGTCTGTGCCTCGACCATGCAAAGGGTGCCAGGTTGTGGCTAGGGATGCCCCCGGGGTTCCTCTCCCTCCTACCTACTCCTCAGCCTCTGCATGTGCCCGTCATGGCCCCTGTGTCCTTCATTCTGTCCACTCATGTGTTCACTGGGCCCCTCCTTGGTGCCAGGCACCCGCTACTGAGGGATACCAAGCCCCTGCCAGAGAAGCTTGGAGCTGGGTCACAGCAGCAAGGAGGCTGGAGACATCAGTGGCATCAGTGCACTGGTCAGTGAGGCCGCTGTGGGAGGAGGGAGTGGGAGCAGAAGCTAAGAGTGGACTGAAGTCCTTAGGCCAGGAGGTAGTTCAGGGTTTAAGAAGAGGAGAGACAGGCGTCCCGGGGAGGGAGCAGGCTCAGGATGGGCCTCCAGTGCCTCCTCTGGAGCTCACTACCCAGACTACAGCAGCGCAGTGGGCAGCGCCTCAGCTCCTTCCCCTTCTGCTGCCTACAGCCTGGACAGGACCCGGAATCAAACCGCAGGCCCTGGGTCACCGCTGCCGGAAAGAGCCAGTTCCTGTCCGTCCATGCACCCACCACCAAAACCCAGGCCTTCCTGGAGGTGCTAGGGGAGGCCATGCCCCTTTTCTGAGTGCTTGGAAGTGACTGCTGCAAGTGACAAGTGACCACGCCTTTTCCCCCGCGGGTATAAATTCAGAGGCGCTGCGCTCCGATTCTGGCAGTGCAGCTGTGGGAACCTCTCCACGCGCACGAACTCAGCCAACGATTTCTGATAGATTTTTGGGAGTTTGACCAGAGATGCAAGGGGTGAAGGAGCGCTTCCTACCGTTAGGGAACTCTGGGGACAGAGCGCCCCGGCCGCCTGATGGCCGAGGCAGGGTGCGACCCAGGACCCAGGACGGCGTCGGGAACCATACCATGGCCCGGATCCCCAAGACCCTAAAGTTCGTCGTCGTCATCGTCGCGGTCCTGCTGCCAGTGAGTCCCGGCCGCGGTCCCTGGCTGGGGAAGAGCGCACCTGGCGCCGGGAGGGGGCAGGGAGACGGGGACACGGCAGGGATGCCTGGCCCTGGTCACCTGCGGCCGGGCATGTCCGGGCAGGACGAACTCGCCGTCGGAGTCAGGGGAAGAACTGGGTCCCCGGGCTGGGCAGGAGGGACCCGGCCGCGAGGGAGCAGAGAGGCGGTCCCCCTGGCTGCCCCGAGCCCGCGAAGGGAGGGAAGTTCCAGAATCGAGAGAGGGAGGGAGTCAAGGTGGAACCCATAGAGTGAGCCTCCTGAAGACACAGAGCGGTTGCCTCTCTCATTAATTAATTAATTAGTTAATAAAATTAACCCCATGTTTACATTCTTAAACGTGTTCCTTGGAGATCGGTTTAACCAACAGCCAGTGAAAAAACTTTTCAGCGCTGTCTTTAGCAACTTTCACCTCCTCTGTCCTGAAAGTGGCAGGAAGCCGGAATGTGGCAGGAAGCGGTTAACCAAGGTGCTGCCTTGGTTAATGTCTTCCACTACCACCCGTGTGTCCCCTCTGTATCCCATAGGCAGGACCGGGGCTGGCCCCTTCCTTCAGCATAAACGGTGTAAAGTTGTTGTGAGTTGGCTTTGGAAACTGAGATTGGTAGTAGTGTGAGTGCAAGGACATATTATGTATAAAATATGCAGACTTCTAGGTCTCTTTCAGATTGATTGAGGTTTTTGCTAACAGCCCTTTTTAAGATTCTTTATGTAATACAAAAAAAAGAAAAAAGAAAAAGAAAAGGCCAAAGCAAGGTTACAGAAACCATGAGAGTTTGCATGTTGTCTTTCTACAAATTAATGCTAAATTCAGAAAAGCAGTAACATTTTCACCTCTCAAAAATTACACAACTGACTTTTAAAATAGTTTATAGTGGGTGGACTTACCTGAGGCAGCTAGAAGAATGGCTGTGTCAGGACAGTGGCCCTGAAGAGAGAATGCATGGATGACCAGTGTAGACAAGGCCAGCAACATCAGTTTCACGGTTTTGGGAATGTGAACTCTATGCGTCCCAAAGGAGGCTTTAATCCCTCCATCAGTCTTGCCTTATTAAATGCATTTAAATGTACAATCACTTTGTTAAATTTTGGAGCTAACACAAATCACATTAGATGTTTTATGGCAGTACATTCAGATTGATCTTCTTTTAAACAAGGGTATTGTATTTTACTGCATGGGTAAGCCACATTTTAATTCACTGTTGCCGCCTAGGGGCAGCTGGTTAGATCCCATCCTGACGGCCTTTGCTAATTCCAACAGCATTGTACTAAATACCCTTGTATGTATCGTGTGTCCACATATCCATGCACACCAGCTTATTGGGCAACTCCTTACAAGTTGAATTCTACTTCTCCTTCTGTGGGATAAATGACTTCAGAAGTTTCTTTAAATGTTCACGAATTTTCCTCCAAAAAACCACTGAACCCAGCTTACAGTCACACCTAGTCCACAAATGTGCCTGTGTCCCTACACCTTTGCTACACTTAGCTTTCATTCTTTACTAGTCTAAGATGTAAAACATAACACATCACATTGCTATGTATTTTTGTTTCCTCATGGTATTAGGAATTTTCAAGGATATAGGAGTTTTTTGGTACTGGGAGTAGACCAGGGTATCCAGATGAGACAGCAGGGAAGACTGAATTCTGAGCTGTGCACTTGGAAAACCCTGGTCAGTTGGGGCCAGTCCCTGCCACCCACCATGCCTGTGAATGGAGATAAGGTCTCCATCCTCAGCCTGTCAGGGTGACTTCAGATGAGCCTGGAGCTGAGTTCAGTTCCTGACCCCAGGTCCTGGCTCTGTCAATGCTGGGCTGGTCCAATCTGTGCGCCAGGTCCTTCCACACCATTCCTCTCTCTATCAAAGTAGGAATTGAGAAGTTCCAACGGCTCAGAATCTCGGACTCTCAGGCTGTCAAGGACTCCTGAGATTGAAGGTTGTGAATGGCTGGGCCCTGCCGTGCTCCCCCTCTGGCTCTGTGACTCTGGTGTGGCCCCAGCTCCTGCCTGTAAAGTGAAGAGGAGGTAAAAATCTTCAGCAGCCCTGTGTAAACCTCAGAGGGCTGTGTTACCAGGTGTGGGAGGACAAATCACATCCTCAGGGCTGGTGTCACTCACTCTGGACTGGATCCCCAGGCACCTGTCCTCCATCCAGCAGAGGCTGCCCCTGTTCCTACCTGCACCCTGGTACTTGCTCCCTGAGCTTGGGGCAGAAGCTTCTGAAGACTAGGGTGGAGCACCACGGGGAGGGGCCATGGAGGAACAGAGGAGCCAGACGTCAAGTGAGGACAGCGATGGCACTGCAGGGCCACAGCCTGGTTTACCTGCCATGCTTCCAGTTGTCCTTCTGGTAGGCGCCTGGCCCGGGTTGTAGTTTGAAGAGTGAGCAGGAAATGTCTCCATCCAGGTGGCTGCAGATGGCTACTCACCCAGGCTGTACTGAGAGGCCACAGTCCCAGTTCTGGTCCTCTGTCGTGTATCCAGGAGTGGCAGGGCAGTGAGGCTCTAGCTTCTAGGTCAGGGATGGGGACAGTGGGGACAGTGCCATGCCCCGAGCCTCTGCCGTTGGGCAGCTGGTATCCTGCTTCCAGCCAGAGAATGCACATCTTCATGTAGTGGATTTCCTAACAACCCGGGGAGATGAAGGTAGGTTGTTTTTCCTGTTTTACAAGTGGTAAAATGAGATTCAGGGCTAGAGTTCTCTGAGCAGCTGCTTCTCTGATCTCTGTCCTGCCCTTGGCCTCTGGGAGCTCTTATGGTTCCTCAGCAGAGTTCACAGGGCTCTTGGAGCCTGTCCTTCGGCCTTGAGCTGAGGCCACAACTGCGCGCACTTCATAGGCTTGAGGGGAAAGTGATTCATCCAGGAAGTAAACAGTGAGCCCTTTACTCTGAGAACACCTGTGCCTGGAGTCCGCCGGAGTTTGGGAGGACAAATGAACCCCATGTGAATCCTGTTCCCTGGAGCCCGCAGTGTGGTGGGAGAGGTGACCCAGGGATTATATAACTAATAGGAGGTAGCATGAAGGAGGCCTGAGATCTCACTACCCTTGCCTCCCCCTCCTCCAGAGAGGCTGTGCTGGAGAGAGGCCATGCTGTTGCAGGGCCATAGGATGTGGTACTGTTGGCCTGGAAGATGTGGTTTGATTACAGTCACCATTGAGGGTCAGGGAGGGGAGCGAAGCTCTCCTTTAGATGCCCCCCCACCCGATTTTTTTTTTTTTTTTTTTAGCTGGGCCTGAGAATTTGATTCACCTAAGAGAGGTCCACAGGAGACAAGCACACACATTTATTTAATTCAAGTTTTACCTGGCATGGAAGAACCTGTGAGAGTCAGTTACTTATTTACTGAATTAGACCAAGTAACTCATGAAGAAGCAAGTAACTATGTGAGGAGCTAAAAAGATGAGAGTGGATCCATTCTAACATGGTCTGCACAGTACCCTCTTGGCCTCGACTTCTCATCCTTAAAAATAAGGAAATTGTCAGCTGGGTGCGGTGGCTCACGCCTGTAATCCCAGCACTTCGGGAGGTCAAGGCAGGTGGATCACGAGGTCAGGAGATCGAGACCATCCTGGCTAACACAGTGAAACCCCGTCTCTACTGAAAATACAAAACAATTAGCGGAGTGTGGTGGCGGGTGCCTGTAGTCCCAGCTACTGGAGAGGCTGAGGCAGGAGAATGGTGAGAACCTGGGAAGCAGAGCTTTCAGAAAAAAAAAAAAAGGAGATTGTCCTATGTTTCCCTGGGGACTTTCATCTCCTGCTTTTAGGAAACACAAAAGAGGTCAAAGGATCTTCTTGCACCTGTTGTTTTTCAATAGCCTTTAATTCATAATAGTCAATTGACCAGGGTGGGCAGGGTGCGATGGCTCACACCTGTAGTCCTGCCAAGACAGGCAGATCACTTGAGCCCAGGAGTTCAAGACCAGCCAGGGCAACATAGCAAAACCCGGTCACAACAACAACAACAAAAAACCAAACAAACAGAAAAACAGAAAAACACAGAAAATTATGTCGTGTGAAGGAATCCACACAGAATGCTTACCATCTGATTCCATTTCTCATTAAAATTCGACCAATCTATTCTGACAAAAAGCAGAATTATTGCTGGGGACATAGGAGCAAAGCGGAAGAGAGGATTACATTGAAGAATGAAGAAATTCTGGGGTGTGGTGGACATGTCATTTTCTTATCGTGGTGGTAGTTCCACAATGTATACACACGTCTCAATCTACCAAACTACATGCTTCAAAAATGTACACTTTGTTTCATGCCCATTATACCTCAATGAATCCATTTTTAAAAAACCTTCAATAGAATGTAAACACTTGAGTGTATACTGTATTCCCTATAGCACTTGCACATAGATCATGGAAATAGGTATGCATAAAAAGTCAGTTTATCCAATTAAAATGGAATTCTAAAAGGTAATTAACATTAAAATGTGCAGGGGGAAAAGGAGTAAAAAAATTAGACTAGACAATCATAGCTTAAATGGTAAACTTACAGGTCTATTTCAACTATATCAATTATTGCACTCCCTGTAAATCCACTGAGCACTACAGTTCAATGGTAGAAATGTTTGGAAGGGCTGAGAAAGCAAGACTCAACTATATCTTGTCTATATGAGATGGGCCTTAAAAGGAAGACACAGATGTTGTCTGTTGAAAGTAAATAGATGGAAAAAGATACACCATGCAGAGTGTAAGGCCAAGAAAACTGCCATGGCTATCTCAGTATCAGATGAAGTTGATTTTGTTAGCGGTGGATGAGATCCGAGTTACCCTACGTTGAAGGCGGCGAATCCGTATGCGTCCACAGCACCTTCAGCTCTTCGCCTCCTGAGAAGAAAGAACTGGTTTGAGGGGCATAAGGCAGAAGCAGAGATGGAGGCAAGTTTCAGAGCAGGAGTGAAAGTTTATTAAAAAGCTTTAGAACAGGAAGGAAAGGAAGGAACAGGAAGGAAAGGAAGGAACAGAAAGAAAAGAAGGAAAGTACACTTGGAAGATGGCCAAGCAGGTGACTTGAGAAACAGTACGCAGCCGGACCGCCTGAGTTGGGGTTTTATAGGTTGGCCTACTTCCAGGATCTTGCCTTACTTCTCCCCACTCCTGAAATCTTATTGGGAAGCTGCTGATCAGTTTCAAGTGTTTTCTATGTATTAGGAAACTGCTTTTTTCTGGCATCGGCTGTAACCAGTTATTACTTTAGAGACACAGTTATCAACTACCTGATGGTCGCCCAACACTGCTGGTGTCAGAAGCGGGGACCCCTCTCCTGTCCTGCTCATACCTAACTAGCTGCCTACTGTGACAATTTTAGGACATTGAATATTATGGGAGATGAAAAGGGACCTTTGTAGTTAAAAGGGTTAATTCTTCAAGGAGTATAATAACAACAAATTGTATATGCCTAGTAATACATCTTCAAAACACATGACACAAAAATAGAATTAAAAAGAGATTAACTCAGCTGTTTCTCTGCACTTGCTAGCATGATTAGATGAAAATGCCAGTAAAGTGGCAAGCGATCTGCACACTATCAACCACCTTGATTTAACTGACATTTAAAGAGCAGGAGTGGAACATTCACTGAACACTCATTCCTTTCTATGCTCATGATACTTTCACCAAGATAGACCAGGTTCTGGGCTATAAAACACACAATATGATCTCTAAACTTAATGAAACTAAACTGGAAATCAGTAACAATATCCACAGAGAATTCTAAAATTTTGATATTGAACAACACACTTCTAAAAATCTGTGGTTCAGACAGGAAATCAAAAGGGAAGGTAAGATATTTCAAAGTAAGTAATAATGACAATATAACACATCAAAAGTGGTGCGAAATAGCTAACAGTGCTCAGGGTGAAATATACAGCTTTCAATGTTTGTATTAAAAAACTGGGGGTTAGGGAGATGGGGAGTTACTGCTGAAGGGTATGTAGTTCCTTTCTGGAGTGATAAAAATATTCTAAAATTGATTATAGTGATGATTGCATAGCTATGAGTATATTAAAAACTGCTGAAGTGTGGACTTTAAATGGGTGAATTATATGAATAATCATAATTATTAATTATGTGAATTGTGTCTCACTAAAGCTGTCAAAAAAAGAAAAAACGTGAAAATTATGGGCCGGGCACGGTGGCTCACATCTGTAATTCCAGCACTTTGGGAGGCCGAGGAGGGTGGATCACGAGGTCAGAAAATCGAGACCATCCTGGCTAACACGGTGAAACCCTGTCTCTACTAAAAATACAAAAAATTAGCCAGGCGTGGTGGCGGGCACCTGTAGTCCCAGTTACTTGGGAGGCTGAGGCAGGAGAATAGCATGAACCTGGGAGGTGGAGCTTGCAGTGAGCCGAGATTGTGCCACTGCACTCCGGCCTGGGAGACAGCGAGACTCCATCTCAAAAAAAAAAAAGAAAAAGAAAAAGAAAATTATGGCCTGAGGAGCTACATTAATCAATCATAAAATATAAGTGTAAATTTAAACCAAACAAAGTAACAGGAAGGAGCATAAATCAAAGAATACAAACCACAGAAAGAACTGAGAAAACCAACTGTGTGCGGTGGCTTACGCCTGTAATCCCAGTACTTTGGGAGGCCCAGGCAGGCAGATCACTTGAGCTCAGGAGTTAAACCACTCTGGGCAACATGGCGAAACCCCAGCTCTACAAAATATGTGAAAATTAGATGGGCGTTGTGGCACACACCTGTCTTTGGGGACTGAGGTGGCAGGACCACTTGAGCCTGGGAGGCAGAGGAGGCAAAGGTTGTAGTGAACCGAGATTACACCACTGCACTCTGCGCTCCAACATGGAGGACAGAGGGAGACCCTGTCTCCAAAAAAAAAAAAAAAAAAAAAAAAAAGACAAAATGAAAAGTTGGTCTTCTGAAAGGATTTTAAAAAACACTAATAAACCCCTCATTAAATGAGAGGGAGTAAGAGTGTGAGAGCAGAGAAAGGAGACGCAGACATCGCCTGAACCTAGAGGGACTCCAACCCGGGAAAGAATGATTTGGGAAAAGTGGGTTAGCTTCACTGTCACCAACTGCTAGTCAGGCTTTGATGTGGAAGAAAGCTACATTTTGTCTTGTTTAGATCCAGGCAGTTGAACTGAGCCCAACATAAGCAGCTTTCATTGTAACCATTTTGGTTTTGCTTAAATTAATTTCCTACTTTAAAACACTCCCAACTTAAAGAAAAGTTACAAAAACTATACAATAAAAACATTTGAAAAAATGGCTGTTGGCATGATGAAAGCTATTATTGAATTCTTTAGTGTGTACTTTCTACAAACAAGGAAATTAACATCAACACATTACCACTATCTATCCGCACTCTATTCCGATTTCTCCAGTTGTCTTCTAGTTGTCATTTATAACATAGAGATCATGGCCAGAATCCCTGAATTGCTGTTTCATCTTTTTTGTCACTCTTTGATATTTAGTGGGAGCAGCTTGACAAGGTCCTTTGTAAAGCAGTAATTAATTACTTAATGTTTGATGCTATATCCTGACTTTCTGTAAGGTTATATATATTATAACCTTCATTTGTAAAGCTGAGTATGTTTAAGTGTGTGTCTGTGTGTATTTGTGTGTGTGTGAGTGAGAGACAGAATTCACCTATTGGTCAATTAAACACTTGGTGAAACTAAATATATTAAATGCTATTTCTGCATGAAGGGCTCATATGTGTGTGGTTTTTTAAAATTCTTATAAAATCTTTTCTTTCCAACCATGGTGGCATGTGCCTCTTATCCACATTTCTTGGGAGACTGAAGCAGGAGGATCACTTCAGGCCAGGAGTTCAAGCCTATAGTAAGATATGATCACACCTGTGAATAGCCACTGCATTCCAGCCTGGGCAACATAGCAAGACTCTGTATCAAAAAAACAAAATAGCTCTTCTTGCTCCCATTATCTGGGGTAAATTTATGTTATAATATGAGAAAAGGATACATAAGTGTTTTTCTTTTTCTTTTCATTTTTTCTTTTTTTTTTTTATTTGAGATGGAGTCTCGCACTGTCACCACATTGGAGTGCAATGGCGCGATCTTGGCTCACTGCAACCTCTGCCTCTCAGGTTCAAGCTATTCTCCTGCCTCAGCCTCCTGAGTAGCTGGGATTACAGGTGTGTGCCACCACACCCAGCTAATTTTTGTATTTTTAGTAGAGACAGGGTTTCACCGTGTTGGCCAGGATGGTCTCGATCTCTTGACCTTGTGATCCACCTGCCTCAGACTTCCACATTGCTGGGATTACAAGCTTGAGCCATCGCGCTTGCCTGTATTTTTTTTTTTTTTTATAGAAAATAGCTGGCCCTAACAGGCCAAGGGACAAACACAGGTATGAAAGAATGAAAGTTTGGAGCTGGAAAAAATGTCCAAGCTCTGATGGGTTTTGTCACTTGGGGTGAAGGGAATGTGAGATGGAGCCTGGGAGGGGTGAGGTCTGGAAGTCACTCACACCCATCACTCCTTTGTCCCCACAGGTCCTAGCTTACTCTGCCACCACTGCCCGGCAGGAGGAAGTTCCCCAGCAGACAGTGGCCCCACAGCAACAGAGGCACAGCTTCAAGGGGGAGGAGTGTCCAGCAGGTGCACTCTTATTTTTAAAAATCAGTTTATTTTTAATTGACAGATAAACATTGTATGTATTTATGATGTACACCATGATGTTTTGAAATATGTACGCATTGTGGAATGGCTAAATCAAGCTAATTCACATACTTAATCATGTATTCGTGGTAAGAACACTTAAAAATCTGCTCAGCAATTTTCAGCTGTATGGATACAGAGCCCTGGGATAAGCCCTCTTTGCCCTTTTTATCTGTGGGTTCTGTAGCCTTCCTTATCTATGGGTTCTGTATCCATGGTTGCAACAAACCACAGATCAAAAATATGCGGAAGAAATAAAAATGATAATACATCAATAAAAGCAGATAAAAAGCAATGCAGTATAGCACTTATTTACATAGCATGTCTATTGCATTAGGTATTACAAGTAATCTAGAGATGATTTAAAGCATATGTGCGTGGGTTTTATGCAATACTATCCCAATTTATATCAGGGACTTGAGTATATGCAGAGTTTGTTCCATGGAATATATTCCCTGTGGATAGAAGGCAGGACTGTACAACACATTGTTTTAATAACTGTAGTCGCCATGTCACACAATACATCTCTTGAATTTATTCTCCCTGTCTAACTGAAATTTTGTATCCTTTGACTAACATCTCCCCATCCCACCATCCAACTCAAGCCCTGGTAATCACCATTCTGCTCTCCACCTCTATGAGACCAACTTTTTCTGATTCCACATATGTGAGATCATGAGGTGTTTGCCTTTCTGTGCCTGGCTTATTTCACTTAGCATAGTATCCTCCAGCTTCATCCATGCTGACACAAATGACAGAACTCCCTTCTTTTTAAAGGCTGAATAGTATTCCATTGTATCTATGTGTCACATTTTCTTTAACTTTTCATCCATCCATGGACACGTAGGTTGATTCCATGTCTTGACCATTGTAAATAATGCTCCAATGCATATGGGAGGGAAGATATCTCTTCAATATACTGACGTCATTTCCTTTGGATGTATACCCAATAGTGGGATTGCTAGATCATATAGTTGTTCTATTTTTTGTTTTTTGAGGAACCTCCATACTGTTTTCCATAATGGCTGTACTAATTTCCATTCCCACCAACAGTGTACCAGCATTCCTTTTTCTCCCCATCATCAACACTTGTTACCTTTTGTCTTTTTGGTAATAGCCATTCTTACAGGTGTGAAGTGATATTTGGCACTTGATGGTTAGTGATGCTGAGCATTTTTTTCATATACTTTTTGGCCACTTCTATGTCTCCTTTTGAGAAGTGTCTATTCAGGTCCCACGCCCATGTATCCATTTTACTTGGATTATTTGATTGTGTGCTATTGAGATGTTTGAGTTCCTGTGTATTTTGGATTTTAACCAAAATCTTGGATCTTTTGAATATTGACCCTCATTCTGTAGGTTGTCTCTTCACTCTGTTCATTGTTTCCTTTGTCATGCAGAACCTTTTTAGTGTAATGTAACCTCATTTGTCTGTTTTTCCTTTTGTTGCCTGTGCTTTTGGGGTCATAGTCAAGAAACCATTGCCCAGACCAACATCATGAAAATTTTCCCCTATGTATTCTTGTGGTAGTTTTACCATTTCAGATCTTATGTTTTAATCTTTAGTCCATTTTGAATTAATTTTTACATATGATGTGAGATAAAGGTCTTATTTCATTCTTCTGCATGTCAATACCTACTTTTCTCAACACCATTTATTGAAGAGCTGTCCTTTCCCCATTTTGTGTTCTTGGTATCTTTCTCACAATCAATCAACTGTAAATGCATTGATTTATACCTGGGTTCACTATTTTGTTCCATCAGTTTATTTACCATTGTTGTGCCATTACCATTCAGTTTTGATTACTATACTTTTGTAACACGTTTTAAAATCAGGTAGTACGATGCCTCCATCTTTGTTCTTTTGTTTGTTTTGCTTAAGATCACTTTGGCTATTTGAGGTCTTTTGTAGTTCCATACAAATCTGGGCGTGGTGGTGCGTCGCCTATAATCCCAGCTACTCGGGAGGCTGAGGCAGAAAAATCGCTTGAACCAGGGAGTTGGAGGTTGCAGTGAGCCGAGATTGTGCCACTGCACTCCAGCCAGGTGACAGAGCAAGACTCTGTCTCAAAAAAAAAAAAAAAGACACATGAATATACATAACAGTCAGGATGTCCTGATGGGAACCATGAAGAATAGTTAAGTGACAGGAGATAGACAAGGTTGGTGGGGCCTCTCGGGGATGGTGATTTGGGCTGATATTTAAAGTTGGACAGGGCCAGTCTTGCAGAGAGCCAGGAAGAGTGCTCTTGAGAAGGCCCTGAAGGAATGAGAACCCCAGGTTTCGGGGGCTTGGGGAGACTGAGCGAAGACAGGGGGCCACTGTGGTGAGTGGACAGCAAACAGGTCAGGTGGACCAGCATGGGCAGATCACATGTACAGTAGGTTGGATGTTATTTTGTGAGTGACGGCGTAAAAAAAGTAAAATATCTCAATGATGTGTATTGATTACATGTTGAAATGTAGTATTTCAGATATTTTAGGTTAAAACTATATTGTTAAAATTAATTTGGCCTCATTCTTTTTACTATTTTAATATGGCTCTCATAGAATTTGAATTTTGCATAGAATTTGAATTTTGTATTATATTTCTGTCAGCAGTGCCAGTCAAAGGTATGTAATAGATGCTGAATGGATGACAAGACCAAGCCTGGAAGAGTGGATTTCTCTGTCTCAATTCCAGTGAGGGCCAAAAAAGAAGTTTCCCCACCACTGTCAGCCTCTGGGAATTCTGTGGTGACTCATTCATTGGCTTTTCTCTTCCTTCCCAGGATCTCATAGATCAGAACATACTGGAGCCTGTAACCCGTGCACAGAGGGTGTGGATTACACCAACGCTTCCAACAATGAACCTTCTTGCTTCCCATGTACAGTTTGTAAATCAGGTACAGAATGTGTGGACCTCTTGTCCAGAGGTGGAGCGTGGGGCAATGAGGTGGGAGTTGTAGCCGATATGAGTCAGGGAACCAAGTTCCAGCCCAACCTGGTCTTCATCACCCTGTTCTATGATTATATATTTGACTGATTAAAAAAATAGAAAGAAATCTTTTCTATAATGCATGCCACCTGGCTGGGAAATCGTCTAAACTGTCAGCTGCAAGAGGGTGGGGGGATCATTAGAGCATAGAGAAGGCCTGGCCCAGTGGACAGGGCTAGGTTTCAGTAGTGGCACGGGTCTGCTCCAGGGCCAGGCTCTCTCCCCCAGGCTCTGTGCTCCTGGCAGGTGCTCGGCCTCACTCAGCCTTCAGGTTCTCAGGCCCCTTCCTCCTCCCCAGCAGGCCCAGGCTTTGGGGAAGTCCCCCAAGGCCTCCGTCTCCTTGCAGAGTCTCTCAGGTGATGCCCTTGCACCTCCCTTGCTACTGACCATGCCATCTAAACAATGCTTTTCCCCTAATCTGATGTAATAAATAATGAATTATGCTCCTTTTTATGACTCCTCTGAGTGCTGGTGACAGCTGAAGGGTGGGTGTCCTGTATGAGCCCTGAGTGTGCTGGTGCAGAAACTGGCCCTTAGAACTCCTTGGTGAACTTGGTTGAGCTGAGTGGGAGGGGGTGGGTGGTAAGGAAGATCGAGGGATACATCAGGGAAACACATTCCCAAAACCTTATGCTCTGTTGTCAGATCAAAAACATAAAAGTTCCTGCACCATGACCAGAGACACAGTGTGTCAGTGTAAAGAAGGCACCTTCCGGAATGAAAACTCCCCAGAGATGTGCCGGAAGTGTAGCAGGTGAGACAGCAGTCAGGGGCTCCTGACAGCTTTCAGGAACCCGAGAAGACCTGAGTCACCTGGTACCCCTATTTCTCCGCTGACCCTATGGAGCCTCCAGACCCATGGGGTGTCCCTGAGCCTGTGGGGTCTCTTGGGTCTGCAGTGGCCGCTCCTGGTCCATCTGCCTGTCCCCACCCCTACCCCCTGCAGCAGCCCCTTCCCAGACCCTCCCCAGCACGAGTCCCCTTGGCCAGACCAACTTGTTCACTGGGCACAAGAAGCAACTTTCTGGATCCCTTGATCCTTTTCAGCAAACCTAGGAAATGCGATTTCCTTTTGAAATGAGAAGAAAACACTTGAATCCAGTCTGGGTTGTATTTGTTGCTATACCAAGCTGTTTTAAAAAATGTTCTTTTTAATATTTTTTATGCAGGCAGGACCCATAAAGACAAAAGTGGTCACGGCCGACAAAAGTCATAAGAAGGCTGTGGGTGGAGCTCCTTCAAGTTCCCATGAAGGCCTGAGCCAATCCAGCCGGCCTCACCCCTGGCCCCAATCCCTCAATAAGTCCTGTCTTTTCCCTATTTGGGCTTTAAGGGCCAAGAGTAATTTGTTCTTCTCTGGCCCCCTAATGTTTGCCGTGATAGGGAGGAACCAGCAGACAGTTGGGGGTGAGAGATCACTTGTACTGTGGGTTGACTGGAGGAAGGGGCTCAGCTTGTGGCCACAAGGGCTCGTGACCTTCCCCTGGAGTGTGGCTCCTCCTAACGCAGGCCTCCTCTGCAGCCCAGGGAAGCTCAGTGTGTGCCCGGCACAGAAGGCTCCTGTGGCCCCAGAGCAGGGAGGCTGAGGGGCTGAAATGCGCATGCTCAGACCCTTCCCCAGCCTCAACGAGGGAACTTGGGGGACCCCCTCCAGACAGGAGCCTGTCCTTCCCCTGACACCTTCTCAGGGACATTGGAGAGGGAGGGTGGCTCCCCTTTTATCCCACCTGGCTAGCTTTCCCTCAGGAGTCCTCACCTCCCTCTCTGTGTGTACCCAGGTGCCCTAGTGGGGAAGTCCAAGTCAGTAATTGTACGTCCTGGGATGATATCCAGTGTGTTGAAGAATTTGGTGCCAATGCCACTGTGGAAACCCCAGCTGCTGAAGAGACAATGAACACCAGCCCGGGGACTCCTGCCCCAGCTGCTGAAGAGACAATGAACACCAGCCCGGGGACTCCTGCCCCAGCTGCTGAAGAGACAATGACCACCAGCCCGGGGACTCCTGCCCCAGCTGCTGAAGAGACAATGACCACCAGCCCGGGGACTCCTGCCCCAGCTGCTGAAGAGACAATGATCACCAGCCCGGGGACTCCTGCCTCTTCTCATTACCTCTCATGCACCATCGTAGGGATCATAGTTCTAATTGTGCTTCTGATTGTGTTTGTTTGAAAGACTTCACTGTGGAAGAAATTCCTTCCTTACCTGAAAGGTTCAGGTAGGCGCTGGCTGAGGGCGGGGGGCGCTGGACACTCTCTGCCCTGCCTCCCTCTGCTGTGTTCCCACAGACAGAAACGCCTGCCCCTGCCCCAAGTCCTGGTGTCTCCAGCCTGGCTCTATCTTCCTCCTTGTGATCGTCCCATCCCCACATCCCGTGCACCCCCCAGGACCCTGGTCTCATCAGTCCCTCTCCTGGAGCTGGGGGTCCACACATCTCCCAGCCAAGTCCAAGAGGGCAGGGCCAGTTCCTCCCATCTTCAGGCCCAGCCAGGCAGGGGGCAGTCGGCTCCTCAACTGGGTGACAAGGGTGAGGATGAGAAGTGGTCACGGGATTTATTCAGCCTTGGTCAGAGCAGAACACAGAGATTTTCCGTGTGTTGGTTTTTACTCTAGTTCCCCTTCTCATCCCCCTTCCTCAGGGTGTCCCCTAATTGCAAGGCCCCATTCCTGTCCCCAGCCCCAGGGCTCCTTGTCCAGTGTCCCAGCCCCCAGCCCAGCCCTGTGCCCCACTGTCCTCTGGGAGGGAGGTGCTGCATGGGCCCCTCCCCACCTGCTAAGGAGACTCGTTCTCTTCCAAGTGGTGAAAGGGCCCCTGAGCGTGTAGACAGAGTGACTTGGTTTCTCCAGAAACTGGAAGCCTCATGGGCTGAGGAACTGCCTCCCACCCACAGCAGAGCCCTGGCGGACACAATCCCTTTTCCTCATGGCTGCCCTGACTCTCTGAAGTGGCTTGGGGTTCTGGGCTGACTGTGGGGGACACATGGCCATCTTGAGCATCACACAGACCGGCGGGTCCTGCTGCAGTCCTGTCCTTCCTGTAGTCTTCACTCCACAGCCTCACTCCACAGTGAGTGACCCTCACTGGACACCCTCACTCCACAGCCTGCAACCTGAGGATGGGGTGTCCGCCTGAGCACAGCATCGGGGGCCTGGCCCCAGCAGCGGGTCCTGGATGTGCTGAGATTGGGCTGCCTGGGTTGACCTCATTGGGAGGAGGTGGGGACGGCAGGTCCAGCTGCGTACTGGGGACCCTGCTGCAAGCCCTGGATGTGGACTCCTGAGTCAGTTCTTTGCCTTCCTGTGGTCTTTTTCCGGCACTCACATCGCCCACCAAGGCCTGGGTGGGTGAGAACAGTGCCCACAAGGAGACCCTGAGTAACAGAGACTCACAGCCCATCCAGGTCTCTGGGCAGGAAATTGAAGGAATCATCACATTTTACAGAGGAGGAGACTGCAGCTCAGAGTGGGGGAAGTGTGTGCACCAGGCCACAGGCAAGTCTGTCCAGAGCACTGGTAGGAATGAGGGAAACTAGGAATGACCACTTTAAAAAGTTAGATGAGAAGAATTTCAAGGCCGGGCGCGGTGGCTCACGCCTGTAATCCCAGCACTTTGGGAGGCGGAGATGGGCGGATCACGAGGTCAGAAGATTGAGACCATCCTGGCTAACACGGTGAAACCCCGTCTCTACTAAAAATACAAAAAATTAGCCGGGCGCGGTGGCGGACGCCTGTAGTCCCAGCTACTCGGGAGGCTGAGGCAGGAGAATGGCGTGAACCCGGGAGGCGGAGCTTGCAGTGAGCCGCGATCGCGCCACTGCACTCCAGCCTGGGGGACAGAGCGAGACTCCATCTCAAACAACACACACACACACAAAACAACCAAAAAAAGAAAGAAAGAAAGAATTTCAAAGTTAAGTCATTGGAGTTTGTTGGTAATATATTTGTATGGCTTAGGTCATGTTACGCGCATCACCCCCTCACCCCATGTCTGCTGTTGGGTCTCAGCACTGGGTGGAGGGAGGGGCAATAGTCCTGGTGAAGAGGAGGGGGGAGCGGCACCAGCTGGAGTGGGGCCTCTGCCGCTGCCTCTTCCTGCTGTGGTTTCTCCGGCTTAGACTGCCCCTCTCACCTGGCTTGTCTGTGGGGAGATCTTTGTTCTCTGGCTGCTTTTAAGACTTTCTCCTTAACAGTGGTTTCAGCAATTCGATTGAGGCAAAAAGGAGCTGCAGAAGCCATGTCTGTAGCATTTGTGGCCTCCCCTTCTGTATAATAGCAGCCATGTTTTGGCCTCTGCAGGGCTAAGGTCCTCTGAGCAGCTGCTTCTCCACATCTCTGCCATGCACTCGGCCTCGGAGCTCCTGGTGTTCCTCAGCAGAGTCCACAGGGCTCTTTGGGGTCCCCTCCCTGTGCTGTAGCCTGGAATCTGTGACCTGAGGCGGTGAGCTGAGGCCACCACTGGGCTCACCTCATGGGCTTGGAGGGAAAGTCACTCCCCCAGGAAGTAGGTGATGAGCCCTTTACTCTGAGAATGTCTGCGCCTGGTGGTGGTGGGAGGACAAATGAGCCCTGTGTCAGTCCTGCTCCCTGAAGCCCACAGTCTGGTGGAGGAGGTGTCACCAGGGACCTAAATAGCTATCAGGAAGCATGGGGGCCACCTCCCCGCTCCCTGCACCTCCAGAGAGACTGCCGGCTCCAGGAATGTCATCCCTCCCTACTTGACTCTGGCAGAGGGAGGCTGTGCCGTTGCAAGGCCCCAGGTCAAGATATTGGTGGCCTGGAGGATGTGATTTCATTAAAATCAACATTGAGGGGAATGATTGTACTAACAACAGCATGTGCTGAAATACAGTACTTGCGCGTGCCAAGCTCTGTTCTCAGCACTTTATACACATATGAACACACTTAATCCTCATACAACCAGACTGTACAGGAACCCTCATTGTCCTTGTCTTAGACAAGCAGCGTGAGACGCAGAACATTCGTTCAGTGGAGGGGCTGGGCACGGAGATGAGTGACCCTCAGGGGCAGCAGCAATGATTGGGTCACTGGGTTCTGCTGACCTTTCCCAGGGGAGTATTTGGTGCTTGTTCGTGAGGCCTGCATTCACCTAGCGCTGGGTCACAGCTGGGGGTCCCTGAGAAGTCATTTAAGGTCACCTCTTATTTCAGGAATGAAACATATTTAGATAAGAAGTGGCTTCCCCTGGACCGTGATGCTGGCCCAAGACTACAAGACAGATGGCTTGCTTCTTAATCCAAGGTTCTTCTTATACCAAAAGAACAAAGAAAGAAAAAAGCCACAAAAGACTCAAAAGAAGCAGATTTCCCACCACAGCACAACCTCAGAACAATTCTGAGTTGCTCATTTTAAGATCAACGAGGCATTTTTAGGGCATGTATGCCTGAGAGAGGAAATCAATGTGAACGGCAAACTTCCCTCTAAAACAGCCTAATACAACACTGGTCCAGGAGGAACAAGGCAAGGAAACCCCCTGGTGAATGACTCATCTCAGGAAGAGGCAGGGCAGGGTCAGGAGAGTCTATGGAGGAGAAGACCTGGAACAAGACCTCTCTCTCTTGCTCTCTTACACACACACACACACACACACACACACACACACACTCTCACACCCCTATGAGCCCAAATCTATGAATTGAGAACCTCATTCTCTGACCTCACCTTCCATCTCCCTCAATCAGAGATGCCCACAAACCTCAGAGCTGTGTCCCAGCATCACTTGTTTTGACTCCCGTCCCCAACTGCCTTGACTTCCTGTCTGCCTGGGAACCTGTCTGTGTGGACTTTTCCCTCTATGTCCACCAGTGTCCTGTCACCAGTGGCATTTGTCACCTCTGCCTGGGCAGCCCCACATGACTCTTTGCACCTTCATGGACTTTGGGGTTATTGATGTATGTGCCTCATCTCCCTGTGAACTGGAACTGTCCTAAGGAAAGGGAGGGTCGTGCCTTATTCCTGATACTCCACGATTCCTTGTATAGTGTGGCCACCAGGCACTGACATGCTCTCCTTGGATGAATGAGTACTGTGGGTTCTAGGAAGCCCGCATGAATGCAGATGTGATGTCCTCAGCCTTTCATAGACATGTTTCATGTGAGAGGTGGGAAGAGCAGCTGAACAGAAGGCTGAGGACTGCCCAGGTCCAGAGTCACCAAGAGCTTGTTGTCAGGTTTTCACTTGCTATTCGCAGAGATTTTTTTTAAAGGCACTATTTGTAGTGTTAAAAGGGTGAATTTATCAGAAGGCATAATAATCATAAATGTGTATATGCCTAATAATAGAACTTTAAAAGGCATGAAGCAACACTCAAAAGGATTAAAGGGAGATCATCTCACCCCCTTCTTACCAATTGATAGAATGATCTGATGAAAACAGTAAAATAACAACAGATCTGAACACTGTCAACCATCTTGACAAATACTTATGCCTAGTGTTCCATTATTGGAACACTAAACATGTGGAATGATTTATATCCTACTGCTCAAGGTCATCACCAAGGTCTAATTGTAAAATTTCAAAAAATTGCAACCTCAGGCATAAATGGGTTAATCGACATTTATAGCACACACATGCAACATGTACCAGAGATTCCTTCTTTTCTATGAACATGGTACTTCCACCAAGATAGACCACATTGTGAACTATAAAACAAATCTAAAAACATTTGAAATGAAGGAAATTATATAAAATATGTTCTCTGATCTCAATGAAATTAAATTAATAACTATATCTAGAAAAACTCCCAATATGTGAATATTAAGCAACATACTTATAAAAAATTCATAGTTCATGGATGAAATCAAAAGAGAATTCAAAATATTTCAAAATAAATTATGATGATTATATAAAATGTAGAAATGTGTGGGATGCCACTACACCAGTTCTTAGAGTGAAATGCACAGCTTTCAAGGCTTCTGTTAAAAGAGTTGGGAATTACAAAACAAGGAGCAGCGACTGCCAATGGGTGTGGAGTCTTTTTTGGGGTGATGATGAAAATGTTCAAAAATTGATTTTATTGATGGTTACACACGTCTATAAATATATTTAAACGGAAGAATTATATGATATATATGTGATATATGAAGTATATCTCTGTAAAATTCCTAAGGATTAAAAGAAGAATGGTATCACAATCAATGACTCAGAGGTCTGCATTACTCACCCATAACATAAGTGTAAATTAAACTCAGAGGCAGTAGCAGGAAGGGAAAGAAATAATAGAGTAGAAATTAATGAAATAGAATACAAAGAATAAAAGGAATCAACAAGCCAAGAGTTGGGTCTCAGAAATGATCAACACAATTAATAAAATTAATAAACCAAACCTCAAAAGAAAAAGAACAATGGCATGAAACACCAATATCAAGAATTAATGATGGGATATTATTACAAACTCTACAGCTATTACAAGGATAATAGTGGGATCTGATGAATAACTTTATGCGAAAAAAATTCAACAACTTAGGTGAAATAGAGAAATTTCTTGAAAAACCCTACTTAGCAAAATAGTCACAAGAGGTAAAGATCATTTAAATATTTCTACAGCTATCTAAGAATTGGAATTTATCATTTAAAAGCTTACAATGATGAGGCTGGGCGCGGCGGCTCACACCCATAATCCCAGCACTTTGGGAGGCGGAGGCAGGCAGATCACAGGGTCAGGAGATCGAGACCATCCTGGCTAACACGGTGAAATCCTGTCTCTACTAAAAATACAAAAAAATTAGCTAGGCATGGTGGTGGGCGCCTGTAGTCCCAGCTGCTGGGGAGGCTGTGGCAGGAGAATGGCGTGAATCTGGGAGGCGGAGCTTGCAGTGAGCCGAGGTCGCGCCACTGCATTCCAGCCTGGGCGACAGAGCCAGAGCGAGACTCCATCTCAAAAAAAAAAAAAAAAAGATCTACCTAGGGCCTTTCCCTCTCAGCCACACCTGACTTGAATCTGGTGGAAATCCTTTTCATCCTCCATCTTGTACATGGAAATGATGATAATGGTAATGCCACAGGTAGGAATTGAGGACTTTAGAAAGTTCAGAGTTGGCTCTGATATTGCAACTTCCTGATCTGTGACCTGACATGGATGACCACAGCCTGAGGACCTGCTGTCAGACATCTGTGTAAAGCAGTACAGCTCCATCCTCACAGTCAAAGGGAACTGTCAATGGACAGAGCCCAGAACCCCCTGCGGCACTGTGGGTGTGTTCCTTAGGAATGTGCAAACTGCCAATGGCTAAAGCCACAAAGGCAGAGATCACTTGAGGCCAGGAGTTCAAGACCAGCTTGGCCAACATGGTGAAACCCCGGCTTTACCAAAAATACAAAAATTATGCGGGCATGATGGCACACGTCTGTAATCCCAGCTACTCGGGTGGCTGAGGCAGGAGAATTGCTTAAGCCTGGGAGGCAGAAGTTGCAGTGAGCCAATGTCATGCTACTCCACTCCAGCCTGGGCAACAGAGTGAGACCCTGTCTCATCAAAAATATCTATATCACAGACTTAAGGGATCCAGCTTTTGTTGGGCTCCCAATATTTACAGACAGTGAATTAACTGCTTTATATACACTGCCTTCTTTAATTAATACAATAGTTCCGTAAGGAGGTATTAGCAGCCCATTATTGCAGATGAGGAAAGCCGAGACCCAGAAAGACAATTCAATGTGTTCAGGAAAGGCCCCTGCCTTTAACAATTCAGCTGCACCTGAGCCGCCCTTGTCTGATTCCCAATTCTGCTTTTCCTGTCTACTTGAAAATTCACCAAAAAGTTTGCCTGGATGACGTAGCCCAGACTACACATATTACACAGGACACTGTCACCTCCGTGTGGGAGGTGCCCCATCTTGTTTTATCACCTTATATGCCATGAGAACCTTGAGCAGTGCCTGGCTCAAAGCAGGTGTTGGTAAATGTTTACTGCACAAGTGCGTGAAGGAAGGACAGACGGATTGTGTCATTCAGAAGGCACAAGAGAATAGACATCTCATCCATGTTGTCCACCATTGATTTCTTGGGCACTCCTACCAGAATCCGCTCATGAAATTTCTAACTAATGTGGTGCCACCTGCCTCTAGAAGGATAACATATGCCATCTTAAATTCAGATTAATGAGAACAAGGGCCATTTGTAAAATTGTACAATGAGGAGCAGTTTCCTTACCAAAAAGCTGATCATAAGAGGCTGGGCTAAGTAGCTCTTGCTGTAATCGCAGCATTTTGGGAAGGACCGAGGGAGGATCACTGGAGCCAGGAGTTCAAGACCAACCTAGTGAGACAAAAAAAAATTTATATACTTAAAAATAAACACTTAAAAAAGATAGAATTAAGATCTCTTCAATACTTTTTTTTATCATAGAACATGCTTCAATTCAAGTATTTTCTTATAACTCAATTAGGTCTTGTGATTTTCTTCAGATAAGTTATTCCTTTTTTTTTTTTTTTTTTTTTTTTGCTGAGATAGAGTCTCACTCTGTCACCCAGGCTGGAGTGGAGTGGCATGATCTTGGCTCACTGCAACCTACGCCTCCCAGGCTCGAGCAATTCTCCTGCCTCAGCCACCCGAGTAGCTGGGATTACAGATGTGTGCCATCATGCCCGGATAATTTTTGTATTTTTACCCCGGCGAGCTGGGGTTTCGCCATGTTGGCCAAGCTGATCTCGAACTCCTGGCCTCAACTAATCTGCCCACCTTGACCTCCCAAAGTGCTGGGCTTACAGGTGTGAGCCACTGCGCCCGGCCTCTTTTTTTTTTTTTTTTTTGACGGAGTTTTCGCTCTTGTTGCCCAGGCTGGAGTGGAATGGCGTGATCTCGACTCACCACAACGTCCACTTCCCAGGTTCAAGTGATTCTCCTGCCCCAGCCTCCCAAGTAGCTGGGATTACCGGCATGCGCCACCAGGCCCAGCTAATTTTGTATTGTTAGTAGAGACAAGGTTTCTCCATGTCGGTCAGGCTGGTCTTAAACTCCCGACCTCAGGTGATCCGCCTGCCTCGGCCTCCTAAACTGGTGGGATTACAGGCATGAGCCACCGCACCTGGCCCAATCTTGATTTCATTTCATTGGGAAGACCTAGGTCTTTCACCATTAATTGGCTCTGTTTTTCTTTTCTTTTCTTTCTTTCTTTCTTTTTTTTTTGGAGTCTCCCTCTGTCGCCCAAGCTGGAGTGCAATGGCAGGATCTCGGCTCACTGCAACCTCTGTCTCCCGGGTTCAAGCCATTCTTCTGGGTCAGCCTACCGAGTAGCTGGGATTATAGGCACCCGCCATCAAGCCCGGCTAATTTTTGTATTTTTGTAGAGACGGGGTTTCACCATGTTGGCCAGGCTGGTCTTGAACTCCTGACCTCAGGTGATCCACCCACCTTAGCTTCCCAAAGCACTGGGATTACAGGCGTGAGCCACCGCGCCCGGCCGGCTCTTGTTTTTCTACAAAAATTCTTATCATTGTGAATTGTCCTCCTATTCTGTTCTAAGAACAAGAATAGGTGAATAATTCTGCTAAATGGCTTCTCAGCCTCCACTGAGACGATATGATGTTTGCTTATTGATACTATTGATACGGTACGTTATTTTTGAACACATTCACATTCTCTGAATGAGCTTTTACGTTAGATTTTCCAAAGTACCCTCATATATATGGAAGTCATTAGTCTCCTAAAAGCCAGGGAGGAGGTAGCTGTGTCTTGTTGGGGTGGTGAAAATTGCCTAAAAGGGGCAGAAAGGGACTTTCTGGGAATGGTGGAAATTCTCTGTCTTGATTGCATAATGGTTACATGTGAGTATACAGTTGTCATAGAGGAAATGAAACACTTAAGAAATGAACAGCTGAGACTGGGGCCCGGTGGCTCACACCTGTAATCCCAGCACTTTGGGAGGCGGAGATGGGCAAATCATTTGAGTCCAGCAGTTTCAGACCAGCTTGGGCAACATGATGAAATACCATCTCTACTAGAAATACAAAAATTAGCCAGGGGTGGTGGTGTGCCCCTAGTCCCACCTGCTCAAGGGGCTGAGGTGGGATGATTGTTTGAGCCCAGGAGACTGAGGTTCCGTGAGCTGAGATTGCAGCACTGCATTCCAGCCAGGGTGACAGAGTAAGACCCTGTTGTTTTTTGTTTGTTTATTTGTTTGTTTGTTTTTTAACTGAATAGTTTACTGCATTAACTTACATCTCAGTGACCAAACAGGGACAGAGAATCTGTGAGCTCTGCAGGATGGGTGGTTTATTATTTACATGGAGACCAAAGAGGGGAGGTGACATGAACCAGGTCCCACAGCTGGTGGCTTCTCAGGGTCACTACTGGAATCCACGACTTCTGACTCTGATCAAGGGGGTTCTCCATTGTCTTTTTTTTTTTTTTTTTTTTTTTGTTGAGATGGAGTCTCGCTCTGTCACCAGGCTGGAGTGCAGTGGCGCAATCTCCGCTCACCACAACCTCCAACTCCCTGGTTCAAGCGATTCTCCTGCCTCAGCCTCCCTAGTAGCTGGGATTATAGGCACACACCACCATGCCCAGCTAATTTTTGTATTTTTAGTAGAGACAGGGTTTCACCATGTTGGCCAGGATGGTCTCGATCTCCTGACCTTGGCCTCCTTGACCACCTACCTTGGCCTCCCGAAGTGCTGGGATTACAGGAGTGAGCCACCGCGCCTGGCCCACTGTCTTTTACAGACACCTAAAAGCTGAAGGGTCTCAGATGAAAAAGGTGAATGAATATCAGTGAATGTCACTTGTTTCTTTTTATATTCTTTAAACGAGGCTGTACAAAACATAAGCTCGTATTCCTGGCCCTCTCTCTCTCTAAGGAAGGCGGTGTGCCGTGTGATGCACACACATTTTATTGAATCCCATGTGAAAAATAAATAAATCTTGGGACCATAAAATCACTAAGCCAAAGGGAAAAGTCAAGCTGCGAACTTTGTCAGGCAAACCTGCCTCCCATTTTATTCCTAAATAAGATAGTTACAAAGATTAAAAAGCTGCATACCTCCCTCACAATTCGCCCATGAGGGAATTCCTTGTGGGCCTCAAGATCCTTACCCTAAAACAGTTCTGCTGAATTTCACTCTGGCAATGTAAATTGATAGCTGATCTTCACATGTGGGACAGAAAGTCATCCCTCTGTCCACCTGAGACAAATGCATATCTGACTGCTTCCTCCGCCCTATTGTTTATGAAAAATGCAGATTCACTGAGCCAGACTAAGGCATGAGTGACTATTCCTCCACCTCTACTCTTTTACATATAAGCTGTGTATTCAGTGAAAGGCTGATCAAAGACCCAAAAGAATGCAACCTTTTGTCTCTTATCTACCTATGACCTAGAAGCCTCCACTTCTGGTTGTCCCACCCTTCTGGACAGAACCAATGTACATCTTACACATATTGATTAATATCCCATCTTTCCCTAAATGTATAACAGAAAGCTGACCCCAACCATTTTGGTTGGGACCTCCTGAGCCTGTGTCATGGGCGTGTCCTCAACCTTGGCAAAATAAGCTTTTAAAAAATTTTTATTTATTTATGTATTTATTTTTGAGACAGGGTCTCGCTTTGTCACCCAGGTTGGAGTGCAGTGGCAGGGTCTTCGCTCACTGTAACCCCTGTCTCCCAGGTTCGAGAGATTCTTGTGCCTCAGCCTCTCGAGTAGCTGGGATTACAGGCATGTGCCACCACACCCAACTAATTTTTGTATTTTTAGTAGAGGCACGGTTTTGCCAAGTTGGCCAGGGTGGTCTGAAACCCCTGACCTCAAGTGATCCACTGGCCTTGGCCTTCCAAATTGTTCGATTATAGGCAGGAGCCACTGTGCCTGGCCACAAAATAAACTTTCTAACTTGATTGAGACCTGTCTCAGATATTTTGGGTTCGCACCCTCGCAGTCCTGAGATCTGGGTGGGGTTGCTCCCTCTTGGGGTGACTTATTGCTCAGGATCTGTTTGCCCCACCTACCTCTGCCCCGGCCTCAGGGAATGAGGCTGAGCTGGGTGTAAACAGAGATCCCCCCCACAGACCCTGCGGTTTCCACAGATGCAGAAGTGGCCACCCTGGGACCTGCTCCCATGACAAGCGCAGCCCAGGCAGCCTCCTCCCTCCTCTGAGCTCCTGCTGCAGCCACTGTCTCTCCCTCCCTCGGACTCTCACCCACTTTGCTTTCAGCCTCACTGGATGGGTTCTCAGCCCTGTGTGAGGGCTGATTCTCTGATGACCTTGACTCCCTGCAGCGCCTTGGGTGTCAGGGAGGCCAGGCAGTGTGGGCGCGCTCTCTATGGATGGGAAGCAGGTGGGCGCTGGAGCAGTAGGTTCATCCATGCAGGGGGCTCTCCAGGTTCCCCCCTTGGGTTCTGGGCCTAATGTGGGAACTTCTGTCCTTTCTGAACTGAGTCCCAATTCACCTGGCTCTCTACATGGCTTTCTCCACCCAGCTCAGAGGCTGTGCTTCTACAACTTTGGACAGATCCTACCCTTTAACTCCTGGAACCCGCTCATGAGGCAGCCGAGCCTCATGGACAATGAGATCCTCATGGCCAGAGCTGATGCAGCGATCCCTGGGAATGCCTTGTACGGATGCTAGTGAGATGGGTCAGCAAAACCAGGTGGGGCCCCTTGGTCCACACCCTGCAGGATGCCTTGGAAACACTGGCAGAAAGATGTATTTACAGGCATAATTATTTTTTAAAAACTCTGAAGCTAGGCCGGGCGCGGTGGCTCACGCCTGTAATCCCAGCCCTTTGGGAGGCTGAGGTGGGTGGATCATGAAGTCAGGAGATTGAGACCATCCTGGCTAACATGGTGAAATCCCATCTTTACTAAAAAATACAAAAAATTAGCCGGGCGTGGTGGCGGGTGCCTGTAGTCTTAGCTACTCGGGAGGCTGAGGCAGGAGAATGGCGTGAACCCGGGAGGCAGAGTTTGCAGTGAGCCGGGATCACACCACTGCACTCCAGCCTGGGTGACAGAGCAAGACTCCATCTCAAAAAAAAACCAAACTTTGAAGCTAATATATTATATTAGATGTTTTGGTCAATACATTCATTTGTCTCATTCTTTTTAACAAAAGCATAGTAGCTTCTTTCATAGTGGAACTATGGTCCATTCTACTGTTGCCTTCTGTGGGTAGTTGCATTTGTTTTTGAAAATTCTAACAGCAATCATCTTGTAGGTATCACATATCCAGATAGTCATGTGCACTACTTAAAAGCAGAATTGCGGAGTCGATGAGTTAATGATTTAAAAATTTTGTTTAGATTTTGACAAATTGTCCTCCAAAAGAAAATTACAACAAGTTTACTCTCACACCAAGAGTCCTACACCCTTGCTACTCTGAACTTTCATTCTTTGCTAGTCTAACAAGTAAACAATGGTGCATCTCACTGTTGTGGTTTTGATTTCTCAGCATTATTTGAGGATTTTCCAGGGTCCGGGAGTTTTCTGAGACTGAGTGTAAATGATCCGCAGACCTCAGATGAGATGGCAGAGGAGGGTGGCAGGGAAGACTGAATTCCCAGCTGTGCACTTGGAAAACCGTGGTCAGCTGGGGCCAGTCCCCACCACCTGCCATGGCTGTGAATGGAGATAAGGTCTCTGTCCTCAAGCTGTCAGGATGACCTCAAATGAGTCTGGAGCTGAACTCAGTTCCTGACCCCAGGTCCTCGCTCTGTCAGTGCTGGGCTGGTCCAATCTCTGTACCAGGTCCTTCCACCCCGCCCCTCTGTCTATCAAAGTGAGAACTGAGAAATTCTGAAGGCTCAGAAGCTTAGACACTCAGGCTGTCAAAGAGCCCAGAGATTGGAGGCTAAAGACGGCCAGGGTTGGCGGTGCTCCTCTTCAACTCTGTGACTCTGGTGTGGCCCAGCTCCTTCTTGTAAAATAAGACAGAGAGGCCTTATTTATGCAGAGGGCCTGTATAAACCGCAGTGGACTGTGTTGGCAGTGTGAGGTTGTGTGGGAGGACAAACCACATCCTCAGGGCTTGTGTCAGTCACTCTGGACTGGATTCCCAGGGCACATGTCCTCCACCCAGCAGAAGCTGCACCTGCTCCTACCTGCGCCTCAGTACCGGCTCCCTCAGCTTGGGGCAGAAGCTTCTAAAGACTAGGTTGGAGTGCCATGGGGAGGGGCCATGGAGGAACAGAGGTGCCAGACTGCAAGTGAGGACAGCGATGGCACTACAGGGCCACAGCCTGGTTTACCTGCCATATTTCCAGTTGTCCTTCTGGTGGGTGCCCTGCCCAGGTTGCAGTTTGAAGAGTGAGCAGGAAAGGTGTCTGTCGCTCCCACATCTAGGTAATGTAAAAGCTAAACCCTCCAGGGGAACTGTAAAAGTTGGGGTACTATATGGGTGGCCTAAGCACTTGACTCCTCGGGGGAGAAGCTGGGGGTTGGGAGTTTTCTCCTGATGCGCAGCAGTGTACACGGGGTGGTGTTTGTGTGTGAATGTGTCCCAGCTTTTCCTGCCCATTTCAATGTGGAGTTTTCTCAGTTCCCCATGTGTAGGAGTCTCTCCACTAGTTTCTGGGTTTCTCTCAGATAAAACTGATTCATGTGTAGATGTTTATTTGGTGCTTCCACAAAGAGAGGAAAAGTGGAGAGCCTCCTGTAGAATTATCTTGCTGATGACAAAAACCTGGTTTTCCTGGTTTTAAACCTAACTTAGCTTCACTCATGGGTACTGTGCAGAGCTAGGTGGGGGGAAACAGACTCTGAGGGATAATTTACCTTGTATAATGGAGCAAGAATTACCAGCTCAGGGACTATAAGGAGGATTAAATGAGATGTGTGTGAAATGTACTACATACACTACCCGATGATATATAAGGTGAGTCAGGAATACAAATTTATATTTTCTGGGTTTTTTTTTGTTTTTTTGTTTTTTAAGACGGAGTCTCATTCCATCACCAGGCTAGAGTGCAGTGGTTCAATCTCGGCTCACTGCAACCTCCACCTCCTGGTTCAAGTGATTCTCCTGCCTCAGCCTCCTGAGTAGCTCGGACTACGGGCATACACCATCATGCCAAGCTAATTTTTGTATTTTTAGTAGAGATGGAGTTTCACCATGTTGGCCAGGATGGTCTTGATATTTTGACCTCGTGATCTGCCTGTCTTGGCCTCCCAAAGTGCTGGGATTACAGGCATGAGCCACTGTGCCAAGACACAAATTTATATTTTCTAATATCCTCATGAAAGAAGTACACGACATTAATGTTCATGACATTTTATTCAATGTAATATAACCAAACTTTTCTCATTTCAACATGTAATTAATGCACAATAAAGTATTAATGAAACATTTTACATTCTTTAGTACACTAAATTCTTTTTTTTTTTGAGACACAGTCTCCCTCTGTCGCCCAGGCTGGAGTGCAGTGGCGCGATCTCGGCTCACGGCAAGCTCCACCTCCCGGGTTCATGCCATTCTCCTGCCTCAGCCTCCCAAGTAGCTGGGACTACGGGCGCCCGGCACCACCCCCAGCTAATTTTGTTTTTGTATTTTTAGTAGAGACAGGGTTTCACCATGTTAGACAGAATGGTCTCAATCTCCTGACCTTGTGATCCGCCTGCCTCAGCCTCCCAAAGTGCTGGGATTACAGGTGTGAGCCACCGCACCCGGCCTAAATTTTGTTTTGTTTTGTTTTGTTTTGTTTTTGAGACAGAGTTTCGCTCTTGTTGGCCAGGCTACAGTGCAATGGGGCGATTTCAGCTCACCGCAATCTCCTCCTCCGGGGTTTAAGTGATTCTCCTACCTCAGCCTCCCAAGTAGCTGGGATTACAGGCATGCACTATCACGCCTGGCTAATTTTGTATTTTTAGTAGACACCAAGTTTCTCCATGTTGGTCGGGCTGGTCTTGAACTCCCTACCTCTGCCTCCCAAAGTGCTAGGATTACAGGCATGAGCTACAGTGCCCGGCCTAGTACACTAAATTCTTGAAACAGGGCAATCAAATTGCTCATCAAATTCAGGTTAGCCTCAGCTCCAGTGCTCAGGAATCCGGGGGCCAGTGCCTGTCATGCAGGACTCCGCAGGCCCTCAGGAGGCCCTCTACCTGATATAGGCCCTGAACTACAGCCAGGAGGGAAGGTGAAAGAGGAAGGGAAAGACAGATCGGTGTAGGGTGTTGTTAGGGGACAAGGTCGGATACAGTAGGGGGAGGAGAAAAGGGTGGGAGAAGAGGATTTAGGATTCTATTGGTCTAATGAGAAATGGCATAACTATAAGACAATCCTATTCATGATGACTACAAAGAATAAAATAGAAGGATAAACCCTTGACAGAAGCAGGAAGCTTGAGCCCAGGAGGTTGAGGCTGCAGTGAGCCCTGTGCTCCAGCCTGGGTGAGAGAGTAAGACCCTATCTCAAAAAAAAAAAAAAAAAAAAACTAAAGAAGTTTACATTACCTTTTGTCCAGGAGGGGACTTTCATAAGATTATAATCAATGACAAAATAGACATATCAATAGATTAAGCTTCTTAACATTAAAAATTCTGCACATGGAAATCTTTGACCAAATAAAATTGCAAACAAGAAAGTAGAAACCTATTATCTGCATCTGAGAAAGTGCATGGGTAGGGACCCGTATCTCAATAGGCAGGATAAAAGTTGTAAGTTATCAGTTTGAAAAGAGAATCAAACAGCTAATAAACATGTGACACCTAAGTCCAAAAATAAAGAAATGCATATTTAAGTTAATTAATTTCTTCCTAGTTTGAGAAAACAAAAACGAAAGAGCAAGCACATCAGCTCAAGACTAATGAAGTGTTGTTGGAACCAAAACTGTGCATGTGTATGTGGTGTGCACATGGGTGTGAGTGTGTTTGTGTGTGTGTGTGTGTGTGTGTGTGTGTGTGTGTGTGCAGAAAAAAATGCCTCTGGACATTAACACAGTAATTCTATTTCTTTCAGGAAGCTACCTTATGAACTTGGTCAGAAAGTTGTCCAAGATTTCTTTTCAAATACATACACAAACTTCTGGCTCTAAGTCCATCTTGAGACTGTAGACTCCCATCCTCACCTTCAGAGGGGCATTCCATGGGGTGCCCAGGGTGTGTGTTGGGAGAGAACCAGATTGGAGTCAAAGGTCAGGGAAAGGAGCACTGGCCTAGAGAATAAGTCTCTTGTAATGAAAGGCCATAGGACACAGAGCCTTATTGTGGAGTCCTAATTAGGGAAAGTGAGCCAGACTGGTGGGAGCAGGGGAAAGCAAAAAGAGAAAGCAGGTAAGCGTGAAAGGAAAGTAAATCTTGGGGGCCCCAAATCACTTAGCTAAAGGGAAAAGTCAAAACTGAAAACTTCTTAGGGTAAACCTGCCTCTCATTCTATTCAAATTCACCCTCTGCTCACTGAGATAAATGCACATCTGATTGCCACCTTTGAAAAGGCTAATCAGAAACTCAAAAGAATGTAACTATTTGTCTCTTATCTACCTATGAGCTGGAAGCCCCCTCCCCGCTTGGAGTTGTCCTGCTTTTGCTTCCAGTTAACCCACCTATTCTGGACTGAACCAATGTTCATCTTACATATGTTGATTGATGTCTCATGTTCTCCCTAAAATGTATAAAACCAGCTGGGTGTGGCGGCTCACACCTGTAATCCCAGCACTGTGGGAGGCCAAGGTGGATGGATCACCTGAGGTCAGGAGTTTGAGACCAGCCTGACCAATATGGCGAAAAACCATCTCTACTAAAAGTACAAAAATCAGCCAGGCATGGTGGCTGGCGCCTATAATCCCAGCTACTCAGGAGGCTGAGGCAGAAGCTTGAACCTGGGAGGTGGAGGTTGCAGTAAGCCAAGATCACACCACTGCACTCCAGCCTGGTGACAGAGCAAGACTCTGTCTCAAAAACAAAACAAAACAAAACAAACAAAACACCAAACTGTGCTCTGACCACCTTGGACACATGTCATCAAAACCTCCTGGGGCTATGTCAAGGGCATGCATTCTCAACCTTGCCAAAATAAACTTTCTAAATTAACTGAGATCTGTCTCAGATTTTCACGGTTTACATAAATCTGCCTTTCTTCGTGGTCCAGGACACAAAGCCCTCCTGTGCAAATAACTCACAATCTTCCCGCACTCAGCTATCATCAGACACCTGCAAGTCGGCTCACTGCAACCTTGGCTTACCAGTACTGCACAAAGCCCTCTTCAACAGTTGGCATAAACACTAGCCTATAAAATCTCCAGTAAGCCTTTGTTACTTTGCAGTCAGCTCCTCTTCTGCTGGCTTGCCCATTGCCTCCTTGCTACACATTTTCCTACTTTCTCTAATAAATCTGCTTTTTTTTTTTTTTTAAGATGGAGTTTTGCTCTTGCTGCCCAGGTGGGAGTGCAATGGTGTGATCTCAGATCACTGCAACCTCCCCTTCTGGGTTCAAGCAGTTCTCCTGTCTCAGCCTCCCGAGTAGCTGGGATTACAGGCACATGCCACCACTCCTGGCTAATTTTTGTATCTTCTGTTAGAGACAGGGTTTCACCATGTTGGCCAGGTTGGTCTTCAACTCCTGACCTTGAGTAATCCACCCGACTCACCCTCCCAAAGTGCTTGGATTACAGGCGTGAGCCACCGTGCCCAGCCATAAATCTGCTTTTCTTTACCTACAACTGTCTTGGTAAAATCTGTTACCTCTGCGCCACTGGGCCAGATACTGGTCTCTCCCCTGTGACACTTATTTACTGCTGGGTGGGATAAAGGGAAGAAGAAGAGGGAGAATGGAGAAGGAGGAAAGGCAGGGTTGGTCCAGAGAGGAGGAGAGCCGGGCTGGAGGAATGTGGAGGATGGAAATGGTAGCTCCCAGCCCCCAAGGGGCAAAGGCTGGGCCACAATTGCCCCTTTCTGTTTTCTAACCCTGACCCAAATTTCACTGCCCACATCCTTCTTAGATGTAAAAGATGCAGTCCCACGGAGGAAGGGCAGAGCCAGGAGGCAGTGGGGCTCTGGGCTCAGAGCTCAGGAGTCACCTTGCCTGAGAAAGATGTTCTAGCTGAGAGGGCCTGGCCATGGGGTGGGCTCCAGGAAAACGCTGGTTAGGTCTGGGATAGAGCAAACTTGAAACAAAGACAACCCCTGCCATGGCTGTGTGGCGCCAAGACTTGGAGATCAGGGGTTAAATCCTCATAGACAGTAGGCGGTGGCAACACAAGCAGCTCTAACTCTGGGGGAAGCCATGTTGCCCAAGCCCAGGCCCCTCCATGCTCAGCCTCCATGCAGCTCACCCAGCCCAGGGTTCCAAGTGAGGCCATGGGCAGTGCAGGCGGGAAGCAGGAGGTAGCATGGAGCAGCCGCAGCCCCACCTCCCCTCTAGGGAAGGCAGACAGCATGGGAGCACGCCTGGGCCTCCTGGGAGCTGTGGGCCAGAGGGAGAGCAGGTCCTCCAGCGCAAGGGGAGTGGGAAATGGCTCTCACAGGTGCCTGCAGGGCTGAGCAACCTGGGTCCACTGATGGGGATACAGGGAAGGGCTGCTGTCCCTCTCCCCAGAGGGAGGAGCAGACAGGAGAGAAACAGGGAGGAGGCGCGAATTCCAGTAGCCAAGAACCTGGTCCTTTAAAATCCAGGGAGTCATAGGCAGGAAACTCCCCCCACACCCCCACCGCCAGGCGGGCCAAGCCTGAAGGCAGAGAAGGGACAAGTAAGGAGGCCCAGCAGGAACGAAGCCCTGGCCTCCTGTCACTCAGAGCTGTGTCACAGCAGGAGAGGAGGATGGAAATAAACGAACACCACACCTTTTTAATATGAGGTTTCATATTTATTTTGGTCATAAACATATGAGTATTTCATATATAACCAGGTGTTATGTGCTATTTGGCCCGGGTATAAAGCAAAACCTAAACAAATCAACCAACGCCAAAAAACCCCAACAATTTCATGTTGTCAGGAAGCTTATGTTAAAGGAATAAGCTTAAACACTGATAAGGCTGGTAGTCTAGATGCATCTTCAAGGAAGGCCTCTGAGGAAGGGACAAAGGAGCTGGGACCGGACTGGCTCTCTCTGAGCTTTGAGACCAAGTCTCCTGCACAGAAGGCCCAGCAAAGGCAAAGACTAGGAGGCAGCAGCACCCTGTGTCATCCAGAAGTGCAGGGGACAAGGTGTGGGACGCCAGATGGAAGTGGGAGAGGATGGAAGTGCGAAGACCGGAAAGGCCATCCCCTCCTAAAACTCCATGGACACAACAATCTGAATGTGCGAACTTCAGGCAGTTCTAACTTTGTCCCAGCCAAACCAGTCCCGGAACAAAACACACAATGCCTTGAGATGGAAAAGACTGAAACCCCTAGAATGACTATATCCGTAATTTATCCTACCACGACTGGGCTACTGTGGAGAAGAGTTTGCTGGAAAGAAGCTAAAACGATTACTGAGGTTTTTAAATAAAATAATGGAACGTGACACAAGGACAAATGTGTCAGCCATTTTAGATCCTGTTGTCACAGTGTTTAAGAATTGATATCTCTGAGATGAGTCAGATGCTTACAGAGGGGCCAAGCTCCTCAAACAGGGAATCTGTACCCTAAAACGCAGCTCAGGAATCTCTGCCCTAAAAGGCATCCCAGGGACTCAGTTCACAGACCACCAGAAGCGAGAGGGGCCCATCCATGCCTGAGTCGGCAACCATTTCACACCATTCCCAAGCACCGTCCACTCTTCCCTCTTGATGCCATGGCAGATGCCGGGGCAGATAAACACCTGCTCTGCCCTGAGCCCAAATGAGGCTCAAGATTCACTAACGTTCAACTGTAATGGCGCTTGAAAGAGAAGCTCTTCGCAGTCTCGGATCTAACTTAATTCTCACTGTCCTCATCTGCTGTGGACAAGTCGGAAGATGCAGTCCCATGACTGTCCCAGCACGACAAACCAGACACATGGCTTCCCAAAGATACCAGGCTCTTCAAAATCCTGGGCATATGTAAACATCTACTTATAAATAAATAAATAAATATTTATTTATAAATAAATATGGCTATATACCTCTAAAATTAACAAGTAAGACAAGCTGCCCCTTGAGAAGCTGCCAGCCATCAAACCCTGGTCCAGTCTCAGGGCGCAGGAGGGAGAACTGGAATGCAGTAAGTGCCTCCCACAGAGGGAGGATTTCTCCCTCCGTCACTAGTTATATTTTTAGTCATTTTTGACTGCTGATTTGTATCCAGGCAACCCATGTAAACAGCCTAATAAGTGCATTTCCTAAAGTTTTTCCATGTTTACATCATTATACAAAAATCGGAAAAGAGATGTACAGCCTACAGTAGTAAGCAATATAAATGTTTCTCTAATTAAGGTGGGGGTAAGCCCCAATAATCCTATCTTAAAGCTCAAAACTCTAAGTCGAACCCTCGTAAGTCCATATGCTCATGACTTAGCATAGGGCTACGTCTTGATAATCTCATCATTAAGTCAAAAATATCCGAAACTGAAAATACAGGTAATAACAAGATAATCCCGTTCTAAAGTTAAAAAACTATAAGGCAAAGCATTGTGGCTGTGCGGCATCTGTAGTTAGATGTCATTAAATGCACACACCAGTAGAGATGGAGCTTGCAATATAAGAAGCAGAAAAAAAGACTTGTCTCATGATGAAGAACTGCAAAGAATGACATCCTAAAACCACTTTTTTTCTTTTTAAATTGAGATGGAGTTTCACTGTGTTGATGAGGCTGGTCTCAAACTCCCGAGCTCAAGCAATCCACCTGCCTCAGCCTATCAAAGTGCTGGGATTACAGGCATGAGCCACCGCATGTGGCCTAAAACGACCCTTAATACACAATCGTATAACTATGCAGCCAAGAATCTGATATAAATTTCTCCCGTTTGCTTATCACACGCAGTATTTCATAAAAATTACTCCAAGTGCGTTAACAAAGTTCTAGGACCATTGGTAAGCTGCCCCATATTGGATAGTAGAGTTTGTTGGGGCATGGGTCAAGTACTGGACTGTTTCTTCCAGGCTGCTTCCCTTTGTAGGAGAAAAGGTAAATGAGGGAAGCTCTGGTTTCCTGAAGAGATTCTTTCACAGGCAGGACGTAGCAGAGCCTGCCTCATCTTCTTCATAAAAGAGCTTTTCGGAGCCCACCAGTTGGTCCTGAATTGTTTCCTTTGCATGTCCTTCTTCCAGTGTTGCCGAGGCATCCAGCAAGGTGCTGACTGAGAAGAGAGAAGAGATTTAGGGTCTCAATGCTCCAAGGACGATCAGCACAGGATCGACATGGGGCCCCCTGCTTCCAGCAGTGAAACCTCCAGAAGAGCCCTCTCAGCTATAGGGACAGCAGTTAGGACACCGTCCCTATTCCCTGTCCTCCTGCTGCGTCTCAAGGCACAAAACACTTACTGTCAGCGGAGTCAGCGTCATTCACTGGAACCAGCAGCCTCCTCCTCTGACACCCTTCAGCTTCTGCCTGTTCCTGTAACACACAGTGGGGAATGCTCTGGTCAGAGTCAGGAGTCCTGCAGTCTAGTACTGACCCTGACCACTAGCCAGCAAGAGACCTGCAGCGCTTTCCCTCTTGGGTCTCCATGGAGATGGAGACAAACCTCTGGTCCTCCATAGCTCTTGGGCTCTGTGTGCTGGTGGCTCATTGAGACATAAGTGACATGCAGTAAATGCTCACTTTGTAAGTGTTCTGACCAACTTTGACTATAGGCCTGTGTAATTATCCCCTGATCAAGACATAGAAACTGCCACACCCCAGAAAGTCCCCTTCTGCCCCATCTAATCAACTCCCACCCACCCTCACAAGAAATGATCACTTCCTTCCAGAATTCTTACCAGCAGAGTCTCGGCAGACTATATATGAGAGCACCCAGGAAAACCTAACAAAATGATTTATCCCAAGACTGTAAATGATCTTTGATCATCAGTACTCTACCATATCAATAGCGTAATTAAATAAAATGGCAGTCTCTATGGAGGCTGGAAAGACATTTGGTAAAATTAAACAGCAATTCTGATTTTTTTCAAACCCTTTTAGAATAGTAAGCTGTGTTCTTGATGATGAGAATTTCTATATGAAACCAAAAGTGAATGCCATTGCTAAGAGTGACACTTTGGAGGCCTTCCCCAGAAATCAAATCAGGACCCAAACACCTGCCTTCCCTAAGCACAGCTGAATATTGTTCTGAAAGGTCTGGCCTAGGCAACAAGATGGAAAATTAAAATGAGGCAAGACTTTTGGAAGAGGGCAGACACAATAATCATTATTTTCAACGTCATTTAAAACCCCTAAGATGAAACTACAATATTGAAATAGAAATGTATGTCTGGAGGAATGTTAAAAACATAGCAAATGCAATAAATTAGCAAACAGAATTACAAGGTTATCCAACTCATAATGGATACAAAATACTAAACAGCCATAAGAAACAGGAATAATTTATTTGAAGAGGAACACAAATCACAACTCAGTTACAATAAAATACTTGACACCAAATGTTATCTCCTTTGATAAGGAAATACTGAATATTAATAAAATATTCAGTGTTTCTAGATTAATTTTTAATTTTAAAGCGAATTGATAAAACGGCAACTGAGGTTTTTCGGGAGGGAAGGATGGAGGAAATCTTTTAATTCTAAATTTTATCTGGGTAAAATAATACATTTTGAAAAAGTATGGAAGAGGTGTTTGCTCTTTTGGATGTTAAAAAACATTAGAAAGTTCCCATTGGAACATGCCTCAAAATGGTAAGAGCCATCTATGACAAACCCACAGCCAACATCATACTGAATGGGCCAAAGCTGGAAGCATTCCCCTTGAGAACTGGAACAAGGCAAGGATGCTCACGCTCACCACTCCCATTCAACATAGTACTGGAAGTCCTAGTCAGAGCACTCAGGCAAGAGAAAGAAAGAAAAGGCATCCAGATATGAAATGAAGAAGTGAAAACTCTTCATGGACGATATGATTCTATACCTTGGAAACCCTAAATACTCCACCAAAAGGCCCCTGGAACTAATAAACGACTTCAGCAAAATTTCAGGATACAAAATCAATGTATAAAAATCAGTAGCACCGGGCACCGTGGCTCACACCTGTAATCCCAGCACTTTGGGAGGCCGAGGCAGGCGGATCACGATGTCAAGAGTTCAAGACCAGCACGACCAACATGGTGAAACCCCGTCTCTACTAAAGAATACAAAAATTAACGGGGCGTAGCTGGGTACGGTGGCTCACGCCTGTAATCTCAGCACTTTGGGAGGCCAAGGAGGGCGGATCACAAGGTCAGGAGATCGAGACCATCCTGGCTAACACGGTGAAACCCCACCTCTACTAAAAATACAAAAAACTAACCAGGCGTGGCAGTGTGCGCCTGTAATCCCAGCTGCTGGGGAGGCTGAGGCAGGAGAATGGCGTGAACCTGGGAGGTGGAGCTTGCAGTGAGCTGAGATCGCGCCACTGCACTCCAGCCTGGGTGACAGAGCAAGACTCTGTCTCAAAAAGAAAAAAAATCAGTAGCATATCTATATACCAATAATGTTCAGGCTGAGGACCAAATCAATAACACAATCCCATTTACAACAGACACACACACACACACACACACACACACACACACACACACACAATACCTAGAAATACCTCTACCCAAGGATGTGAAAGATCTCTAAGAGAATTACAAAACACTGCTAAAAGAAATCATAGATAACATGAACAAATGGAAAAACATTCCATGCTCATGGATTGGAAGAATTAATATGGCTAAAATGGGCATACTGCTGAAATCAATCTACAGATTTAATACTACTCCTATCAAATTACCAATGTCATTTTCCACAGAATTGGAAAAAATTATTGGAAGTAACTGAATCACGTGGACTGGTTTTTCCAGTTCTGTTCTTGTGATAGTGAATAAGACTCACAAGAGCTGATGGTTTTATAAAGAGCAGTCCCCTGCACACGCTCTCTTGCCTGTCGCCATGTAAGATGTGCCTTTGCTCATCTTTCACCTCAGGCCATGATTGTGAGGCCTCCCCAGCCATGTGGAACTGTGAGTCCATTAAACCTCTTTTTCTTTATAAATTACCCAGTCTCAAGTATTTCTTCATAGCAGTATGAAAATGGAATAATACAACTCCCCATTCAACAGCTGATGCTTCGGATATTTGGCTAGCCATATGCAGAACAACGAAAACTAGACCCCTACTTTTCACCATATACACAAATTAACTCAAGGTAGATTAAAAGTTTAAAGGTAAGACCATGAACTATAAGAATTCTAGAAGAAAACCTAGAAAACACCCCTCTGGACATCAGCCATGGCAAAGAATTTATGATTAAGTCCTCAAAAGCAATGCAATAAAAACAAAAATTGTCAAGTGGCATCTAATTGAACTAAAGACCTTCTGCACAGCAGAAGAAACTCTCCACAGGCCGGGTGTGGGGGCTCACACTTATAATACCAGCACTTTGAGAGGACGAGGCAGGCAGATCACCTGAGGTTAGGAGTTCGAGACCAGCCTGACCAACAAGACAAAACCCCATCTCTACTAAAAATACAAAAATTAGCTGGGCATGGTGGCACGTGCCTGCAATCCCAGCAACTAGGGGGGCTGAGGAGGGAGAATCACTTGAACCCGGGAGGCGGAGGTTGCAGTGAGCTGAGATCATGCCACTGAATTCCAGCCTAGGTGACAGAGCGAGAGTACATCTCAAAAAAAAAAAAAAGTATCAACAGAGTAACAGACAACCTACAGAATGGGAGAAAATATTTACAAACTATGCATCTGACAAAGGTCTAATATTCAGGAGCCATATGCAACTTAAATGAACACACAGAAAACAACCCCATTAAAAATGGGCAAAAGACATGAACACACATGTCTCAAAAGAAGACATACAAGTGGCCAACAAACATATGAAAAAATGCTCATCATCATGAATCATCAGAGAAATGCAAATCAAAACTACAGTGGGATACCATCTCATACAGTGAGAATGGCGATTATTAAAAAGCCAGTAACAGTAAATGCTGGCGAGACTATGAAGAAAAAGGATCATTTATATACTTTTGGTGGGAATGTAAATTAGTTCAGCCAGTATGGAAAGGAGTTTGGAGATTTCTCAAAGAATTTTAAAACAACTACTATTTAACACAGCAAACCCACTACTGGGTATACATAGAAAAGAAAACAAATCTGCTGGGCGCGGTGGCTCACACCTGTAATCCCAGCACTTTGGGAGGCCGAGGTGGATGGATCACGAGGTCAGGAATTCAAGACCAGCCTGCCCAAGACGGTGAAACCCCGTCTCTACTAAAAATACAAAAAATTAGCCGGGTATGGTGGCACATGCCTGTAATCCCAGCTACTCTGGAGGCTGAGGCAGAGAACTGCTTAAACCTGGAGGGGCGGAGGTTGCAGTGAGCCGAGATTGTGCCACTGCACTCCAGCCTGGGTGACAGAGCGAGACTCCCTCTCAAAAAAAAAAAGGGAAAACAAATCATTCTACCAAAAGACACCACTATCCATAATAGCAGTGACATGGAATCAACCTAGGTTCCCATCAACAGTGGATTGGATGAAGACAATGTGGCATATATACACCATAGGTTACCACACAGCCATAAAAAAGAATGAAATCATATTGTTTGCAGCCACATGGATGAAGCTGGAGGCCATCATCCTAAGTGAATTAATGTAGGAACGCAAAACCAAATACTGCGTGTTCTCATTTATAAGTAGTAGCTAAACATCAGGTACTTACGACCATAAAGATGGCAACAATAGACACTGGGGACTACCAGGGCGGGGAGGGAGCGAGAGGAGGAAGGGGTGAAAAACTAACTGTTGGATACTGTGCCCACAACCTGGATAAAATCATTCATACCTCAAATTTCAGCATCAAACAAACTTACATATGTACCCCCTGAATCAAAATAAATTTGAAAAAGGAAAAATAAAAAATGAAAAAAAGTTTCCTTGGCAGTGTATTATATGTAAAGTAATCCCTGTAATGTAAACAAAATGTACATACGCTTGTATGAATATACATGGCATATGCATAAAGATTTCTACAAAGAATCACAAGAAATTATCTGTTGTATTCACCTGAATGAAGAAGGGCTGGGGGCTGGAGGAAGTGTTAGGGGACTACCACTATGACTCAGCACCTTTGTTTTTTTTTTGTTTTTGTTTTTGTTTTGAGATGGAGTCTGACTCTGTAGCCCAGGCTGGAGTGCAGTGGCGTGATCTCGGCTCACTGCAGGCTCCGCCTCACGGGTTCACGCCATTCTCCTGCCTCAGCCTCCCGAGTAGCTGGGACTACAGGCACCCGCTACCACGCCCGGCTAATTTTTTGTATTTTTAGTAGAGGTGGGGTTTCACCATGTTGGCCAGGATGGTCTCCATCTCTTGACCTTGTGATCCACCCTCCTCGGCCTCCCAAAGTGCTGGGATTACAGGCATGAGCCACGGCGCCCGGCCGACTGAGCACCTTTCTATAGTGTGGCAGATGTGTGGCTCTGCATTTACCACTTTCAAAAAATGTGCAGCGCGGCCAGGTGCAGTGGCTTATGCCTGTAATCCCACCACTTTGGGAGGCCAAGGTGAGAGGATGACTTGAGGCCAGGAGTTTGAGACCAGCCTGGGCAACATAGCAAGATCAGATCTCTACAAATTACAAAACAAAGGTGCAATGCGATTCAGCAGCGTGGAGTAATTGTTGATATTTTTTGTTTATTTCCTTACCTTTTTATACTTCCCTTCATTAAAAAAAATGGGGTATAGTTATAGGAAAGGAAGAAAATGGGTGGAAAGTGAACCTTGTCTAGGTAAGTATTTGACAAGTGATCAAAGAGGAGCCAAAAGCAGAGAAAAATAGGAGAATCAGTTCCTAAACAGGCGTGGAGGAAGGAGACAGTGACTCACAACAATTCAGGGAATTCCTCACTTCACACAGCATCACAAAAGAAATGGCACCTACGTTCCACTGGTGTATGCTACAAACCAAATCATTCTTTAAAAGTCCACAAAAAATTAGGTAGGATCATCTTATTTTATCCTGAAGGAAAGAACTTAAAAAAAAACAAATGTGTGTCCAGATTTCACACCTACTCAATGTCATATCAAAACTAGTGAATCGATGTGAATAACTGGATGTGTGTGTTTCTGTAATACAAAAGCACTTCTACACACTGACTCAGAAATCCTACTTCTTCCCAGAAGCCTCCTTACATACTTGATCAGAAATCTGGACAAAGATTTACTGTGAAATATGTTCAATGTAGTAAGAATTTTGAAGAACATTTAAAACTTCCGCTGTTTCAAGCAAGGGCTCCCTGACTTCTGTTAGGAGCACACGATGGAGACTGTGCAGCCTTATTCAGTCCTCAGTGAACCCTGTGACACCCACTCTATGCCTGTGGAGATCCAGGCTCTGGGGACACAGCAAGGACAGGACAGGGAGTAAGAAGCAGATGTCCTGCAGACTGGCACGGTCACCACCTCAGTGCAGCTGCTCCGTCCCCTGCAGTCCCCTGTCTCCCAAAGGCTCCATGTCCCCTTGGGCCAGGAAAGAGGAGGCACTGCCATGTCCCACTGTCTACAAAGTCCTGTGCAGGCTGCACGCCAGGCAGGGCACAGTCCCTCCTCAACTCACCAGCAGACGCTGTGGCTCCTCTGGCAACTCTACAGTCACACCTGTTAGCTCTGCCAGCTCCTGACCTTGGATTTCCTGCTCAGAGACCTGGGTGGGCTGCAAGTATCTGTTACTCAGGGTCTCGTTGCGGGCATTGTCCTCCGCCCCAGGAACTCGTGAAGGACATGAACGCCGCCGGAAAAGGACCTTGGGAAGACAAAGAGCCCACTCAAGTCCACACCCCGGGCTCAGCTTCAGGGTCCCCAGTACACAGCTGGACCTGCCATCCCCAACCCCTTCCAATGAGGTCACCCCAGGCAGCTGAGGCTCAGCACATCCAGGACCCCATGCTGAGGTGGGTCAGGTGGTCACCCCATCCCCATGGGGCCAGCTGTGGAGTGATGGTGTCACCGAGGCTGCAGGAAGGACAGGGCTGCAGCACGGCCTGCTGGTCTGTGTGCTGCTCAAAATGGCCGTGTGTCCCCCACAGTCAGCCCAGATCCCCCAGGCCATGTCAGAGAGTCAGGGCAGCCATGAGGACAAGGGATTGTGCCCACCCAGGCTCGGCAGTGGATGGGAAGCAGTTCCTGAACCCACGAAGCCCCCAGTTTCTGGAGAAACCAACTCACTCTGTGCACACGTTCGGGACCTCCTCCACCACCTGGAAAAGAAGCAGTCTCCTGAGCAGGCGGGGAGGGGCCCATGCAGCACCTCCCTCCCAGAGGACAGTGGGGCGCAGGGCTGGCTGGGGGCTGGGACACTGGACAAGGAGCCCTGGGGCTGGGGACAGAATGGGGCCTTGCAATTAGGGGACACCCTGAGGAAGGGGGATGAGAAGGGGAACTAGAGTAAAAACCAACACGTGGAAAATCTCTGTGTTCTGCTCTGACCAAGGCTGAATAAATCCCACGACCACTTCTCATCCTGACCCTTGTCACCCAGTTGAGGAGCTGACTGCCCCCTGCCTGGCTGGGCCTGAAGATAGGAGGAACTGGCCCTGCCCTCCTGGAGTTGGCTCCGGGAGATGAGGGGTCCCCCAGCCCTGAGAGAGGGACTGATGAGACCAGGGTCCTTGGGGATACACAGGACGTGGGGATGGGGCGATCACAAGAAGGAAGACCAAGCCAGGCTGGAGACGCTTGGACCAGGGGCAGGGATGGGGATTACTGTCTGTGGGAACGGAGTGGGAGAGGGCAGGGCAGACAGTGCCCAGCGCTCCCACCCTCAGCCAGCACCTACCTGAGCAGATGCCTTTGAGGTAAGAAATGAATTTCTTCCGACATGAAAAGCCAACCACAACCACAGCTAAAATGATGACTAAAACCACTATGATGATAAGGTAGTGATAGGGAGAGGCAAGCATCCCCAGGATGGTGGTCACTGTCTCCTCCGCTGCTGGGGTTTTCCCAGTGGAACTGGCAGCTGATTCATTTTTGCACTTGATGTCACTCCGGGGCGTACAATTACTGACCTTGACCATCCCTCTGGGACACCTGGGTACACACAGAGAGGGAGACAGGGACTCTTGATGGAAAGCTGGCCAGGTGGGATGAAAGAGGAGCCACCCTCCCTGCCCAAAGTCCCTGAGAAGGCGTCAGGAGGACAGGCTCCTCGTGTCAGCAGTGGGTCCCCCTGTGCTCCCTTCTTGAGGCTGGGGAAGGGTCTGAGCATGCACACTTCAGCCCCTCGGCCTCCCTGCTCTGGGGTCAGAGCTGTAGATCCAGGAGCCTTCTGTGCTGGGCACACACTGAGCTTCCCTGGGCTGCAGGGGAGGCCTGCGTTAGGAGGAGCCGCACTCCAGGGGAAGATCACAAGCCCCTGTGGCCACAAGCTGAGCCCCTTCCTCCAGTTAACACACAGTACAAGTGAGTCCTCGCCCCACCCTGTCTGCCGCTGGTTCCTCCCAACCACAGCAAACACTGGAGGGCCAGAGAAGAGCAAGTTACTCTTTGCCCCTAAAACCCAAATAGGATAAAGAAGGACTTAGTGAGAAATCGGGGGCCAGGGGTGAGGCCGGCTGGGTGGGCTCAGGTCCTCATGGGAACTTAAGGGAGCTCCACCCATGGCCTTATTATGACTTTTGTGGGCTACGGACACTTTTGTCTTTATGGGTCCCTGCCCACATAAAAAATATTAAAAATTACATTTTTTAAACCAACTTAGAGTAAGGAAAAATACAAGCCAGGCTGGATTCAAGTGTTTTCTTCTGATTTCAAAAGGAAATTACATTTCCTAGGTTGCCTGAAAAGGTTCAAGGGACCTAGAAAGTCACCTCCTGTGCCCAGTGAACAATTCAGCCTGGACAAAGGGACTCCTGCTGGGGAGGGTATGGGAAGGGGCTGCTGCAGGGGGTAGGGGTGGGGACAGGCAGATGGACCAGGAGGGGCCAACGCAGGCTCAGGAAACCCCACAGGCTCAGGGAGGCCTCGGGCCTGGAGGATCCATGGGGTCAGCGGAGAGATAGAGGTACCAGGTGAATCAGGTCTTTTCAGGTTCCTGAAAGCTGTTGGGAGCCCCTGGCTGCTGTCTTACCCTGTTCTACACGTCCGGCACATCTCAGGGGAGTTTTTATCCTGGAAGCTTCCTTTTTCACACTGACACACGGTGTCTCTGGTCGTGGTACAGGAACTTTTATTTGTTTGACCTGACAACAGAGCATAAGGTTTTGAGAATGTGTTTCCCTGACATGTCTGTCCACCCTTCCTCACCACCCCATCCCCTCCCACTCAGCTCAACTCAGTTCACCAAGGAGTTCTGAGGGCTGGTTTCTGCACCAGCACACTCGGGACTCATACAGGACACCCACCCTGTATGTAAGGACCAATACAAAAGGACCGTGATTCATTATTTATTATATCAGGTTAGGGGAAAAGCATTGTTTAGATGGCATGGTCAGTAGCAAGGGAGGCGCAAGGGCATCACCTGAGAGACTCTGCAAGGAGAGGGGCCCTTGGGGGACTTCCCAAAAGCCCCGGCCTTGCTGGGGAAGAGGAAGGGGCCTGAGAACCTGAAGGCTAAGTGAGGCCAAGCACCTTTCAGGAGCACAGAGCCCGGGAGGAGAGAGCCTGGCCACGGAGCAGACCTGTGCCACTGCTGGAACCCAGCCCTGTCCACTGGGCCAGGCCTCCTCTATGCTGTAATGATGCCCCCACCCGGCTGCAGGCAATAGTTTAGAAGATTTCCCAGCCTGGTGGCATGCATTACAGAAAAGATTTTGGCCAGGCGCAGTGGCTCACACCTGTAATCACAGCACTCTGGGAGGCTGAGGCAAGCGGATCACCTGAGGTCGGGAGTTCGAGACCAGCCTGGCCAACATGGAGAAACCCTGTCTCTACTAAAAACACAAAAAACTGGCTGGGCACGGTGGCTCATGCCTGTAAGCCCAGTACTTTGGGAGGCCGAGGTGGGTGGATCACGAGGTCAGGAGATCGAGACCATCCTGGCTAACACGGTGAAACCCCGTCTCTACTAAAAATACAAAAAAAAATTAGCCGGGTGTGGTGGCGGGCACCTGTAGTCATAGCTACTCAGGAGGCTGAGGCAGGAGAATGGCGTGAACTCAGGAGGCGGAGCTTGCAGTGAGCCGAGATCGCGCCACTGCACTCCAGCCTGGACAACAGAACGAGACTCCGTCTCCCAAAAAAAAAAAAAAAAAAAAAAAATTAGCTGGGTGTGGTGGTGCATGCCTGTGATCCCAGCTACTTAGGAGGCTGAGGTAGAAGAATCACTAAACCTGGGAGGCAGAGGTTGCAGTGAGCCAAGATCATGCCATTGCCCTCAAGCCTCAGCAACAAGAGTGAAACTGTCTTCAAAAAAATAAATAAATAAAAGAAAAGAAAAAAAAGATTTCTATTTTTTTTTTTTAATCAACTAGTCATAATCATGGAACAGGGCATGATGAAGACTACCAAGTTGGGCTAGAACTTGGTTCCCCGACTCACATCGGCTACAGCTCCCACCTCATCACTATGCACTCCACCTCTGGGCAAGGGGTCCACACATTCTGTACCTGATTTACAAACTGTACATAGCAGGCAAGAAGGCAAATTGTTGGAAGCAATGGTGTAATCCACACCCTCTGTGCACGGGTTACAGGCTCCAGTATATTCTGATCTATGAGATCCTGGGAAGGGAGAGAAAAGTTAATGAATGAGTCACCACAGAATTCCCAGAGGCTGACAATGGCTGGCAAATTTCTCTTTTGGCCCTCAGTGGAATCCAGACAGAGAAATCTGCTCTTCTTGGCTTGGTCTTGTCATCAATTCTGCATCTATTACACTATTACATACCTTTGACTGGCACTGCTGACAGAAATATAATACAAATCACATGCAAAATTCAAATTCTATGAAAGCCACATTAAAATAGTACAAAGAATGAGGTCAAATTAATTTTAACTATTTTTTAGCCTAAAAATATCCAAAACACTACATTTCAATATGTAATCAATATAAATATTTGAAATATTTTATCTTTTTTTGGCCAGGCACGGTGGCTCACGCCTGTAATCCCAGTACTTAGGGAGGCCAAGGCGGACGAATCACGAGGTCAGGAGATCGAGACCATCCTGGCTAACACAGTGAAACCCCATCTCTACTAAAAATACAAAAAATTAGCCGGGCGTGGTGGCAGGCACCTGTAATCCTAGCTACTCGGGAGGCTGAGGCAGGAGAATGGCGTGAACCCGGGAGGCAGAGCTTGCAGTGAGCTGAGACTGTGCCACTGAACTCCAGCCTGGGCGACAGAGCAAGACTCTGTCTCAAAAAAAAAAAAAAAAAAGAAAAGAAAAGAAAAGAAATATTTTATCTTTTTTAAAATTTTTTTTGGAGACAGAGTTTCACTCTTGTCACCCAGGCTGGAGGGCAATGGCGCGACCTTGGCTCACTGCAACCTCCACCTCCCAGGTTCAAGCGATTCTCCTGCCTCAGCCTCCTGAGTAGCTGGGATTACAGGCACCCACCACCACGCCCAGCTAATTTTTTGTATTCTTAGTTGACACGGTGTATCATCATATTGGCCAGGCTGGTCTCCAACTCCTGACCTCAGGTGATCCACCCTCCTCGGCTTCCCAAAGTGCTGGGATTACAGGCGTGAGCCACCATGCCACGCCCAGTCTACTTTTTTTTTTTTTTAACAATAAAATAAAATAACAAAATAAAATCCAACCTCATCTACATGTGATCTGCCCATGCTGGTCCACCTGACCTGTTTGCTGTCCACTCACTATGGTGGCCCCGTCTCTGCTCGGTATCCCCCAGCGCCTGCACCCTGGGACTGTCATTCCTAGGGAGGCTGCTCAGGAGCACCATTTCTGGCTCTCTGCACAACTATCCCTGTCCAGCTTTGGAGACTGGCCAAAATCACCATCCCCGAGAGGCCCCACCAACCTCGTCTCTGTCTCACTCATCACTTAATTTCTTCATGGTTCCTATCAGGAATTTCTGACTGTTATTTTGATCTGTGTGTCTTAATACTATCCCAGAGAAAAGGTTCCACGAGGGCAGGGCCTCTTATAATTATCCCATTAGCACGGTGCCTGACTGACAGAAATCATCCAACATGTCCCTATGGAATAAAGAACCAGAAAGTGCAGGAAACAGAAGTCTGGAAACACATAGAGATAAGGGCATGATAAAGGCATGATAAGCTAAGATATCAGTCTTAGCTTGTGCCTTCGGGCTAGCACTACAGACCCAGGATCCTGACCCACCTCCATAGATTCAGCTTCCAGATCTGTCCTAGTGCCAGGTCAGTCCCCATGAACTCAGGCTCCAGGCCCTTCCCTGTGGACCCAAGGATGAGACCCATCACAGCACCTGGCTGACATCTGCAGACCCAAGTACAAGGCCTATTCCAGTGCCAGTTCAGCCCTCATGGAGCCAGGCCTCAGGTCACCTCTCTGGATACTGGCTCTGACCACCCTTGAACCACACCACATGGCCTGCCCAGAATCTGTGAACAGGCTGACTGGTGAAGGGCGTTCCCTGACAAAGCCAGTCTGTAAATACTGGATTAAGTCCCTGCTTCTTCAAAGTGCACATTCCAACATATTGCCACAGGCTCCTGAGCAATCAGGGAACAGTGACGGCACCAAAGAAACAAAATGAAGCACAAGTAACCAACCCGAAAGGAATAGACATTTACAACAGCCTGACAAAGACTTGAAAACAGTCATCTTACAGAAGCTCAGTCAGCTACTAGAGAATATGGATAGACAACTAAGTCATGTCAGGAAAACAATACATGAACAAAATGAGTAGTTTAATATACACAGACAACATAATAAAGAAGAAAGCAGAAATTCTAAAATTAACAACAACACAATATCTGAACTAAGAAAATTCCACAGAGAATGTCAACAGCAGAGTTGATTAATCGGAAGAAAGAATCAGTGAGCTTGAAAACAGATCATTTGAAATTACCAAGTCACAGGAAGAAAAAAAAAATAAAGAATGAAAAAGAGGGAAGAAAGCCAACAGTACCAACGGTTACTGTGAAGCAAAACAATATATGCATTATGGTGGTCCAAGGAGCATCAGAGAAAGTGAAAGGAACAGAAAGTGTAATTAAAGAAATAATTAAAGAAAATGTCCCAAAACAGGATGGGAATGGACATCCACATTCATGAAGCCCAAAAAACCCCTAACAGATAAATATGAAGAGATCTTCACCAAGACACATCTTAAACAAATTCCCAAACATCAAAGGCAAAGAGAATTTTGAAACCAGCAAGAGACAAGCAATGTACAAAGGAACCCCTATAAAACTACCAAAGGCTTCTCAGCAGAAAACCTACAGGCCAGGAGAGAGTGGAATCATACAAAGTACAGAAAGGAAAAATTCCTTGCCAACCAAGAATACTACACCTGGCAAGCCTGTCCTTTAGAAATGCAGAGCAGTAAAGACTTTATCAGACAAAGAAAAAAAAAAACGGGGGGAGTTCATCTTTAGCATGTATTGCCTTACAAGAAATGTTAAAGAGAGTTATTCAATCTGAAAGAACAGAACACTAACTGGATACACAAAACCATGCGAAAATATAAAACTAGGTGGTTAAATACATGGTCAAGTTCAGAATATTCTAATACAATCATAATAGTGTACAAATTACTTACATCATTACTATAAAAGTTAAAAGCCCAATGTATTTTTTTAAATGATACTTAATACAATTTGTTAAGGAATACACAACATAAAAAGACGTAAATAATGACAAAACATAAAATAAGGCAGGAGAAGAAAAGGTGTCAAGTTTTTTATGAGATCAAAGATAAATTGTTATCAGTGTAAAATAAAGTTAGACATGAACCTAACTTACAAATTCAGTAGTGTTTTTATACACTGACAAGAAACTATCTGAAAAATCCCATTTATAATAGCTACAAAAAAAATGCTTAGGAATAAATTTAACCAAGGTGGTGGCTGTATTTTTTTCTAATTTGGTCTTGAGGTTTCTCTCTGTAGAGTGGCTATAAATTCTAGCCTTGCCCTGGGGGGGATCCAGGAGATTTCATCATGGATGTTCACAGGAAACTTATTTGTCCCGGTGGACTGTCTAATGCCTAATTGGGTGTTCATCTTGTACATGTCCCTTCCACAAGACAATTACTTTTACTAGCAGTAGACCTGGTGGCTCTTGTCTGACCTATGTCCAGTTTTAAGTTATCTCTACTCTTTAGGAGACAGCCACTCTTTAAGAGAGCCAAGATGGAGAAGGATGTTAGGTTCAGATGTGTCAATTAGGGAAAACACAGAGGAAGCAACACAACAAAACACAGGAAACACAGAAGTGGTGTATTACTTACAGACTCCAGAGAGAAGAGGATAGCACACTTTGCAGCACTTACGGGAAGTGGGGAGCTATCCAGTCCGAGGACACTAACCGGTGTGTGGGGAGCAAGAGACAGAGAGAGAGGACCCGTGGGACTACACCTTTATAAAGATCCATGGGCATTATACCCCAGGCTTTCCCACAGGGATTGTGGAAGACAACACCTGCAAAGAAGGTTCACACTGCTCTGCTGTGAACCATTAGGTTTTATTGTAGTCAGCTCCTGTGGGATGTGTTGGGTTTGGGGTCAGGGAGATGATGAACAAATGTGCTAGATCAAAAACAATTGAACAGGGAAAGGAATTATTAATTGGGCAAAAGATGCTGTGGTATGATTGGGTTTTAAACAACTTACATTGGGCCTAAAAATGGATGTCAAGGCAGCAACTCTTTTAAATAAATTTGTGACAGAGGTGGAAGATGTGAAAACTGTAAAATATTGATGAAAGAAACGGAAAGTAACAAAAATAAATGGAAAGACAGTACATGTTCATGGATTAGAAAACTCAATATTGCTTAATTGTTCATATGACCCAAAGTGATCTACAGATTCAATGCAATGCCTATTAAAATTCCAATGACATTTTTTACCAAAATAGACAAAATAAATCTAAAATGTGTATGGAACCACAAAAGACCTCAAATAGCCAAAGTGATCTTAAGCAAAACAAACAAAAAGAACAATGATGGAGGCATCATACTACCTGATTCTTAAATATATTACAAAGGTATAGTAATCAAAACTGAATAGTAATGGCATAAACGAAGATAAACTGATGGAATGAAATAGTGAACCCAGATATAAATCAATGCATTTACAGTCAACTGATTGTGACAGATACCAAGAACACAAAATGGGGAAAGGACAGCCTCTTCAATAAATGATGTAGAGGAAAGTAGATATTGACCTGCAGAAGAATGAAATAAGACCCTTATCTCACATCATATGTAAAAATCAACTCAACATGGACTAAAGATTAAACATAAGCCCTGAAATTGTAAAACTACTACAAGAAAACATAGGGGAAAATCTTCATGACGTTGGTGTGGGCATTGATTTCTTGGCTATGACCCCAAAAGCACAGGCAACAAAAGCAAAAATAGACAGATGAGATTATATCAGACTAGAAAGGTTTTGCACAACAAAGGAAACAATGAACAGAGTGACGAGACAACATACAGGATGAGAGATCAATATCCAAAAGATCCAAGATTTTGGTTAACATCCAAAATACACAGGAACTCAAACATCTCAATAGTATGCAATCAAATAATCCAATTAAAACGGACGCATGGGCAAGGGACCTGAAGAGACACTTCTAAAAAGAAGACATAGAAGTGGCCGACAGGTATATGAAAAAAATGCTCAACATCACTAATCAGGGAAATGCAAATCAAAACCACAATGAAATACCACTTCACACCTGTAAAAATGGCTATTACCAAAAAGACAAAAGATAACAAGTGTTGATGATGATGGGGAGAAAAAGGAACACTGGTACACTGTTGGTGGGAATGGAGATTAGTACATCCATTATGGAAAACAGTATGGAGGTTCCTCAAAAAACAAAACATAGAATAACTATATGATCCAGCAATCCCAGTATTGTGTATACATCCAAAGGAAATGACATCAGTATGTTAAAGAGGTATCTTCCCTCCCATGTGCATTGGAGCATTATTTACAATGGTCAAGACATTAATCAACCTAAGTGTCCATCGATGATGAAAAGGTAAAGAAAATGTAGTACATAGACACAATGGAATACTATTCAGCCTCAACAAAGAAGGAAATTCTGTCATTTGTGACAGCATGGATGAACCTGGAGATATCATGCTAAGTGAAATAAGCCAGGCACAGAGAGACAAACACCTCATGATCTCACATATGTGGAATCTTAAAACTTGATCTCATAGAGGTAGAGAGTAGAATGGTGATTACCAGCGCTGTATTTGCACGGTGGGTTGGAGAGATGCTGGTCAAAGGATACAAAATTTCAGTTAGACAGGGGGAAATAAATTCAAGAGATGTATTGTGTGACATGGTGACTACAGTTATTAAAACAATGTGTTGTACAGTCCTGCCTTCTATTCACAGGGAATATATTCCATGGAACAAACTCTGCACTTACACAAGTCCCTGATACAAATTGGGATAGTATTGCATACACCCCAGGTACATATGCTTTAAATCATTTCTAGGTTACTTGTAATACCTAATGCAATAGACATGCTATGTAAATAAGTGCTTTACTGCATTGCTTTTTATCTACTTTTATTGACATGTTATCATTTTCATTATTTTTTCCACATATTTTTGATCTGTGTTGGTTGCAACCACGGATGCAACACCCACAGATGAGGATGGCTACAGAACCCACAGGTGAGGAGGGCAAAGAGGGCTTATCCCAGGGCTCTGTATCCATACAGCTGAAAATTGCTGAGTAGACTTTTAAGTGTTCTTACAACAAATACACGATAAGTATGTGAATTAGCTTGATTTAGCCATTTCACAATGCGTGCATATTTCCAAACATCATGGTGTACACCATGAATATATACAATGTTTATCTGTCAACTAAAAATAAACTGATTTTTAAAAATAAGAGTGCACCTGCTGGACACTCCTCCTCCTTGAGGCTGCGCCTCTGTTGCTGTGGGGCCACTGTCTGCTGGGGAACTTCGTCCTGCCGGGGGATGGTGGCAGAGTCAACCCGGACCTGTGGGGACAAGGCAGAGATGGGCTTGAGTGGCTTCCAGACCTTACCTCTCCCAGGCTCCGTCTCACATTCCCTTCACCCCAAGTGACAAAACCCATGAGAGCCTGGACTTTTTTCCCATTCCAAACTTTCATTCTTTTGCATCCGTGTTTGTCCCCTGGCCTGTTAGGTAGCTATTTTCTATAAAGAAAAACACCTCCGTATCCTTTTATCATATTATAACATAAAATATATTTACCCCAGAAAATATGAGCAGAAGAGTTTTTTTTTTTTTTTGATAGAGTCTTGCTATGTTGCCCAGGCTAGAATGCAGTGTCTATTCACAGGTGTGATCATAGTCTACTACAGCCTGGAACTTCTGGCCTCAAGTGATCCTCCCGCCTCAGTCTCCCAAGCAAGTTGGGTAACAGGAACACACCACTGTAGTTGGCAAGAAAAGATTTTATAAGAACACAAAAGGCCAGGCGCGGTGGCTCAGGCCTGTAATCACAGCACTTTGGGAGGCCAAAGTGGGTGGATCATGAGGTCAGGAGATTGAGACCATCCTGGTTAACACAGTGAAACCCCGTCTCTACTAAAAATACAAAAAATTAGCTGGGCATGGTGGCGGGCACCTGTAACCCCAGCTACTTGGGAGGCTGAGGCAGGAGAACGGCGTGAACCCAGGAGGCGGAGCTTGCACTGCACTCCAGCCTGGGCGAAAGAGCGAGACTCTGTCTCAAAAAAAAAAACAAAAAACAAAAAACAAAAAAACCACACATATGAGCCCTTCAAGCAGAAATAGCATCTAATGTATTTAGTTTGACCAAGTGTTTAATTGACCAGTGGGTGAATATTCTCTCTCTCTCTCTCTCTCTCGCACACACACAGACACACACATAAAAATACACATTTTTACAAATGAGGGTTACAATATAACCTTAAAGAAAGTCAGGATATAGCATCAAACATTAAGTAATTTCTGCTTCACAAAGGACCTTGACAAGCTGTTCCCACTAAATATCAAAGAGTGACAGAAAAAGATAAAACAGCAATTCAGGGATTATGGCCATGATCTCTGTGTTATAAATGACGACGAGAAGACAACTGGAGAATCGGAATAGAGTCTGCATATTAGATAGTGGTAATGTGTTGATGTTAATTTCCTTGTTTGTAGAAAGTACACACTGAAAAATTCAATAATAGCTTTCATCATGCCAACAGCTATTTTTCAAATTTTTTTTGCATAGTTTTTGTAACTTTTAAGTTGGGAGTGTGTAAAAGTACAAAATTAATTTAATTGTAAATTTACATTTAATTAAATTTAATATAATCTTGCTCCTGAGAAAAAACAAAATGGTTACAATAAAAGCTACTTACCTTGGGCTCTGTTCAACTACCTGGCTCTCAGCAAGACAAAATGTAGCTTTCTTCCACATGAAAGCCTGCCTAGTAGTTGGTGACAGTGAAGCTAATGCACATTTCCCAAATCCTCCCTTCTAGAGCTGGGGTCCCTCTAGGTTCAGGCGATGTCTCTGTCACCTTTCTCTGCTCTCACACCCTTACTCCTTTTCAAGAGCAACTATTCATTTTCTCAACTCTTTTTTTTTTTTTTTCTTTTTTGGAGACGGGATCTCCCTCTGTCATCCAGGTTGGAGTGCAGTGGTGTAATCTCTGCTCACTACAATCTCTGCCTCCCGGGCTCAAGTGGTCCTCCAACCTCAGTCCCTAAGTGGCCGGGACCACAGACAGGAGAGTGCCCCAATGCCTGGGCTAATATTGGTGTATTTTATACAGCTGGGGTTTCATCACGTTGCCCAGGCTGGTCTAACTCCTGAGCTCAAGCGTTCTGCCTGCCTGAGCCTCCCAAAGTACTAGGATTACAGGCGTAAGCCACCACACACAGTCCGTTTTGTCAGTTCTTTTTGTGGTTTCTATTCTATTTCCTTGATTTATGTTCCTCCTTGTTACTTTGGTTTAAATTTATGCTTATATTTTATGATTGATTAATGTAGATCTTCAGGCCATAAATTTCACATATTTTTCTTTTTTTGACAGCTTTAACGAGACACAAATCACATAATTAGTAATTATGATTATTCATATAATTCACCCATTTAGTCTACATTTCAGTAGTTTTTTAATATACTCATAGCTATGCAATCATCACTATAATCAATCTTAGAATGTTTTTATCACTCCAGAAAGGAACTGCATACCCTTCAGGAGTAACTCCCCATCTCCCCAATTTTTTTAATAGACACATTGAAAGCTGTATTATTTCACTCCGAGCACTGTTAGCCATTTCCCACCAGTTTTGCTGTTATATTATTATTATTTATTTTGAAACATTTTACCTTCCCTTTTGATTTCTTCTCTGAACCACAGATTTTTTAGAAGTGTATTGTTCAATAACCAAATTTTAGAATTCCCTATGGATACTATTACTGACTTCCAGTCTCGTTTCATTAAGTTTAGAGGTCATATCGCGTGTTTTATATCCCAGAACCCAGTCTATCTTGGTGAAAGTATCATGAGCATAGAAAGGAATCAGTGTTCAGTGGATGTTCCACTCCTGCTCTTTAAATGTCAGTTAAGTCAAGGTGGTTGATAGTGTGCAGATCGCTTGCCACTTTACCGGGGTTTTCATCTGACCGTTCTGTCAATTACAGAGAAACAGCTGATTTAATCTCCTTTTCATTCTCTTTTTGCATCATGTGTTCTGCAGCTGTATTACTAGGCATATACAATTTGTGATTATTATTATACTCCTTGAAGAATTAACCTTTTTAACTACAAGGGTCCCTTTTGAGCTCCCATAATATTCTATGTCCTAAAATTGTTACAGTAGGCAGCTAGTCAGGTATGAGCAGGGTAGGAGAGGGCTCCCCGCTTCTGACACCAGCAGTGTTGGGCGACCATCAGGTGGTTGATAACCGTGTCTCTAAAGTAAGAACTGGTTACAGCCAATGCCAGAAAAAGGCAGTCTCCTAATACATAGAAAACACCTGAAACTGATCAGCAGCTTCCCAATAAGATTTCAGGAGTGGGGAGAAGTAAGGCAAGATCCTGGAAGTAGGCCAACCTATAAAACCCCAACTCAGGCAGTCCGGCTGTGCACTGTTTCTCAAGTCACCTGCTCGGCCATCTTTCAAGTTGTACTTTCCTTCTTTTCTTTCCGTTCCTTCCTTTCCTTCCTGTTCTAAAGCTTTTTTAATAAACTTTCACTCCTGCTCTGAAACTTGCCTCTGTCTCTCCTTCTGCCTTATGCCCCTCAGTCCAATTCTTTCTTCTCAGGAGGCGAAGAGCTGAAGGTGCTGTGGACCCATACGGATTCGCCGCCTTCAACGTAGGGTAACTCGGATCTCGTCCACCGCTAACAAAATCAACTTCATGTGATACTGAGATAGCCACGGCAGTTTTCTTGGCCTTACACTCTGCGTGGGGTATCTTTTTCCATCTATTTGCTTTCCACAGACAGCATCTGTGTCTTCCTTTTAAGGCCCATCTCATATAGACAAGATATAGCTGAGTCTTGTTTTTTCAGCCCTTCCAAACATTTCTACCATTGAACTGTAGTGCTCAGTGGATTTACAGGGAGTGCAATAATTGTTAGTCAAAATAGACCTATACGTTTACCATTTAAACTACGGTTGTCTAGTCTAATTTTTTTACTCCTTTTTCCCCTGCACATTTTAATGTTAATTACCTTTTAGAATTCCACTTTAACTGGGTACTGACTTTTTATGCATACCTATTTCCATGATCTATGTGCAAGTGCTATAGGGAATACAGTATACACTCAAGTGCTTATATTCTATTGAAGGTTTTTTTAAAATAGATTTATTGTGGTATAATGGATATGAAACAAAGTGTACATTTTTGAAGCATGTAGTTTGGTAGGTTGAGATGTACGTATACACTGTGGAACTATCGCCGCGATAAGATAATGACATGTCTACCGTCCTGCAGTGTTTCTTCATTTTTCAATGTAATCCTCTCTTCTGCTTTGCTCCTATGTCCCCAGCAATGCTTCTTCTGCTTTTTATCACAATAGATTAGTTGTATTTTAATAAGATGAGGAATCACATGGTATGCATTCTGCTTGTATTCCTTCACACGACATGATTTTCTGTGTGTGTGTGTGTGTCTGTGTCTGTGGTTTTTGGTTTTATTTTGGTTTTTGGTTTTGAGACAGCATTTTGCTATGTTTCCCAGGCCGGTCTTGAACTCCTGGGCTCTAAGGATGCACCCACCTGGGCAGGACTATACATGTGAGCCATCGCACCTGCCCACCCACCCTGGCCCATTGACTATTATCAGTTAAAGGCTACTGAAAAACAGCAGGCGCAATAAGATGCTTTGACCTCTTTTGTGTTTCCTAAAAGCAGGAGATGAAAGTCCCCAGGGAAACATAGGACGATCTCCTTATTTTTAAGGATGAGAAGTCGAGGCCAAGAGATTACTGTGCAGACCTTGTTAGAACAGAACCACTCAGCTTTTTAGCCTCCATATATTTACTAGCTTCTTCACAAGTTACTTGGTCCAATTCAATATATAAGTAACTGACTCTCACTGCTTCTCTGTGCTAGGTAAAACTTGCATTAAATAAATGTGTGTGTTGGCTGGGCATGGTGGCACACACCTGTAATCCCAGCATTTTGGAAGGCTGAGATGGGCGGATCACCTGAGCTCGACTTCGAGACCAGCCTGGACAACATGACAAAACCCCGTCTCTACTAAAAATACAAAAATTAGCCAGGCGCAAGGGTGGGCACCTGTAATCCCAAGGTACTCAGGAGGCTGAAGCAGGAGAATCGCTTGAATCTGGGAGGCGGAGGTTGCAGTGAGCCGAGATTGCACCACTGCACTCCAGCCTGGGTGACAGAACAATACTCCATCTCAAGAAAAAAGAAGTCGTACGTGCTTTTCTCCTGTGTACCTGTCTTATGTCAATTTAATTCTCAGGTCCAGCCAAAAAAAAAAAGCCCTTCAAGGGGAGCTTCGCTTCCCTCTATGACTCTCAATGGTGACTCTAACCAAACACCATCCTCCACGCCAACAATACCACATCCTATAGCCTTGCACCAACACGGCCTCTCTGGAGGAGGGGGAGGCAATGGTGGTGAGATATCAGGCCTCCCTCATGCTACCTCCTATTAGTTATATGATTCCTGGTGTCACCTCACCCACCACACTGTGGGCTCCAGGAAGCAGGATTCACATGGGGTTCATCTGTCCTCCCTGGCTCCAGCAGACTCCAAAGACAATAAAGAGCTCATTGTCTATTTCCTGGGTGACTCACTTTCCCCCCAAGCCCATGAGGTGAGCGCAGTGGCGGCCTCAGCTTACCACCTAAGGACAGGCTCCAGGCTGTGGCACAGGGAGGGGACTCCGAAGAGCCCTGTGGACTCTGCTGAGGACCCATAGGAGCTCCCAGAGGCCAAGTGCAGGACAGAGATCAGAGAAGCAGCTCCTCAGAGAACTCTAGCCCTTCAGAGGCCCAAATATGGCTGCTATTATTCAGAAGGTGAGGACAAAAATGCTGGAGACATTGCTCCTGAATCTCATTTTGCCACCTGTAAAACAGGGAAAACAACCTGCCCTCATGTCCCCTGGTTGTTAGGAAAATCCACTACACGAAGATGTACACTCTCTGGCTGGGAGCAGGATACCAGCTGCCCAACAGCACAGGCTCGGGGCATGGCACTGTCCCCACTGTCTCCATCCCCAACCTGGAAGCTAGAGCCTCGCTACCCTGCCACTCCTGGATACAGGACAGAGAACCAGAACTGGGACCGTGGCCTCTCAGTAGGGGCTGGGTGAGCAGCCATCTGCAGCCACCTGGATGGAGACCTTTCCTGCTCATCTTCAAACTCCAACCCGGGCCGGACACCCACCAGAAGCACAACTGGAAACTTGGCAGGTAAACCAGGCTGTGGCCCTGCAGTGCCATCGCTGTCCTCACTTGAACTCTGGCTCCTCTGTTCCTCGATGGCCCCTCCACATGGTGCTCCACCCCAGTCTTCAGAAGCTTCTGCCCCAAGGCCAGGGAGCCTGGTATGGAGGTGCAAGTAGGAACAGGTGCAGCCTCTGCTGGGTGGAGGACATGTGCCCTGGGGATCCAGTCCGGAGTGACTGACACCAGCCCTGAGGATGTGGTTCATCCTCCCACACCTGCTAACACAGCCCTCTGAGGTTTACACAGGGCTGCTGAAGATTTTTATCTCCTCTTCACTTTACAGGCAGGAGCTGGGGCCACACCAGTGTCACAGAGCTGGAGGGGAAGCACAGCAGGGCCCAGCTGTTCCCAGCCTCCAATCTCAGGAGTCCTTGAGAGCCTCAGAGTCCGAGATTCTGGGCCGTTGGATCTTTTCGATTCCTACTTTGATAAAGAGAAGGGCGGGGCGGAAGCCTCTGTCACACAGATTGGAACAGTCCAACGCTGACAGAGCCAGGACCTGGGGTCAGGAACTGAGCTCAGCTCCAGGCTCATCTGATGTCCTCCTGACAGCCTGAAGATGGAGACCTTATCTCCATTTACAGGCGTGGCAGGTGGCAGGGACTGGCCCCAGCTGACCACGGTTCTCCAAGTTCACAGCTGGGAATTCAGTCTTCCCTGCCACCCTCCCCTGCTGTCTCATCTGGATCCCCCGGTCATCTACTCCCACTACCAAAACTCCCGTATCCTTGAAAATTCCTAATACCATTAAGGAATGAAAGTACATAACAATGTGATGAATCACCTTTTACTTCCTAGACTAGCAACGAATGAAAGCTAAGTGTAACAAGGGTGTAGGGATACAGGCACATGTGTGAACTAGGTGTGAGTGTAAGCTGAGTTCAATGGTCTTTTGGAAGAAAATTCGTAAACATCTAAAGAAACTTCTGAAATGATTTATCCCACGGAAGTAGAAGTAAAATTCTACTTCTAAGGAGTTGCCCAATAAGCTGGTGCGCATGGACATGTGGACACACGATACATACAAGGGTATTTAGTACAATGCTGTTGGAATTAGCAAAGGCAAATTTGCTTTGGGTTATATCCCATCGGGATGGGATATAACCAGCTGCCTCTAGATGGCAACAGTGAATTAACCTGTGGCTTACCCATGTAGTAAAATACAATACCCTTGTTTAAAAGAAAATCAATCTGAATGTACTGCCATAAAACATCTAATGTGATTTGTGCTAGCTCCAAAATTTTAAAAAGCAACTGTGCATTGAAATGCATTTAATAAGGCAAGATTGATGGAGGGATCAAAGCCTCCTTTGGGACGCATAGAGTTCACATTCCCAAAACTGTGAAATTCAGGTTGCTGGTCTTGTCTACACAGGTCATCCACACATTCTCTCTTCAGGGCCACTGTCCTGACACAGCCATTCTTCTAGCTGCCTCAGGTAGGTCCACCCACTATAAACTATTGTAGAAGTCAGTTGTGTAATTTTTGAGAGGTGAAAATGTCACTGCTGTTCTGAATTTAGTATTACTTCGTTGAAAGAAAACATGGAGACTCTCATGGTTCATGTAATCTTGTTTTATCCTCCCCGTTTTGTTTTTTGGTATTACGTAAGAAACCTTAGAAAGCACTGTTGGCAGAAACGTCAGTCACTCAGAAAAAGTCCTGGCAGTCTGCACATCTTATTTTTATGTCCTTCTTGTGCACCCCACTACCAATCTCAGTTTCCAAACCCAACTCACAACGAGAACTTTACATCTTTTATGCCTAAGGAAGGGGCCATCCCGCGGTCCTGCCTATGGGATACAGAGGGGACACACGGGTGGCAGTGGAAGACACTGACTGCAAGCACCTTGGTTAACCGCTTCCTGCCACTTTCAGGGTTCTATAGGAAATGAAAGTTACAAAAAACAGCGTTGGAAAGCTTTTTCACAGGCTGTTTGTTAAACTGATCTCCAAGAAACACGTGTAACAGTGTAAACATAGGGTTAATTTTGTTTGTTTGTTTGTCTGTTTTTGTTAAGGCAGAGTCTCGCTCTGTCGCCCAGGCTGGAGTGCAGTGGTGCAATCTCGGCTCACTGCAACCTCTGCCTCCCGGGTTCAAGCAGTTCTCCTGCCTCAGCCTCCTGAGTAGCTGGGACTACAGGCGCAGGCTGCCACGCCTGGCTAACTTTTTTTTTTTTTTTTTTTTTTTTTTTGAGACGGAGTCTCGCTCTTGTTGACCAGGCTGGAGTGCGATGGCGCGATCTCGGCTCACTGCAACCTCCGCCTCCCGGATTCAAGTGATTCTCCTTCTGCCTCAGCCTCCCGAGTAGCTGGGATTACAGGCGACCGCCATCACGTCCGGCTAATTTTTGTATTTTTAGTAGAGACGGGGTTTCACCATGGTGGCTAGGCTGGTCTCCAACTCCTGACCTCAGGTGATCCGCCCGCCTCGGCCTCCCAACGTGCTGGGATTACAGGCGTGAGCCACCGCGACCGGCCTGGGTTAACGTTATGAACGAACGAACGAACGAACGAACGAAAGAGGCAACCGCTCTGTGGCTTCCTGAGGTTCACTCCGGGGTTTCCATCTTGACTCCCTCCCTCCGCTGATTCTGGAACTTCCTCTGGGGCAGCTCAGTGCGGTCCTCGCCGCACGGGACAGCCAGGGGGAGCGCGCGCTCTGCTCCCTCGCGGCCCGGTCGCTCCTGCCCAGCCCGGGCACCCCACTCTTCCCCTGACTCCGACGGCGGGTTCGTCCTGCCCAGACATGCCCGGCCGCAGGCGACCCGGGCCAAGCATCCCCACCGTGTCCCCCTCTCTCCCTGCCCACTCCCGGCGCCAGGTGCGCTCTTCCCCAGCCAGGGACCGCGGCGGAGACTCACCGGCAGCAGAACCGCGACGATGAAGACGACGAACTTAAGGATCTTGGGGTCCAGGAGCCATGGTCTGGTTCCCGACGCTGTCCTGGCTCCTGGATAGCGCCCTGCTCGAGCGCTCGAGGCGGTCGGGACGCTTTGTCCCCAAAGTCCCATGAGAAGGGAGGAGGGTGGATCGAAAGCGCCAAAAATCAATCAGAAATCGTCCCCGTAGTTTGTGCGCGTGCAAAGGTTCTCGCAGCTACACTGCCAGAATAGAACGTGCTCCTCCGCTTTTATACCCCGGAAAAAAGGCGTGGTCAGTTGTACTCCCTTCCCGCAGTCACTTCCAGGCACTCAGGCTGGGTCTCCCCCAGCACCTCCAGGAGGGCCCAGGTTGTGTGGGTGGGTGCATGGACGGACAGGAACTGGCTCTTTCCGGCAGCGGTGACCCAGGGCCTGCGGTTTGATTCCGGGTCCTGTCCAGGCTGTAGGCAGCAGAAGGGGAAGGAGCTGAGGCGCTGCCCGCTGCGCTGCTGTAGTCTGGGTAGTGAGCTCCAGAGGAGGCACTGGAGGCCCATCCTGAGCCTGCTCCCTCCCCGGGCCGCCTGTCTCTCCTCTTCTTAAACCCTGAACTACTTCCTGGCCTCAGGACTTCAGTCCACTCTTAGCTTCTGCTCCCACTCCCTCCTCCCACAGCGGCCTCACTGACCAGTGCACTGATGCCACTGATGTCTCCAGCCTCCTTGCTGCTGTGACCCAGCTCCAAGCTTCTCTGGCAGGGGCTTGGTATCCCTCAGTAGCGGGTGCCTGGCACCAAGGAGGGGCCCAGTGAACACATGAGTGGACAGAATGAAGGACACAGAGGCCATGACAGGCACCTGCAGAGGCTGAGGAGTAGGTAGGAGGGAGAGGAACGCCGGGGGCATCCCTAGCCACAACCTGGCACCCTTTGCATGGTCAAAGCACAAACACTCCCTGACCAACCTTGAGGGCTCTAGTATTGAGGCCCCATGGAGACAGGGGAATCAGGGGAGTGCCTTCCAAAGTCTGTCCCCAAGTCTATTGTCTACCCAGGTCCAACTGTCTGACCTTGGGCTACTTACCTCCCCATCCAGTTGAACACACTGCCGCTGTGAGGGCAGACCCAATGTGTGGTTTTGAAGGGTGCCAGCTTGTGACCCTAAGCAGTAAGGTCAATGGCAGGACTCCTAGACCCTTGGGATGAGTCGGCTCCTGACCCCTCACATGGTAGATAGAAGAGGATAGCGCTATAGAAATGAAGGTTTTTTGGCTCATGAGAAACCTGGGAATGAAATGTCATCCTCTCCACAGGCTTGGATTTGAGCGATGGATCACCCTGAGCACCTTCCAGGGCCCAGACAATGACCTAGGGTCAGAAATGTGAGCCAGGGCCGGGCGCGGTTGCTCACGCTTGTAGTCCCAGCACTTTGAGAGGCTGAGGTGGGCGAATCAAGAGGTCAGGAGTTCGAGACCAGCCTGGCCAACATAGTTAAACCCCATCTCTACTAAAAATACAAAAATTAGCTGGGCGTGGTGGCGGGCACTTGTAATCCCAGCTACTCAGGAAGCTGAGGCAGGAGAATTGCTTGAACCCAGGAAATGGAGGTTGCAGTGAGCCGAGATTCGTGCCACTGCACTCCAGTCTGGGTGACAGAGCGAGACTCTGTGAAAAAAAAAAAAAAGAAAAAAAAATGTGTGCCAGGTCCCAGGCACTGAGCTAGGGTCAGAAATGTGCGCCAGGTTTCAGGCACTGAGCTAGACTCAGAAATGTGTGTCAGGCCCCAGGCACTGAGCTAGGGTCAGAAATGTGTGTCAGGCCCCAGGCACTGAGCTAGGGTCAGAAATGTGCGCCAGGTTCCAGGCACTGAGCTAGGGTCAGAAATGTGTGCCAGGTTCCAGGCACTGAGCTAGACTCAGAAATGTGTGTCAGGCCCCAGGCACTGAGCTAGGGTCAGAAATGTGTGTCAGGCCCCAGGCACTGAGCTAGGGTCGGAAATGTGTGCCAGGCCCCAGACACTGAGCTAGGGTCAGAAATGTGTGCCAGGACCCAGGCAATGAGAAATGTGTGGGGTCAGGAATGTGTGCGGGGTGCAGATCCAGGCAGGAGGTGAAAGGTCAGGGACTTCAGGAAGACTGACAGCATTAACACAGAGCCACCAGGGCCTGCAGGAAAGTCCTTAGAGCACCTTAGCTCCCTTGGCCCTGGAGGGTGGACCACACAGTATAGACCAGAAACCAGACTGCAGGTAACAACGCATTCTCTGTGCCCTGTGTGGAGCACTGACTAGGGCTAATGGCAAAAGGCTGTGAGCACCTCCAAGGAACTGGGCCTTTAGAGTCAAGTTTCCACTTAAGAGGCACTTACTAGCTTGAGATGGAACACTAACTGAAGTCTCCCCTGTCACTGAAGGACATAAAATAATCTTGAAACCTGAAAAACTGATGATGTCTTCAGGAATCTTGGAAAAGCTCTAACGGGGAGGCCAGTCCCAGAAGAGTTCTATTACAAAATGGATTTTTTTTTTTTGAGATGGAGTCTCACTCTGTTGCCAGGTTGGAGTGCAGCACGATCCAGGCTCACTGCAACCTCTGCCTCCTGGGTTCAAGCGATTCTCCTGCCTCAGCCTCCCGAGTAGGTGGGATTACAGGCACATGCCACCACGCCTGGCTAATTTTTGAATTTTCAGTAGAGACGAGGGATCTTCATGTTGGCCCGGATGGTCTCGATCTCTTGACCTCGTGATCCACCCGCCTCAGCCTCCCAAAGTGCTGGGATTACAGGCGTGAGCCACCTCACTCAGCCTAAAAAATGGAAATGGTTGATATGGGATCCTGGTGCCTGAGGAAGGCAAAGAGGAGACACTCATGAGCAGGGAGCCTCTGTTCCCCTCAGACTGAGTCTGGAACTGGGTGAGGAGCTGCTGGATTCTGTGGTCACTTGGACATTGCCCTATACACAGCTCTTTACTTACTGACCAAGAGCTACTTAGTTTGTAGACAGTCATTCCTAGATGAATGGACAACATCCTACTTGGAAGGCCACCCCTCTGATGGAAGAAGGCAAAGGCAAATTGGCTAGGTGGGTTGGATTGCATGCTATTTTCCTAGCCTTATGGAAGATTTGAACAGCAGCAAAAGCCCCTGTACTTGAGTTTTTTTCTGGCTCATGGACAGTCGTCAATGTCCCGGTCATAGAGTTGGGAAGGAGAATGTGAAAGTTGATCGCACAAATTGGGTCATTCTTGTCACACCCAACTAAAACAGAGTCAAGAGGCCATGGGGAAGAAAAATCACTGTATTACCCCCAAACTGCAATTCTCTGTAAGTCTGGCAGCTGTAACGTGAAACTATTAATAGTTCTGTCTTATATCTATTGACACAACCAGCTGCTGCTCTAAGACCAGCCTGACCCACTGCAGTCACTCACCAGTCAGAGCATGCCACTTCTTCAAATTTTACAGCGCCAATGAACTTTCTGCAAAAAAAAATACTTAGTATTTCTCATTTAAAAAAAAACATCTGGCCGTGTGCGGTGGCTCACACCTGTAATCCCAGCACTTTGGGAGGCCGAGGCAGGCGGATCACGAGGTCAGGAGATCGAGACCATCCTGGCAAACACTGTGAAACCCGGTCTCTACTAAAAATACAAAATAATTAGCCGGGCGTGGTGGCGGGCACCTGTAGTCCCAGCTACTCGGGAGGCTGAGGCAGGAGCATGGCATGAACCCAGGGGGCGGAGCTTGCAGTGAGCGGAGATCACGCCACTGCACTCCAGCCTGGGCAACGGAGCCAGACTCCGTCTCAAAAAAAAAAAAAAACTTCCAAACTTCTCTTTGTTCTTTGGACGTACCAAAGACAACTTGGTCTTTGTGTATGCCAAGAATTGCAATTCTTACTTTCCAAATAAAGGGTATTAAATTTGGATATTCGTCTCTACATTTTCCATTGTTTCCAAGAGTAAGGGGAAACTGACCTAGTGTAGGGATGTCCATATGAGGCCCGACCCTATGGAAATCTCTAGGGGAGCTTGAGGAGTGCATTAAAGTAAGACACGCCCATGCTGGTCAGTAGAACCCACCCTCAGGTTTAGAAAGTGACTGTAATCAGCAAGAGATACCCCCGTGTACTCCCTTGAGGTGGTCACCAGAGGCCACGAAGCAAAAGAAGTGGATATGGGGGAACCACAGTGACGCAGAGATGGGCTGAATCGAAACACATTCCTCTTGCTCTCTCTCAGGCACATGACACCAATAAGAGCTGTTCTGTCTAGCAGCGGGAGAGACAGAGACTGCCTATAGCTATGAGGCAGATTCCCTGATGAGGAGGCCCTCAACATACTTGGAAAGTGAGACTGAGGGCAGTGCCCTGGGGGGTACAGGTGAGTCTCGACAGCAACAGAAACTGACTGTGGATTGTCTTTTCCTTACCTGGTGGAGGCTGCAAATGCCCAGAGTGCTATTAATATAAAAGAACTGAAAGAAGGTATTATTCTAGTTTGGACCACTAAACCGAACTTCCTTGGACCGAGAAACAGGCTGTTCAGTGCATAATGTTTAGCAATGGGCAGAGAGATATCCTCCTTAGAGTAATAATTTGATAGGGAAGCGGAACAGTCAACTGAAACATTGATTGTCTAAAATGGGGGGAGACACAGGCATGAAGGGCTGGCTTCCACACCTTCACTGGTGTGTGCCCCTACTCCACACGAGTGGGCTAAAGGAGTGTCCCCACCAGACTTTCCTCCATTTTTCCAGTGGATCTGGGGATGAGGGGGTGGGGAGGATGCTAGTATAATGACTGTCATTTTGTTGTTGTTGTTGGGTTTTTTTGAGACACAGTCTCACTCTGTCACCCAGGCTGTAGTGCAATGGCATGATCTCGGCTCACTGCAACCTCCGCCTCCCAGGTTCAAGTGATGCCTCCTGAGTACCTGGGACTACAGGCCCCCGCCACCATGCCCAGCTAATTTTTGTATTTTTAGCAGAGACAGGGTTTCACTATGTTCGTCAGGCTGGTCTCAAACTCCTGACCTCAGGTGATCTACCCACCTTGGCCTCCCATAAGTGCTGAGATTACAGGCATGAGCCACCGCGCCCGGCCAATGACTGTCATTTTTGTCTTTCTTCCCCGCATTACCTCAACTCTCCCCTCCTCCCCACCCACCACCTGGTGCAGTGGCCACAGGACCGGGGCTACAACTACAAGTGCTGGAAGCAGCGACGACTCCTAAGCCAGGAACTGAGACTATGTGTTTAGACTTTTCTGTCAATTTTCTTACAGACCTGATGGGTGTGGGTTGTGCTTTGCCCCACCTGGCAAAATAGAAGCTAACCGTATATGCAGCTACATTGCCTGATATGGTTTGGATGTGTGTCCCTCCAAATTTCATACTGAAACAGGATCTCATGTTGGAGATGGGCCTGGTGAAGGTGTTTTGGGTCATGGGGGAAGAACCCTCATGAATGGCTGTCTGCCTCCCCACAGTAGTGAATGAGTCCTTCCTCTATTAGTTCACTCGAGAGCTGGTTGCTTAAAGGAGTCTGGCACCTCTCACCTCTGTCTCTTGATCCCTGTCACCATGTGATGTGCTGGCTCCGCTTTGCCTTCTTCCATGATTGGAAGCTCCCTAAGGCCCTCACCAGAAGCTGAGCAGATGCAGGTGCCGTGCTTGTACAGCCTACAGGACTATGAGCCAAATAAACCTCTTTTCTTTATAAATTACCAAGCCTCACCTATTCCTTTATAGCAACGCAACATGGACTAATACATTGCCTATTGGTAAAATAGCCCACTAGTTCTGCACCTATGTAACCCTGCCCTATATGAATGGAAGTAGATTGAGGGGATACGCTTGCTGCATGAGTATTGCTGTCAGCAAGCTGGCCCATCACAATTCCTTTTAAAGTGGAAAACTTTGAATATAAGTGAAAAGAAGAAGGAGGAGGAGCTGAGAGTAAAATAATGAATAAATGGTTTATGTAATGGGGAAAATCTTGTATTACAGTAATACCAAGAAAGAGACGCAGAGGAAGAGAAGACATTGTCTCTTAGCTCAATTATCCCAGATGTCTGAGAGGGGGAAGCTCCATATTTGCTGAGACCTGTCCTGCTTTTGGAACCTGACAGGTGGAATGGAGGCCTAAAAACCTGAGTGGTCTCATCCTGGGATGCTTTTTTTTTTTTTTTTTTTTGAGGCTGAGTTTCTCTCTTGTTGCCCAGGCTGGAGTGCAATGGCGCGATCTCGGCTCACTGCAACCTCCACCTCCCGGGTTCAACTGATTCTCCTGCCTGGGCCTTCCAAGTAGCTGGGATTACAGGCATGTGCCACTACACCCAGCTAATTTTGTATTTTTAGTAGAGATGGGGTTTCTCCATGTTGGTCAGGCTGGTCTTGAACTCCCGAACTCAGATCATCCACCAGCCTCGGCCTCCTGAAGTGCTGGGATTACAGGTGTGAGCCACCACACCCGGTCCCTGGGAGACATTTGTATATGATATGATGCTGGAGTGGACTAATTATAAGTGACTGAGGAGGACCTAGTAACCTACCAGTATCTTTTGAATTGTGTATCGTTTTGCTATGAGGGAATCCATGGCCAGAGATCAGACTGATTTTGCTATGAGGGAGTCCATGCCAGAGATCAGTCTGGTCTCTGGCCATGGACTCCCTCATAGCAAAAGGATATGCAACTCAAAAGATCAAATATGTATTATTTTATTTGTGCCATATTTGATCTCTGCCCTGTTTCCTGCAACAAAGCTCTGAAAATCCTTGGAATCTCTCAAGTGATCAATGTGTTTTTTGTATGCCAGTGAAATGACTGATGGCTGGAGGCTCTTGGACAGCCTCGGGGTGGGGGGAACCAGCCTGTGATCAGAGGGTTGAACCTTCAGCCCCTGCTGAAGTTTTGCTTGGGTTTTGCTTACCTGGTGGAAGCTGCAAATGCCCTCCCCCATCCCAGCTTCTGGTGAGAGAAGAGGGGCTGAATGTTGAGGTGATCACCAATGGCCAGTGATCACTCATGCTTGAGCAATGAAGCCCCCAAAAAAGCCCAAAAAGAGGCCGGGCGTGGTGGCTCACGCCCGTAATCCCAGCACTTTGGGAGGCCGAGGTGGGCGGATCACGAGGTCAGGAGATCGAGCCCATCCTGGCTAACCCAGTGAAACCCCATCTCTACTAAAAATACAAAAAATTAGCCAGGCGTGGTGGCGGGCACCTGTAGTCCCAGCTACTTGGGAGGCTGAGGCAGGAGAATGGCGTGAACCTGGGAGGCGGAGCTTGTAGTGAGCCGAAATAGCACTGCTGCACTCCAGCCTGGACAACAGAGCGAGACTCCGTCTCAAAAAAAAAAAAAAAAAAAAAAAAAAAAAGCCCAAAAAGACAGAGTTCAGAGAGCCTCTGGGTTTGTGAACAAGTACACATCTGTATGTAGGGAGGGTGGCACCCTCTAATTCCACAGGGACAGAGCTCCTGCACTGGGCACCCTCACAACCCTCACCTTCTTCATCTGGCTGTTGATTGATATCATTAAAAATATCCTCTGTAATAAATTGGCAATAGCAGGTAAACTGTGTTCCTGGCTTCTGTGAGCTGGCCTAGTGAATGATGAAACCTGAGATGCAGAACATGGGAATTGTCAGTTGGTGGCTCCCATGTCAGGTTCTAATTAGCCTAGTTGTGGGGGAACCAGGAGTTTTCACAATGACTCAATGGCCAATGAAATTCTTATGAATTCACAGTTTATTGTGTGGCTTTTGCACATACACACTCATGCAAATATAGTCAACACACACAGGCGGTGATGAGACGGTGGGGAAGGGACCACAGTGAGCATGTCAGGAGACCAGCACGCTGACTGACACACTGGCAGGTCCGGGTTTCCTCAGAACATGGACCAGGGTGGGGGTCGCTGCTCTTCTTCCATAGCCCATGGGAAAGAGGCCTCAGAGTTCTTGGGGGCAGAGCTGCAGCAGCTGCTTGGCTATGGTCAGAGTCTTTGCGGTTTTTATGGCCCTCTGCAGGCTTGTCTGTAGCCAAGATCTCAGCTGCCTTCTGGCTTCACTTGCTTGTCTGGTCTAGGGGGTGCCCGTCCACAGCAAATCCTCTTATCACCTCAGTCCACCACACATACGCTTCTCACTCTGAGGGGTCAGCAATTTCAATGTGGGCTGATCCTCTGTCACAAGTGAATTTATTTTGAGACATTTAGGGTCACCAAACACTAATATATATCAGTAGCTAAGTCAGACAGAAGGCGTGGACGACTTGGGGACACTGTATTAGTCTGTTTTCACACTGCTATAAAGAATGGTCCGAGCCTGAGTAACTTATAAAGGAAAGTAGTTTAATTGACTCACAGTTCCACATGGCTGGAGAGGCCTCAGGAAACTTACAGTCATGGCGGAGGACGATGGGGAAGCAGGCACCTTCTTCACAAGGCGGCAGAAGGGAGAGTGAATGAGGAATTGCCAAAGCCTTATAAAACCATCAGAAGTTGCGAGAACTATCATGAGAACAGCATGAGGAAACCAACCCCACGATCCAGACATCTCCCACCACGTTCCCCCCTTGACATGTGGGGATTACAATTTGAGATGAGATTTGGGTGAGGACACACAGCCAAACCATATCAGACCACCTGCTTGTGATTTGCACCTGAAGTGGGGGGAGTCTGTGGCACTGAGTCCTTGCCCTGTGGGGTCGGCACTACCTCCGATTTGTGTCAGAAGTGAATTGAATTGGCTGGGCGTGGTGGCTCATGCCTGTAATCCCAGCACTTTGGGAGGCCAAGGCAGGCGAAGCACGAGGTCAGGAGATCAAGACCATCCTGGCTAACAGGGTGAAACCCTGTCCCTACTAAAAACCATAAAAAATTAGCCGGGCGTGATGGCGGGCTATTGGGAGGCTGAGGCAGGAGAATGGCGTGAACCCGGGAGGCGGAGCTTGCAGTGAGCCGAGATCCCGCCACTGCACTCCAGCCTGGGCGACAGAGCGAGACTCCGTCTCAAAAAAAAAAAAAAAAAAAAAAAAGAAGTGAATTGAATTATGGGGCACTCATCTGAGGTGGGAAAAGTGGTCAGGGTGGGAAAAATCCACACATCGGTTCCCAGAAGTATCTCGAACTATGAATATATTGATCAGTGTAATTTTGTGTCCGGAATTGGTGGGTTCTTGGTCTCACTGACTTCAAGAATGAAGCCGCAGACCCTCGCGGTGAGTGTTACATCTCTTAAGGTGGCACGTCTGGAGTCTGCCCCTTTTGATGTTCAGATGTATTAGGAGTTTCTTCTTTCTGGTGGGTTTGTGGTCTCGCTGGCTCAGGAGTGAAGCTGCAGACCTTCGCGGTGAGTGTTACAGCTCTTAAGGCAGCGCGTCTGGAGTTGTTCATTCCTCCTGGTGGGCTCGTGGTCTCGCTGGGCTCAGGAGTGAAACTGCAGATTTTCACGGTGAGTGTTACCGCTCATAAAAGCAGCATGGACCCAAAGAGTGAGCAGTAGCAAGATTTATTGCAAAGAGCAAAAGAACAAAGCTTCCACAGTGTAGAAGGGGACGCCAGGGGGTTACCAATGCTGGCTCGGGCAGCCTGCTTTTATTCTCTTATCTGGCCCCACCCACATCCTGCTGATTGGTAGACCCGAGTGGCCTGTTTTGTCAGGGCGCTGATTGGTGCATTTACAATCCCTGAGCTAGATACAAAGGTTCTCCACGTCCCCATCAGATTAGTTAGATACACAGTTTTGACACACAGATCCTCTAAGGCCCCACCAGAGCAGCTAGATACAGAGTGTCGATTGGTGCACTCACAAACCCTGAGCTAGACACAGGGTGCTGATTGGTGTGTTTACAAACCTTGAGCTAGATACAGAGTGCCGATTGGTGTATTTACAATCCCTGAGCTAGACATAAAGACTCTCCACGTCCCCACCAGACTCAGGAGCCCAGCTGGCTTCACCTAGTGGATCCCGCACTGGGGCTGCAGGTGGAGCTGCCCGCCAGTCCCGTGCCGTGTGCTCACACTCCTCAGACCTTGGGTGGTCCATGGGATTGGGGCGCCATGGAGCAGGGGGAGGTGCTCGTCGGGGAGGCTTGGGCCGCACAGGAACCCATGGAGTGGGTGGGAGGCCTCAGGCATGGCGGGCTGCAGGTCCCGAGCCCTGCGCCGCAGGAAGGCAGCTAAGGCTCGGTGAGAAATCGAGCACAGGGCCAGTGGGCTGGCACTGCTGGGGGACCCAGTACACCCTCCGCAGCTGCTGGCCCGGGGGGCTAAGTCCCTCATTTCCCGGGGCCAGCAGGGCTGGCCGACTGCTCCGAGTGCGGGCCCGCCAAGCCCACGCCCACCCGGAACTCCAGCTGGCCCGCAAGCGCGCACGCAGCCCCGATTCCCGCTCGCGCCTCTCCCTCCACACCTCCCTGCAAGCTGAGGGAGTGGGCTCCAGCCTTGGCCAGCCCAGAAAGGGGCTCCCACAGTGCAGTGGGGGGGCTGAAGGGCTCCTCAAATGCCGCCAAAGTGGGAGCCCTGCCGAGAGCAAGGGAGGGCTCTGAGGACTGCCAGCATGCTGTCACCTCTCAATTTCTTAATATTTTCTTTTTTTTTTTTTTCGATGGAGTCTCGCTCTGTTGCCCAGGCTGGAGTGCCGTGGTGCTATCTCGCCTCACTGCAAGCTCCGCCTCCTGGGTTCACGCCATTCTCCTGCCTCAGCCTCCCCAGTAGCTGGGACTACAGGCGCCCACCACCGCGCCTGGATAATTTATCTTTTGTATTTTTAGTAGAGACAGGGTTTCACCGTGTTAGTTGGTCTCGATTTCCTGACCTCGTGATCCGCCCACCTCGGCCTCCCAAAGTGCTGGGATTACAGGCCTGAGCCACCGCGCCAGGCAATTTCTTAATATTTTCTTAGCTAGAACTTTGCCTTTTTGTCTGAGCCTATAGCACTCAGGGTTTTGGGTAGTAGGGCTGGTACCTCATGTTTCTTAGATCTGTTAATGAGTGGGACCAGTGCCTGCGCTCAGGTGGTCAGGCCAACATCAGATGGGTCCCTGGCAGAATATTTTTTCCTAACATATTCCTCTACTGGTTTCCAGGGGTCAGTAGATGTCAATATGGGTTGTGGTGGTATAATTTCTTTAAATTTTTCGTGAAGGCCTCGAAACAAATTAAATATAATCTTTAAAATTTTGTTTTATCATATACAGGGTGTTTATGCTAAATCTTCATTCAGAAATCTAATGATTGTTGAGAGACCAGATTCCTGAAACAGGCAATCCAGACTCCAATATGTAGTGCTAAGGCTCTGATTCAGGGACCACTAGAAGAGAGAGGGTCCAGCTAGTCTCACGTTAGCAAACACTTAATGTCACTCACACTCCCCGTTCACTCTTCCTCCTCCAGGCCAGGGCCTCTCTCCCCTGAGCCCACATGGGGCCTGTGGTAAGCAGTTTCTGAAATGGCCCCAGTGTTCCTCTCTCTTGGTATTCATGGCTGGGACGTAATAAGAAACATCTGTTTTTTTCTCTGCTCCTGGTTTTGGGGCCAAAGCTTCAAAACACTGATGTTTCCTGAGCAATTGTGGTGAGAGGGGCTTTATTTATTTTAATCATAAAACGACTTCCAGCATTCCTGAGTTGATGCTCATGAGGTGGCTCTTGGAGGAGAGGGTCCGGCCGCCAGTGATCAGAGCAATGGAACTTTCAACACTAGCACATCCCTCAGCTCAGAGCAGGGAGATGACTGAGGATTAATCACCATAGATTAATGATTGACGCCTTCGTGCTATGGAATGAACCTGCCATAAACACCATAAACCACAAGGTTCAGAGGAAGGAATAATCAGTCGCTCACTGGGGTTGGACAGATGAGAGTAACACAGAAAAATTAAGGGCAACATCACACTTTCTATATCAAAAGTAATGTCCATGGACTTTACATCACTATATGCTACAAATCTAATGATTTAATAAAATCTCCTTAAGAAATTAGAGAAGTTCATTTTATTTTATGTTGGGCAATGGACTTTCTAAGTTTATGACCAAGAAAAAAATAAGTGTACCTATAGATTTAGCTACTTAAAATTTAAAATTTCAGTACGTTAAAATCTAAGACAAAAAGAATAGGCAAATTTAAAAAACCAGAAATCTGTTATTAGTATTTGGGAAGCATGAAGCCTGTCTTTCTAGACAAAACAAATCCTAAAAAATGAATTTGAACAAAGAAATTTAAAGTACTGACCAATATATGAAACATATATCAGAGAAATGTCATCAAAGTCAACTAATTCTTTCCTAGTTAGGAAAAATGAAATCCAAAGAACAGTGATGTCAGATCTAAAGTGATGCACTGTTGGTAGGAATCACAGCTGTGTGTGTGTGTGTGTGTGTGTGTGTGCGCGCGCGCACCTGTACGGGTTAATGCCGATATTCTACTTCTTCTAGAAAATTGCCTAATGAATGTGATTAGAAATGTGGCCAAAGATGTATTCTCAAATATTCACAACTTCTTTGCCCTTCGCATACTGGTGATAGAGGTTTTGGGGAGAGGGGCTGGTATTTGGGTGGAGCATGACACTGGACTCTCGCCTTTGCCCATCTTGAGAACACAGGCCATCCTCTTAATCTTTGGAGGGGGACTCACAGGATGTTTATTAACTTTATGTTTTGTGGGGGGCTTTGGGCAGGGTCCGAATGTTAGGAAAAGGGGCACAGAGCTGAAGAATGAGTCGCCTGTAATGAAGTATCACACACAGTGAGCCCTGCCTAGTGCTGGCTTGTGGGAAAAAGGAAGAATAGAGCAGGAGGAAAGAAAGGTCAAGTCTAAGAAGAGGAAAGATGAGACTGGAGGATTGTGGAGGGTTCAAACCATAGCTCACAGCCCAGGGTTTCAAGTGAGGCCGAGGAGTTCATGGGGAGGGCAAGTGAGAAGCAGGGGGGACCCGGAGCAGTACTCCCTTCCCTCTGGGGAAGGGGAACAGCATGGGAGCACGCCTGGGCCTCCCAGGAGCTATAGGCAAGAGGGAGGGGTTCCTCCAGGGCAAGGAAAACAGGAAATGGGTCTCCCAGATGCCTGCAGGGCTGAGCAACCTGGTCCCACTCATGAGGATGCAGGGAAGTTCAGGGGAGAAAGCGAAGATCGGGCCAGGGCTGGAGGAAGCCACAGGAGAGTGACCACAGGACTTTCCTAACAACCAGGGCCAGCTCACCTCTCAGGAGGACCCACTGCTCCTTCCTTGACGGCTCTGTCAGAGCCCAACTGCAGCCCCAGGTGCAGCCAGAGGACCCCCCGGGAGGCTGTGGGTGAGCCAGCCCAGTGCTAGTGTCCCTGTCTCCAAAGGGAGGGGAAGAAGGAGGTGCTGGATTCAAGTCCCCAAGACTCTGTCACTTTAAGTTCCAGGGAGTCAGAGGCAGGAAACAACCCCACACCGACTTCAGCAAGCCTGAAGGAAGAGAAGGCAGGAAGGTGTGAGTCACAGCAAGAACACAGCCTGTGTTACTCAGAGCTGTTTCAGGGAAGAATGGGAGGACAGGGGCAAAAAGAAAAACAAAACCTCTACACTTCCTTTATGTAAGTTTCCATAGTTAATTTGGTCATGAATTCACACATATCTCAGGATTTTACCCTTAATTGCCTTCTTTTTATGTTTGATGTTACCAACATACTCTTCAGATATGATCATCTACTGCTTTCTCTAGTAGGAGAACAGACAAGCAAGGGAAGGTCTGCTTTTGTGAAGCAGTTCCTTCCCTCCTTGCACACAGCAGAGGCTATCTGGCCTGTTCTTTTCTCCTGTCTTCAAATTAGCGGATTCTTTCTTCTGCCTGATCAAATCTGCTGTGGAATTTCTCTACTGGATTTTTCACTTCAGCTATTATATTTTTTTCAGTCCCAGGATTTCTACTGGGAACCTTCGAATATTTCCTATATCTTTGTGGATATTCTCTATATGTTGATACAGGTATGTATAGATATCTATAGATGCATCAATGTTTCCCCAGAAGAAAGGTGCAGGTGCTGCTCTGGGTTTCCCTAGAATATTTCCCTGCAGCCCCTGCCCATGGGCTCCTCAGCCTCACCCTTGAAGCCACGGGCTGCGAGCTATTGTTTTAATCCTCCGCAATCCTCTAGAACACACACACACACACACACACACACACACACACACACACTTCCTTTAGATATTTGAGCATGCTTAAAACTGTTGATTTAGGCGAGGCGTTGGCTCATGCCCATAAACCTATCACTTTGAGAGGTGGAGTTGGGCAGATCACTTGAGGTCAGGAGTTTGAGACCAGCCTGGCCAACATGGTGAAACCGTGTCTCTACTAAAAATATAAAAATTAGCCAGGAAATTGTGGCACACTCTTGTTATCCCAGCTACTCTGGAGGCTGAGGCACTAGAATTGCTTGAGCCCCGAAGGTGGAGGTTGCATTGAGTCGAGATGATGCCACTTCATTTTAGCCTGAATGACAGAGCAGAGCGAGACTCTGTCAGAAAAACAAACAAACCCCAACACAACTGTTGATTTAAAGCCAAATAAGACCAATATCTCAACTTCCCCAGGTATCTGTCAATCTCTTCTTTCCCTGTACATGGACCATATTTACTTTGTATGCTTTTGTGGGTTGAATTTGTCTCCCTAAAGCTTATTTTGAAGCCCTATACTCTGGTACTTGTGAGTGCGATTTTTTTTTTTTTTTTTTTGAGTCAGAGTCTCACTCTGTTGCCCAGGCTGGAGTGCAGTGGCATGATCTCAGCTGATTGCAACCTCTGCCTCCCGAGTTCAAGCTATTCACCTGCCTCAGCCTCCTGAGTAGCTGGGATTACAGGTGCGTGCCACCACGCCTGGCTAATTTTTGTATTTTTAGTAGAGACGGGATTTCACCATGTTGGTCATGCTGGTCTCGAACTCCTGACCTCGTGATCCGCCTGCCTCAGCCTCTCAAAGTAGGTGTGAGCCACTGTGCCCAGCCATGTGATCTTATTTAGAAATGGGTTCTTTGCAGATATAATTACTTAAGAAGAGGTCATACTGGGTTAGGGTGGGCCCTAAACCGAGTGACCGGTGTCCTTAGAAGGCCATGTGAAGAGATAGGGAGACACACAGAGAGGAGAACATCCTGGGAAGACAGATGGAGACTGAGTGAGCACCCGGAAGCCAAGGAAGGTGAAGGATAGCCAGCAGCCCCCAGAAACCAGAAGAGAGGCATGGATTATTCCTCACAGCCCACAGAGGGACCAACCCTGCTACCACCTTGACTTTGAACCTCTAGACTGCAGAACTGTGAGGTGAATTTTTTGGAACCATAAAGTTTGCAGCAATTCGTTACAGTAGTCCTAAAACTAATGCGCTTTGTTAAATTCCATCACTTTTTTTTTCATTAAGCCCTCTTTTGGTTGCTATTGTAGGGCTGGATAAACTCCCTTTCATCCTCCTAGGGTCCCAGCTAGGTTGCAGAGTTAAACTGACATAACATTGATCATTGGGAGCCCCCATAAAGAAATGAAGATCCAATGAAGTAGTTAGAGTCAGTTACTCATGCACTGAATTGGATCAAAAAAGAGTTGTGGAGAAGCAATTAAATTATGTAAAGAAGTTTAAAAGATAAGTTATTTTTAACAAGGTCTGTTCAGAATCCTCTGTTTCAACTTCTCTTCCTTGCAGATAGGAATGTTCCATCTTTCTAGTACAGAAAGGGAATCTTTCCCATATAAATTTCATCTTCTACTTTTTTTTTTTTTTTTTTTTTTGAGATGGAGCCTCGCTCTATCACCCAGGCTGGAGTGCAGTGGTGCTATCACGGCTCACTTCAAGCTCCACCTCCTGGGTTCACGCAGTTCTCCTGCCTCAGCTTCCTGAGTAGCTGGGGTGACAGGCTCCCGCCACCACGCCCAGCTAATTTTTTTTGTATTTTTAGTAGAGATGGGGTTTCACTGTGTTAGCCAGGATGGTCTCGATCTCCTGACCTCGTGATCCACCGCCTCGGCCTCCCAAAGTGCTGGGATTACAAGCATGAACCACTGCGCCCGGCCATCTTCTACTTTTAAGAAACAACAGGAGGGTCAAAGTGATCGTTTCTCACTTGCTGTTTTCCAAGTGTCTTTAACTTAAATAGTCAATATGCTAGATTAGCATATTTTAACCCCTTCATTTCTCTCATCTGGAACTTCCCAGGTTGTTTCATGTATTAAAAGTTAAGTTGATGGCTGTGGAGAGTAGAATCAGGTTAGTAACTGAATGGCAAGAGACCTATAAAGGAAAACGGAATATAAATTGGAACAGGCAAGACATAAGTCTAACTATATTGTCCCATAGCTTTTTTTTTTTGAGATGGAGTCTCACTCTGTCGCCCAGGCTGGAGTGGAGTGGCGCAATCTTGGCTAATGGCAACCTCCGCCTCCTGGGTTTGAGCAATTCTCCTGTCTCAGCTTCTCGAGTACTGGGATTACACGTGTGTGCCACCACGCCTGGCTAATTTTTTGTATTTTAGTAGAGATGGGGTTTCACTGTGTTGGCCAGGCTGGTCTTCACCGTGTTGGCCAGGCTGGTCTCAAACTCCTGAGCTCAGACAATCCACCCGCCTCAGCCTCCCGAAGTGCTAGGATTACAGGCGACCCATATCTTATTGAATAAGTCTCTTAGTCATGAGAATAGTTTTGTCCAGTTAGGCAGTTGTATCTCATTTTAGGAGATGATGTTATAGGTGGTCCTTCATCTAGGTTAGGCCTCTATAAGGTGTGGTCAATCAGTATTTAATAAGAGGCATTTCTACGGAAACGAAAGAAAAGTAAAGGTTAATGGTTGGAGCAAATTATACAAGCCCAGTTTTTGAGTCCAGAGGACAGTCAGTTGAGATTTCTAGATGTTGGGCTTGAAGCATCTTTAGATGGTGGAATGATAAGAAGTCGTGGCAATTTTGATGAATTTCCTGTTGTGTTCTTTACATCAGGTGTTCTGGTGAACTTTCTGAGCACCCCATATACCCACGGGCATGAAAATTGTCCATAGGCAAGCTGTTACTGTTACTGAAACACCTGAGGATGGGTCTAGGTCCTGCTGCTTGAAACACAGAAGGTCAAGCACTGAGACACTGAGTATTGCCACGGAAATGTAGGGGTTTATATAGCAGGGAAGAAATTTAACCATAGGTAGGAATACAGGAATTAGAGAGTCATGATAAGAAATGTAACCATGTGTGGAAAAACAGGAATTAGAGAGGAGTAATGAAGAGAAGTGGGTCAACGGGAACCACCTGGCTGGTTAGGCAATCATAGTGGATGAAGAGTGTAGCATTTCACTGTTGAAATGCAATGATTTCAGGAAGTTTCAGTTCCTTGACACTGTCTGGGAGGCTTGATGGTGGGTTTCCTGAGAAAGGAAGTTAGATAAGACTAATGTAACTTTCTCAAGTTTTAACACTGGGAGGATCAATTTCTATGATTTTTCAAATAAACCATAAACATCGATCCTATGAGACAGTTGGGTCTGTTTCAGTCCCTCCTTTCTACTTATTAATTCCTCAATCCCGGGGAACCTGGCCCTGGATCTTTCTGGCTGCTTCAAGCTGAGGAGGCCACCATGGGTGACCTCGTGGCCACTCAGGAATCACAGGTTAATCTAATCCTACAGTTTTCTTCTGAAATACAATCTTTCTCTCTCCATCCCCCACTTCCACCAAAGATGAATCATAGCAACATCATCTCTTATTAATATTACACAAACGTTTTCTTCAAAAGAAACAACAAAGTTTTTACCCTTGTATGGTGTGTTATTAATGTTAAAACTCACTTTAATAAACCCATAGCAACTAATCTATTTAATTTTAATTAGTTTGACCATAATGTAAGATTTTCATAAACCTTCTATAATGTTTTACAATTTTCTATTAAAGAGCAAATCAGTGATCCAAGGAAACCCTGTTATTCTGATACAGGGGCCCAGACTCTGGCCTTGCATCAGTGTGCTTTTGATCTTAATGCTTAATTTGTAGAAAAACTCCAGACTTATTTTATCCCTCAGAATCAGTCCTTACAATCTCACATGCCCATCTCTTCCAAAATAGTCCCTGGGCCTAAAGGGATTGAATAGTTTTAATTTCTTGCCCTGTGTCTCATGAAGGCACTTCATTTTGATTGTCACCTTCTCCTGGGTCTGAAGACGAAGCTTTGACTGGTGCCAATGTTCAAGATTAAGCAAGAGTTGGCCGGACCCGGGGGCTCACGCCTGTAATCCCAGCACTTTGGGAGGACGAGGCGGGCGGATCACGAGGTCAGGAGATCGAGACCATCCTGACTAACACAGTGAAACCCCGTCTCTACTAAAAATACAAAAACAAAAAATTAGCCGGGCATGGTGGCAGGCGCCTGCAGTCCCAGCTACTCAGGAGGCTGAGGGAGGAGAATGGTGTGAACATGGGAGGCAGAGCTTGCAGTGAGCCGAGATGACGCCACTGTACTCCAGCCTGGGTGACAAATGGAGACTCTGTCTCAAAAAAAAAAAAAAAAAAAAGATTAAGCAAGAGTTGGTGCCTTTTTCAGACCCAGGAGTCAAAGTCCTTTAACTTGACAGCACAGGATTGGTTAACAGGATTTTACACTGCAGGAAGTCCTAGCATTCTCTCTAACATGTCACAGATTAACCATGTCCAGTAGTTACTGCCTGCGGCACTTCAAACCATTATATTAAAGTGGTTAGGTTACTTATAGCATATGTCTAATGCCAACAATCTAGTGACAGAACTGTGCCCGAAAGCATCAAAAATGTGATAGGTTTTATGCCAAACTTATCAAAGTAAGACAACTAACTTTCCTCTCCATTATTTAAAAAAAAGCTAAATACAACCAGGCACGGTGGCTCACGCCTGTAATCCCACTTTGGGATTATACTTTGGGAGGCCAAGGCAGGTGGATCACCTGAGGTCACAGCTTTGAGATCAGCCTGGCCAACATGGTGAAACCCTGTCTCTACTAAAAATACAAAAATTAGCTGGGTGTGGTGGTGTGTGCCTGTAATCCCAGGTATTTGGTAGGCTGAGGCAGGAGAACCTCTTGAACCCAGGAGGCAGAGGTTGCAGTGAGCTGAGACTCTCCCACTGCACTCAAGCCTGGGTGAGAGAGCAAGACTCCGTCTCAAAAAACAAACAAAAAAATAAGGTAAATGCGGATATCTGTTTTCGAAATTCAGAATAAGGATAATCTCCTTCTCTTAAATATTGTACAAGAAAACAGGGACAGAGTTAAGAACAAGCACAGAATAATTTCAACTATTTCAAAAAAGCGTCATCACACCTTTCCAAGATTGTTAATCTAGACAACTGCTTAGGTAAGTTTCACCACTAGAAACTTCAAACTGGTGCAACACTTGTATATATTTTATTTTCAAGTACACACATGAAGGCCTAAATGTAATAAAAGGGTTGGAATAAAAAATCAGTAGAAAGTTGGCTGGGCACAGTGGCTTATGCCTGTAATCCAGCATTTTGGGAGGCTGAGGCGGGTGGATCAACTGAGGTCAGGAGTTCAAGACCAACCTGGCCAACATGGCAAAACCCCATCTCTACTAAAAATATAAAAATTAGCTGGGCATGGTGGCAGGTGCCTGTAATCCCAGCTACTTGGGAGGCTGAGGCAGGAGAATCGCTTGAACCAGGGAGGCAGAGATTGCAGTGAGCCAAGATCACGCCATTGCACTCCAGCCTGGGCAACAAGAGCAAAACACCATCTCAAAAAAAAAAAAAAAGAAAAGTCTCACTTTTAAAATTACTGCTTAACCCAAGTGAATGTCACTTAGTTATGGTAAACACAACTAAAGCAATTTTAGAGAAATTCTAGTCAGTATAAATTTCTGAAGGGCAAGGCCAATCTTTCCTGAATATTAAAACTTTGTGCCCGTATCACAGTTTTTCTTCATTGCCTAAAGAAAAGGATCTGAAACCAACTTAAATTGATGGAATTGAATTTCCATGAAAAGAAATGCCATTTGAACATTTCTCCTCTCACTTGCTTTTTCAGATAACAAAATCAATAATGTTCTTTTTCTGCTGGACTTGTAAGCCTTTTTTTTTTAACAGGAAGCTTAAAGTTCTTCTATCTCTCTAGATCATCAGAGCTAAGCAAAACCAATCCAATTTTAAATGGCTGGTGTGCTCTCTCGATTTTGCAGGTTTGACCAAGGTAGCTTAGGAAGTTTAGGTAAATAGAGCAAATGATAAATGGTTGGAAATGCATAGGAAACAAAATGGCTGTTCATAGAACCAAATACAAGCCTTCCATTAGAAACTAAAACACGGCCGGGCACGGTGGCTTATGCCTGTAATCCCAGCACTTTGGGAGGCTGAGGCGAGTGGATCATGAGGTCAAGAGAACGAGACCACACTGGCCAACATGGTGAAACCCCGTCTCTACTAAAAATACAAAAATTAGCTGGGCATGGTGGCGCACACCTGTAGTCCCAGCTGTTCGGGAGGCTGAGGCAGGGGAATCACTTTAACCCAGGAGGTGGAGGTTGCATTGAGCCAAGATCACGCCACTGCACTCCAGCCTGGTGACAGAGCGAGACTCCATCTCAAAAAAAAAAAAAAAAAGAAAAGAAACTAAAACACGACAATGGACTTACAATTGTATGCATAAGCCAAACCCCAAGGAAAACAAACAGCAGCTAAATGCAAATTAAAAGCAAAAACAAATGAACAGGACACCAACCCCCAATTTTTTTTCCTACTCAGTTGTCTTGGAGGCTACCATGTTACCCAGAGCCTAAAAAAAAAAAAAAAAAAAAGAATATTTTATTCCTGGTTTACGAATTAATGTCTTTAAGTCCACCAATCCCACTGTATATTTTGTGCAATTAAGAAATTCACTTTAGGCATGTGACCAGTAAGTACTTTATTGCTAGTACTATCTCTGCAAAAGAGCAGTACAGTGTGAAACAAAGCAATGCAAGCGTGGGTGTGAAATGTGGCCCCTTGTTAAATAGGACTTCATGATGAACTATATTAAAGAAGAATTGGCAAACTGCCAGTGTATTTCTTTACAATACTTCTTACTTTACCTTCATCAAGACTAAGCGCTTTAACCACGAGCAATGTCAATTAGCCAAACTTTTCAATTTTCTATCAGATTTTAAAGAATATTTTACAATGTACTTGCATGGATCATTGATGACATACTAGGACTTTCTATTTTGTCCTAAATTTTTTTCTGTCTTGTTTTAATAATCATTCAATTTATATTAGAACATATTCATATATTCATCATACAAGACTTTTTCTCATACAAAGTTATTCTCTTTTCTTTCTAACCTTCATTACCAAAAATATATCTTCACCATAATTTTTTTCTTTTCCTTTTTTTTTTTTTTTTGTTAGAAATGAGCTTTTTGGCAGGTCACCCAGGCTGATCTTGAACTCCTAAGGTCAAGCGATCCACTTGCTTCAGCCTCCCACAGTGAGCCACCACGCCTCCCATAAATCCATAACTTACTTCACATCTCTCTCCCCTACTTACTGGTTCCTTTCTACCTTGTTTAATAAATAACCTTTGCAAGTCCATAATTAGAATTAACCTTTAGATAACTTCTGAATTAGACTAATTTATTCTTTTTCTTAATAAGAACACATCTTTGGCAAATCTTATGTACAGAATTATACACTAACTACAATTGTTATCCTTAGTAACTTTAAATTTTAGTGAAAACTAGGAAGCAAAAAGTCCTGAACTGTCTATCAATAGAAAACACTAGCATTTTCTAGATGGGTTTTCCATAAGGAGGAACAGTCAGACTGCAGGTTTTTCTTTCCCTTTCTCGTAACCAGCCTAAGAAACAATATTTTACATTTTATCAAAATAATTCCCAGCCAGGTGCAGTGGCTCATGCCTGTAATCCCAGCACTTTGGGAGGCCAAGGTGGGTGGATTACTTGAGCCCAAGAGTTCAAGACCAGCCTGGGCAATATGGCAAAACCTTACAGCTACCAAAAATACCAAAAAGAAAAAATTAGGCCGGGCACCTTGGCTTACCCTGTAATCCCAGCACTTTGGGAGGCTGAGGTGGGTGGATCATAAGGTCAAGAGATCAAGACCATCCTGGCCAACATGGTGAAACCCCATCTCTACTAAAAATACAAAAATTAGCTGGGCTTGGTGGCGTGTGCCTGTAGTCCCAGCTACTCGGGAGGCTGAGGCAGGAGAATCGCTTCAACTAGGGAGGCGGAGGTTGCAGTGAGCCAAGATCGCGCCACTGCACTCCAGCCTGGTGACAGAGCAAGACTCTGTCTCAAAATAAATAAATAAATAAATAAAATAAAAAACAAAAATTAGCTGGCATGGTGGCACATGCTTGTAGTCCCAGCTACTTGGGAGGCTAATGTGGGAGAATCACCTGAGCCCTGGGAGGTGGAGGCTGCAGTGAGCCGTGATCACACCATTGCACTCCAACCTGGGCTACAGAGCAAGACCCTGTCTCAAAATAATAATAATAGTAATAATAATAATAACTCATTTGTTGCCTTTATTAGGTTTTTAATTGTTTAGAAAGACTGAGATCTAAAAGGTTTTTTACATTCATGTAACCTTCTGTATTGCTTTTTTTTTTTTTTTTGAGATGGGGTGTTGCCCTGTCGTCCAGGCTGGAGAGCAATGGCCCCATCTCAGGTCACTGCAACCTCCGCCTTGTGGGTTCAAGTGATTCTCCTGCCTCAGCCTCCCAAGTAGCTGGGATTACAGGCACCTGCCATCATGCCCGTTTAATTTTGTATTTTTAGTAGAGATGGGGTTTCACCATGTTGGCCAGGCTGGTCTCAAACTCCTGACCTCAGGTGATCCACCCGCCTTGGCCTCCCAAAGTCCAGGGATCACAGGCGTGAGCCACTGCGCCCAGCCTATTTTGTCCTTTTAACAGAGAAATTCAAATTTTAGTTTTATGTCAGTTCACTCAGTATTTAAGCTCATTTTTAAAAGTACTATAATAAATTCATTCGGTTTAATTAACTTGAGCACATATGATTCTCTCTTGTTTTCTCTAACTTTTTATTTCTGCTGTGATTTTTGTGTGCCCCCAAAGTTCATGTGTTGGAAACTTAATTCCAAATGCAACAGTGGGGGGAGGTGGGACCTTTAAGGGATGATTAGATCAAGAGGGTACTTCCCACATGAATGGATTAATACATTATTGTGGGAGTGGGTTCGTTATTGCAGGAGTAGATTGGTTATAAAAGTGAGTTTGTCCCCCTCTTGCACATTTTCCCTTCCTCCCATGTATGCCCTCTTGTCCTTCCACCTTTCACCAGGTGATGAGGCCACAAGAAGGCCCTCACCAAATATGGGCCCCTTGACCTTGGACTTCCAAACCTCCAGAGCAGTAAAAAATCAATCTGCATATTTACGTAAATCACTCAGTCTCAGATGTTCTGTTATAGTAGCACAAAATAGACTAAGACAATATCCATTCAGTTTTATGTTTTTTATTGATTCATTTTGAAACAACCTTTGAATAATTTTCAAACTAAAACAATATTATTTTTTATTTTAACAAAAACCCATCTTTTCTGTCTCATAGTTTTTTTGTTTATTCATTTTTGTTTTTTTAGAAAGAGTCTTGCTTTGTCGCCCAGGCTGGAGTGCAGTGGTGCTATCTTGGCTCACTGCAACCTCCACCTCCTGGGTTCAAGCGATTCTCCCACCTCAGCCTCCGGAGTAACTGGGGTTACAGGCACCTGCCACCATGACTGGCTAATTTTTGTATTTTTAGTAGAGACATGGTTTCAACATGTTGGCCAGGCTGGTCTCGAACTCCTGAGCTCAGGTGATCCACCGCCTCAGCTTCCCAAAGTGCTGGGATTACAAGCATGAGCCACCGTGCCTGGCCAGTATATTTCATAGGTTTCAAAGAAAAAATACACCTTATTTTTCTGTTATGCTTTGCGTATAAAGTTGCTTCCCCTAATATTTCTAGAAATTCCAATTACATTAATATGATTAATTAATAAGAATTGTTAACTTTTAGTGTCTTTAATTTCCAGTGAACACTAGAGAACTAGAAGGTATGCAGTCATGAACTGTTTTCTTCCAAGTTTGCAAGCACACGATTTCATACTTTCTAGAAACACGATTCCTAGTCCTATGACACAGGACAGGAAATGGCAGAGGAAAGGTTTAATAGGCCCAAATATCTTTTGTTCTTCTGTAATAGGTAGGCAAAGTAAGTTCTAAATTTATGTTCAGCAATAAATGTTTCAGTATCATATTAATATCTTATTTGGAAATGATCTAGATATTCAATACATATTGCTATGGTTTGAATGTTTTTCTGCTCTGAAAATCATATTAAAACTAAATCCCCAATGTAACAGTACTCAGACGTAGGGGCTTTAAGATGTGATTCCATCATGAGGGCCCTGCCTTCATGAACAGATTAATCCTTCACAGATTAATGGGTTATCGTGAGTGTGAAGTAATTGCAATTTGTGCGTGATATGGTTTGGATCTGTGTTCCCACCAAATCTCATGTTGAATTGTAATCCCAGATGTTGGAGGTAAGGCCTGGTGGGAGGTGATTGGGTCGTGGGAGGCTTCTCATGAATGATTAACCACAATTTTGTGGTGCTGTTCTCCTGATACTGAGTGAGTTGTCCTGAGATCTGGTTGTTTGTAAGTGTGTGGCACCTTCCCCTCTCTACCTCCTGCTCTGGCCATGTGAGACAGCTCACTCCCCCTTTGCCTTCTGCCATGATTGGAGGCTTCCTGAGGTCTCCTAGAAGCAGAAGCTGCCATGCTTCCTGTACAGCTTGCAGAACCGTGAGCTAATTAACTTCTTTTCTTTATAAATTACTCAGGCTTAGGTATTTCTTTATAGCAATGCAAAACAGACTAATACAGTGTGACTCTGTTGTAAAAGGCTGTTTGTCTCTCAGTGAGTCCCCTTGCCATATAATTCCTGCACCAACTTGGGACGCTGCAGAGAGACTTTGTATTAGTTTGTTCTCACATTGCTATAAATTAGTACCAGACACTGGGTGATTTATAAAGAAAAGAGGTTTATTTGGCACACAGGTCCACAAGCTGTACAGGAAGCATGATGCTGGCATCTGCTTGGCTTCTAGGGAGGCCTCAGGAAAGTTACAATCACAGCAGAAGGCAAAGGAAGACAGCACTTCACATGGCCAGAGCAGGAGGAAGAGAGAATGGGGAGGTGCCACACATTTTTTAACAATCAGATCTCATGAGAACTCACTCACTGTCAGAAGGACAGTACCGAGAGGAATGGTGTTAAAACATTTATGAGAAATCTGCCCTCATAATCCAATCACCTCCACCAGGCCCCACCTCCAACACTGGGGACTACAATTCAACATGAGACTTTGGTGGGGCCACAGATCCAAACCATATCAGAGCCCATTAGCAAGAAGGCCCTCCCTAGATTTGGCCTGTTGACTGCCCTTGGACTTCCTAGCCCCAAGAACCATAATACATAAATTTATTTTCTTTATAAATTACCCACTCCCTACTCTGAGGTATTCAGTGATAGCAACAGAAAACAGACTAATACAAATAACCATCATTTAACTTAGGTTAATATAAGATTTTTAAGTTACCAAAAATTAAATATAAAAATATTTAAAAGTAGACATCTTGGCTAGGTGCAGTGGCTCACGCCCATAATCCCAGCACTTTGGGAGGCCGAGGTGGGTGGATCACGAGGTCAGGAGATCCAGACCATCCTGGTTAACACGGTGAAACCCTGTCTCTACTAAAAATACAAAAAATTAGCCAGGTTTGGTGGTGGGTGCCTGTAGTCCCAGTTACTCAGGAGGCTGAGGCAGGAGAATGGTGTGAACCCAGGAGGCGGAGCTTGCAGTGAGTGGAGATCGTTGCCACTGCACTCCAGTCTGGGTGACAAGAGACTCTGTCTCAAAAAAAAAAAAAAGGAGGTAGACATCTTATAAAAATATCAAAAATACACAAACATCACATAACATAAAAAAACACAAAAATAAACACATAAAAACACACAAAATACAAAGAAACATACATTGAAAACATATGGCTCTTTTCAATCTTCTTTTTCTTTCTTGTGTTTCATATATATCAAGAAATTTATCTTTTCCTTGTGCATTTTGTTCTTCAGTTGAATTTACAGTTTTATGATCTTAAAGACACATAAGTGTTCTTTTTTTTTGAGTCGGAGTCTCGCTCTGTCACCCAGGCTGGAGTGCAGTGGCACGATCTCGGCTCACTGCAAGCTCAGCCTCCCAGGTTCACGCCATTCTGCTGCCTCGGCCTCCCGAGTAGCTGGGACTACAGGCACCCACCACCACGCCCGGCTAATTTTTTGTATTTTTAGTAGAGACGGGGTTTCACCGTGTTAACCAGGATGGTCTTGATCTCCTGACCCTGTGATCCACCCACCTCGGCCTCCCAAAGTGCTGGGATTACAGGCGTGAGCCACCATGCCCGGCCACACGTAAGTGTTTTGATTAGTAAATCCAGGTAGAAGTTGTATGTGTGAACTGTAAATAATGTTGACAACTCTTAAGAATTGTCTGTTTTAATTAAACCAAGAAACTTAAACTAGCTTTCTATTTACTAAAGATTATCTCAGATCACGTGACCTTGAAAAACATTTAGATGGGCTCCAGTTTTTCTAAGAAAATGCTCCATTTATGGAAGCAATTCTTTTCTTTCTTTTAACCAAATCTTTGCATAGGTACCAAATAACACATTTGTTTAGGATGAGAGCTGCCCACTGCCCCCGCCAAAAAAAAGTACTTTTATATACAAAAGTCCAAATTTCCAAAGGTATATGTACTTTAATTGTGACTTGAACTCAAGGTAAATAAATTAAATAATTAATAAATTAACCTTAGCTTACTGGACGGCCACCATCTTATATGCTGTTCCCTTGACTGAAATGTTGTGGGGTAAATGACTATATATGAAATGGGACTTATTGGAGGAATTAATGCATCTGATAATGGAGGTTGAGAAGTTCCACAACAGGCCATCTGCACAGCAGAGACCCTGAAATGCTGGAAGCAGGACTTAATCCAGCCCAAAAACCTAAGACCCAGGGAAGCCGATGGTGTAATTCTTAGTTCAAGGCCAAAATCCTTAGATCCTTCGGGAGGCCACTGGTGTATGCCCTGGAGTCCAAGGGCTAGAAATCCTAGACTCTGATGTCCACAGGCAGAAGAGTGTCCCAGCTCCAGGAGATCAGATGGATTTGCTTTTCCTTTTTTTTTTGTTTTCTTCTATCTTGCTCCCCAGTCTGTCGGACGGTGCCCCCCCAAATTAAGGGTAGGTCTTTTCCACTCAGTCCACCCGATCGCATGCCAATCCCCTCTGGAAACACCCTCGAAGACATGCCCAGAAATAATGTCCCAGAAATAATGCCTTACCAGTGTTCTAGGTGTTCCTTAATCCATTCAAATTAACACCTCCAATTGACCACCATGATAAGGAAACACACGGAGGCCAGCTCAGGGGAGAACCAGATTTTCCTTTGGCATGTGAGCCTCAGTCGGGCAATAATTCTTTCAAGTTTATTTTATTTTATCTTGAGACAGAGTCTTGCTCTGTGTCCCAGGCTGGAGTGCAGTGGTGCAATCTCAGCTCACTGCCTCGTGGGTTCAAGTGATTCTCCTGCCTCAGCCTCCCGAGTAGCCGAGAATATATGCACACACCATCACATCCAGTTAATTTTTGTATTTTTTTGTAAAGACGGCATTTCACGATGTTGGTCAGGCTGGTCTTGAACTTCTGACCTCAAGTGATCCACCCGCCTCAGCCTCCCAAAGTGCTGGGATTACAGGCATGAGCCACTACACCTGGCTAAGAATTTACTTTGTATACATGTTAAAAAAAAAAAAAACCTAATATGTATTAACTCCTAACACCTAAGAGGAAACCTCTGGTAAAAAGAGTCTTTCACTCCAAGGACACGGCAGAGCCTGTGCCATCTTCTAAGTAGATGAACTTTCCAGAGTCCACCAAGAGGTCCTGAATCTTCTCTCTTGCATGTCTCTCTTCCATCCTCTCCAAGGCATCCAGCAGGGTGTGGATCGAGGCGTTCCGTCCAGTTTTGTTGACCCATTTCATCAGCATTGCATACAAGGCATCCCCTGGGCCTGCTGTACCAGCTCTGACCACATCGATCTCATTTTTCGTGAGGTCCAGCTGCCTCATGAGCTGGTCCCAGGAGTCAAAGGGCACGATGTTTGCAAACTTGTCAAAGAACAGCATCAGAGCTGGGTGGAGAAAGCCACAGAGACAGCCAGATGAGTTGGGACTCAGTTCAGAAGGGGCAGAGGATCCCACATCAGGCCCAGAACCCAAGGAGAGAACCTGGAGAGCCCCCTGCATGGGCAAACCTGTTGCTCCATTGCCCACCCACCTCCCATCCACAGAGAGCCCACCCACACTGCCTGGCCTCTGTGGCCCCCAAGGCGCTGACGGGCGTCAAGGTCACCAGAGAATCTGCCCTCAGAGAGGGCTGAGAACCCACCTGGGGAGGATGGATTGACCCTACGGAGGCAGAAAGCAAAGTGGGTGAGAGCCCGAGGGAGGGAGGGAGAGTGGCTGCAGCGGGAGCTCAGAGGATGCGGGCTGCCTGGGCTGCGCTTGTCATGGGAGCATGTCCCAGGGTGGCCACTTCTGCATCTGTGGAAAGTGCAGGGTCTGGGGCAGGGGACCTCTGCCCTCCCTGAGGCTGGGGCAGAGCTAGGTGGGGGCAAGCAGGCCCTGACCAAGAAGCAAACCTGAAGACAGAGCAAACCTGCCCAGATCTCAGGACTACCAGGGATTGAATGAAATGAGATGTGTGTGCAAAGCACTGCACACCACCATCCACAGGGATAGAAGGGGCCAGGAGTACCAAGCTATGTTTTCTAACAGCCTCATTTAAAGAACATAAAAAGAAAAAAGTGACATTCATTTTAATGTGTGGTACTGAATATGTGTAAAATATAATTTAATATGCAATGAGTATACAAAAACTGAAACTGACCCAATTGTCCCATAGAAAGGTTTTTTTGATAAACAGAAATTGACCCTTCTGGTCCTTAACGACTGGAAACTTAACATTTGTTTTATCTGAGTTACTTCCTCAGGAAAGACCTGCAAGCATCTCAAAAAAAGTAGCAAAGAACTGAAACTCACCAGATCACTACATCCAGACCATGATGGGATGTGGGACCCCTCATTCATCTTGATTGTTTCCTTGCCCCATTCTAGCTCCTACTTTCTTACACATTGTTACATTTCTTGCCTCCTATATAAACCCTTAGTTTTAGTTGGTCAGGGAGATACAGTTGAGACTGAGCTCCCATCTCTTCCACTGCAGCACCCTATTAAAGCCTTCTTGGCAATACTCATCATCTCAGTGACTGGCTTTCTGTGCAGCGAGCAGCGGGACCTAGACCAAACCCCTGAGGTTTTGGTAACAGGTTTTGGTTCCCTGGCTGGGAAAGTGTTGCTCATGGCTCTGCTGCCATGGGCCAGGAGACTCAGAAGCCCTCCCAAGCAGTTGCCCCGCTAACTTTGGCTGGAGGTGAGTTTCAGTCTCTCTCAGGTCCCACTGCAGCCGGCCCCAACCACATTCCTGATTACTTCCGAAGAACTGCCTTTGAAATTTGACATTTGCATCCAGACAGGTGATTGTCCTTTGTGGG